>NC_000016.10:31008144-31323351 GCF_000001405.40 Homo sapiens | reverse complement strand
CAGGTTCAATTCTCCTGCTTCAGCCTCCTGAGTAGCTGGGATTACAGACGCATACCACCACACCTGCTAATTTTGTATTTTTAGTAGAGATGGGGTTTCACCATGTTGGCCAGGCTGGTCTCAAACTCCTGACCTCAGGTGATCCACCTGCCTCGGCCTCCCAAAGTGCTGGGATTACAGGCGTGAGCCACCGTGACTGGCCAGTTTGGGGAAATTCTTTAACTACTGCATCTTTCCTATTCCATCCTATTCCATCTTTCCTATTCTGTCTTTCCTATTCCATCTTTCCTATTTTCTTTCTCTCTCTCTCTCTCTCCTCCCCCACCACCACTTTCTGTAATTCCAATTACATGTTTGTTAGATCTTTCACCATATCCCACACATCTCTTATGGTGTTTTTCTGTATTTTTCTTTCTTTTTATCGCATATTTATCCAGATACTTTCAAATGACTGTCTTCTTGTTCACTAATTCTCTGTTCTGCTTCTAATCTGCTATAAATCTATTTACTGAATTCTTCATTTCAGTCAGTGCGATTTTTGGTTCTAGAGTTTCCATTTGACTCTATTTTATGAATTCCAGGTTTTTGCTGAAGTTCTCATCCTTTCCCTTTTTTCTTGAAGATATTAATTATAGTTACCTTTTAAAAATTCCTATCCAATCACTCTAATTTCTGAATCACCTGTGGGTCTATTTCTATTGTATATTGTTTCTCTTGGTTGCTAGTCAGTTGTCTCAATGGAAAGACCAAGGTATTTACCAAGGCCTCTCAAATCTCTGTCTCCCCAGCACTGAGGAGCTGCTGAATTCTCTGATCAGCTCTTTGGCTTTTCAGTTGCTGTTTTCTACTGGGTGTCTTGGAGTACTGACCTAGGCATTCGTGTCTTAAGAGTCAGCCAAAGAGTAGAGGGGGACTTCTATGTAGGTTTAAGGGTACCTCTTCTTCAATTCCCTACTCTCTAACATTTTGCTCTTAATTTCTAGCCATGCTGGCTGCTCTCATATCTGGAATGCTATCTCCTCAGCACAGGAAAACTGTTCCTAGAAAGGTAATCATTTTTTAGGGATGGGTCTTGCTATGTTGCCCAGGCTGGCCTCAACCTCCTGGGCTCAAGTGATCCTCCCCTCCCACCTCAGCCTCTCAAGTAGCTGAGACTACAAGAACATGCCATCATGCCTAGCTAATAATTTTACTTTTAAAGAGGGTACAATTCTTTCTAGTACTGTCATTACTAGAGACAGTTATTCCTAGTGCTGTCACTACTAGAGACAGTTATTCTTAGTATTGTCATTACTATTCTCCCACCCCAAACACAGTTCTACTCTTTGAGAATAGGAACAAGGGAAGAAGTCACTGGTGATAAAATGCGTATGTGAGTGCTTTGTAAATCTCTGTTTAGCTTCATCAATTCAATCTCCCCAAATAGGTTTTCTCTCCGTTTATTAAAAAACAAAAACATAGTTTGTTCACAGGCATGGGGCCTTCAGTTCTCTGGAGAACTGAGTGAGTAAGGAAGTGCCACATGCTCACCTCTTTAGGGAGGTCCACTGGACTTCCCTACCCAGCAGGACAATAGCCTGCTCACTCAGGTAAGGCTTGGAGAAGGTTGTCAGAGCCTGTGAGAACTCAGTTCAGGACAGCCAGAAGGCTGGGCAGAGTGGATTGCAGCACCCATTCATGTCCTCGGTCGTTTAACCTCTTGAGACTCATCCACCAAGCCTCACCTTCTCTTAGCCGATCCCGTGTGCTCTTCTGGACATGGAGGCAGACTCTGACCTCTCCGGCTTCCTTGCCTTTCACCACCTGATCATTACACTCAAATACATTCCTTGCCACTTCCCTGGGATTGAACTCCATGATTGCCTTGACTCTCAGTACTGGCTGGGACCTAAAGGGACACCAGAAAACCATCAGGGACCTTCAAACAGGAAACATTCCTTCAAGGGAGAATGTCCGGTTGACTCCAAAAGGCATTCTCACCTGAGCAGCAGCACGTGCCCCTGGGCTCCTACAGTCAGGTCTACCAGTCCATCCATTGTGAGGTCCTGGCCCCCACTCAGTGACTGACCAAAATACTGGAGCCTGGGAGAGAGCTTGGAGCCTGCTATCCGCTGAGGGTAAAAAAGAGGTGTGGAGAGAGAAAGGGGTAGGAAAGACAGGAGATGTATAACTCAGTCATCCAGCATGGCCCAGACAGAGGTTCTCTAAGCTCTACTCAAGTCTCATCTCTTGCAACTAACCAAGGAACTAGGACAGCTTAGAACTTATCAAGGAATTATTCACCTTTAGACCACAACCTCAAGAGGATACCTACAATTTCTTTTTTAAAAAAACTTTTAAAATAAAAACGGGGGTCTCACTTTGTGGCCCAGGCTGGTCTTGAACTCCTGGGCTCAAGCGATTCTGCCCTGTCAGCCTCTCAAGTGCTAGGATTATAGGTGTGAGCCGCCACGCCCAACCCCAATTTCTATTAATTACCTGCATTTCCCTGCATACAGGGAAAAGTAAAAGTATATTATTTGGCTCAGCTGAATTTCATTTACGTAGTCAGAATAATGCAAACACTGAATGTTGATCTAAACAAAATGATCACATAAACATGAGGCGTGAATGGGGGGTAAAAGAGTGCTACTATGTGGCAAAAGGAAAACTGAAAAAGAGATCAATCTCCACCTTCCATGGTGGGAAGTCAGTGGTAAAACAAAAATCAAAAAGTAGCAAAATTATTATTATGTAATTGGAACAAATAGAGAATTGAAAGAGCTGAAAGTGGTTCCCTCAAGAGCAAGGGAAATGAAGCCAAAACCATCGTGTATGTGGAAATTGTTGTTTTTTAATAGTGAGCTTTTTGGAACTATTTTGACTCTTTAAAGTATGTGCAAGAGTAATATTGAAAAAAATGACAGCCAAATAATAAATTTTAAAGAAATTTTAAAAGTGATTTTGTCATGTCCTTAATGCAAGTGAATTGGACACTTTTAATTATGGTATAAAAGTTATAAGACAAAGATATTAAAAATAACTATAGCTAAAATTATGTTACTGGATACACAATATAAATAACTGTAAATTGTGAATCAATAACGTAAAACGTGTAGTGGGGAATAAAAGTATAGAGTGCATGTGATTTAAGTTCAGTTGTTATCAGCTTAAAATAGACCATGATAATTATGAGATGTTTTGTGGAAACCACAAAGAAAATACCTTTAGAAGTTATATACACAAAAAAAGGGTCAGACGCGGTGGCTCACGTGGCTTACACCTGTAATCCCAGCACTTTGGGAGGCTGAGGTGGGCGGATCACGAGGTCAGGAGATCAAGACCATCCTGGCTAACGTGGTGAAACCCCATCTCTATTAAAAATACAAAAAATTAGCCAGGAGAGGTGGTGGGCACCTGTAGTCCCAGCTACTCGGGAGGCTGAGGCAGAAGAATGGCCTGAACCCGGGAGGCGGAGCTTGCAGTGAGCCGAGATCGCACCACTGCACTCCAGCCTGGGTGACAGAATGAGATTCCGTCTCAAAAAAAAAAAAGTACAAAAAGAGAACAAAATGAAAGCATATTAATACAAAAATTAACAACAATAAAACACAAAGGAAGACAGCAAGAGAAGAAAAGAGGGACAAAAGACCTACATGACTAACAGAAAACAATTAACAAAATGGCAGTAGTAAATCCTTCTCTATCAATAATTACTTTAAATGTAAACAGAAGCAAACTCTCAAAACAGAGTGGCAGAATTAATAAAAATACAAAATCCAATTATATGCTATCTACAAGATACCCACTTTGTATTTACTGACACATAGGCTAAAAGTAAAGGAGTAGAAAATGCTATTCCATTAAAATGGTAACCAAAAGAGAGCAGGATGACATGCTAATATCAGACAAAATAGACTTTAAGTCAAAAAACAAATAATGATATTATATAATGATGAAATGGCCATTTCACCAGGAGTTACAACAATTAATTATATACACACCCATCAGACATCTGAATATATAAAGCTAATAATGACAGAACTGAAGGGAGAAATAGACAGCAATTCAATAGTAAGAAACTTCAAAATCCTACTTTCAATAGCAAATAGAACAACTAGACAAAAAAAAAACCCAAGGGAGAATGGACCAAATGGACTTAACAGACATATACAAAATACACAAGCCAACTACTGCAGAATATACATTCTTCTCAAGTGCACATGGACCATTCCCCAGGACAGACCACATGTTAGGTCACAAAACAAGTCTTAACAAATTTGAAATGATTTAAATTATATCAAGAATCTTTTCCAACCACAATGGAATGAAACTAAAAACAATACCAGAAGAAAAACTGGAAAAAAACATACATATGTAAAAATTAAACAATACACCATTGAACAACTAATGGATAAAAAAATAAATTAGAAAATAACATGAGATAAATGAAAACAAAAACACAATATACCAAACTTAATGGGAGGCAGCAAAAGCAGTACTAAAGGAAAGTTCGGGATAAACACCTAATTTTAAAACAAAAAGACAAATTTCAATTACAAAACCTAACTTTACACCTCAAGAAATGAGAAATAAAAGAACAAACTAAACCTAAAGTTAGTAGAAGGAAGAAAATAATAAAGATTACAGAAAAATAAATCAAATAGAGAATAGAAAAAAATCAATGAAATTAAGTTGATTTTTCAAAAAGATAGAATTGACAAGCTTTGGCCAGGTGCAGTGGCTCACGCCTGCAATCCCAGCACTTTGGGATGTCGAGGCAAGTGGATCACCTGAGATGAGGAGTTCAAAACCAGCCTGGCCATCATGGTGAAACCCTGTCTCTACTAAAAATACGAAAATCAGCCAGGTGTGGTGGCACGTGCTTGTAATGCCAGCTACTCAGGAGCCTGAGGCAGGAGAATCACTTGAACCTGGGAGGTGGAGAATGCAGTGAGCTGTGATCATGCCACTGCACTCCAGCCTGGGCAACAGAGTGAGACTCCATCTCAAAAAAAAAAAAAAAAAGAACTGACAAGCTTTTAGGTAGACCAAGGAAAAAGGGAGAAAAAACAGAAACAACAGATAAGTAAAATTATAAATGAAAGAACATACAACTGATGCCATAGCAATAAAAAGGATCATTAAGAGACTACTATGAACAATTATATGTTAACAAACTTGATAACCTTGAAGGAATGGATAAATTCCTAGAAATATACAACCTACCAAGCCTGAATCATAAGGCAATAGAAAGTTTAAACAGATCTATAATGAGTAAGGAAATTGAATCAGTAATCAAAGACCTCCTAACAAAGAAAAGCCCAGGACCTGGTGGCTTCTCAGGCAAATTCTACCAACCAAACATTTAAATAAGAATTAATATGAATTCTTCTCAAACTCATCCAAAAAACTGAAGAGGAGGGAATACTTCCAAACTTATTGTATGAGGCAAGCACTATCCTGACACTAAATCCCAACAAACACACCATGAGAAAAGATCACTACATGCCAATTTCCCTATTGAACATAGATCCAAAATCCTAAATAAAATACTAGCAAACTGAATTCAATAGCACAAAAGGGTCATACGCCATGACCATGTGGGCTTTATTCCTGGCATGCAAGGATGGCTCAACATATGCAAATCAATAAATGTGATGCACCACATTAACAGAATAAGGAATAAAAATAACATGATCTTATCAATAAGAAAAGAAAGCATTTAATAAAACTAAACATCTGTCTTAGCTTATTTGGTATAACAAATAACATAGACTGGATGGGTTATAAGCAATAGAAATTTATTTCTCATAGTTCTGAAGACTTGTGACATCCAAAATCAAGGTGCAAGCAGATTCAATATCTGGTGAGAGCCTATTTTCTGGTTCATAGGCAACCATCATTTTGCTTTTGTCTAAGGGCACTAATCCTATTAATGATGGCCACACTCTCATGACCTAAACACCTTCCAAAGGTCCCATCTACAAATACCATCACACAAGGAATTAGGCTTCAACATATGAATCTGGGGAGGACACAAACATTCAGGCCACAGGAATAGCCACTCATGATTAAAAACCCTCAACAAACTAGAAATACAGGGAAATTACATCAACATGATAAAGAACATTAAAAAAAGTGTCTAGTTAACATCATACCCAGTGGTGAAAATTTGATTTTACCACTAAAATTAGGAACAAGGCAAGGATGCCCACACTCACCACTTCTATTTCAACACAGTACTGAAAGTCCTAGCCAGAGCAATTGGGCAAGAAAAAGATAAGAAATGCATTCAAGTTAGAAATAAAGAAAAAAAAATTGTCCCTGTTTGCAATTGACATGATCTTATATATAAGAAACTTGTTATAAATACTCTACGAAAAAGTTATCAAATTTAATAAACAAATTTAGTAAAGTCATGGAATACAAAATGAACATACAAAAATTATTTGTTTCTATACACTAACAACAAACTATCTGAAAAAGAAATTAATCCTATTTACAATGGCATCAAAAAATAAAATGCTTACAAGTTAATTTAACCAAGAAGGTGAAAAATATGCACACTAAAACTATAAAACATTGACGAAAGAAAGTTAAGACAAAAATCAATGGAAAGATATCCCATATTATGGATTGAAAGAATATTTTTAAAGGTCCATACTATTCAAAGTGATCGATAGAGTCAATGTAATTCCTACCAAAATCCCAATGGCATTTCTTACAGAAATAGAAAAAACAATACTAAAATTAATATGAAGTCACAAAAGACCTCAAATATCCAAGACAATCTTGAGCATAAACAACAAAGGTAGAGGTATCACACTACCTGACATCAAAATACACCACAAAGGTATACTCAGCAAAACAGCATGACACTGACATAAAAACAGAGACATTGACCAATGGAACAGAATACAGAGCTCAGAAATGAACCCATGCATTTACAATCAACTAATTTTCTTTTCTTTTTTTTTTTTTTCCAGACGGAGTCTTGCTCTGTTACCCAGGCTGGAGTGCAGTGGCATGATGTAGGCTCACTGCAACCTCTTCCTCCCAGGTTCCCCCATTCTCCTGCCTCAGCCTCCCGAGTAGCTGGAACTACAGGTGCCCACCACCATGCCTGGCTAATTTTTTTTTTTTTTTTTTTTTTTTTTTTTTTTTTTTTTGAGACGGAGTCTCGCTCTGTCGCCCAGGCCGGACTGCGGACTGCAGTGGCGCAATCTCGACTCACTGCAAGCTCTGCTTCCCGGGTTCACGCCATTCTCCTGCCTCAGCCTCCCGAGTAGCTGGGACTACAGGCGCCCGCCACCGCGCCCGGCTAATTTTTTGTATTTTTAGTAGAGACGGGGTTTCACCTTGTTAGCCATGACGGTCTCGATTTCCTGACCTCATGATCCACCCGCCTCAGCCTTCCAAAGTGCTGAGATTACAGGCATGAGCCACCGCGCCCGGCCAACAATCAACTAATTTTCAACAAAGGTGCCAAGGGCATACAATGGGGAAAGGACAGTCTTTTTAACAAATGGTGTTAAGAACACTGGATATCCACAGGCAAAAGAATGAAACTGAGCCTTTATCTCAAACCAAATACAAAAATCAAAAGTGCTGGGCCGGGTGCAGTGGCTCACGCCTGTAATCCCAGCACTTTAGGAGACTGAGGCGGGTGGATTACCTTAGATCAGGAGTTCAAGACCAGCCTGGCCAACATGGTGAAACCCCGTCTCTATTAAATATACAAAAAAGTAGCCAGGCATGGTGGCGGAGGCCTGTAATCCCAGCTACTTGGGAGGCTGAGGCAGGAGAATCGCTGGGACCCGGGAGGTGGAGGTTGCAGTGAGCTGAGATCGTGCCACTGCACTCCAGCCTGGGCAATAGAGAGAGACTCCATCTAAAATAAAATTAAATTAAAAAATAAAAAAATTAAAAAGTGAGTTAAAGGCTTAAATGTAAGATCTAACACTATAAACTATTAGAAGGAAACGTAGAGGGAAAGCTTCATGACATTGGTCTGGGCAATGATTTTTTTATATGATCCTGAAAGCACAAGCAACAAAAACAAAAACAGACAAATGGAATTGCATCAAACTAAAAAGCTTCTGCACAATAAAGGAATAATTAACAGAGTGAAGAGACAACCTACAGACTGGGGGAAAATATTTGCAAACCACACAACTGATAAATGGTTAATATCCATAACACATAAAGAACTCAATAGTAAGAAAATAAATAACCCAATTTAAAAATGGGCAAAGAGGGCCGGGTTCGGTGACTCACACCTGTAATCCCAGCACTTTGGGAGGCTGAGGCAGGTGAATCACTTGAGATCAGGAGTTTGAGACCAGCCTGGCCAACATGGTGAAATGCCATCTCTACTAAAAATACAAAAATTAGCTGGGTGTGGTGGTGGGCACCTGTAATCCCAGCTACTCAGGAGGCTGAGGCAGGAGAATCACCTGAACCTGGAGGCAGAGGTTGCAGTTCACGCTACTGTACTCCAGCCTGGGTGACAGACTGAGACTCCATCTCAAAAAAAAAAAAAAAAAAACCCTGCCTCCTACTACCACAGGAGGAACAGCCTAACCGTTTGCTGTAAAAGTTGGCTGTAGCTGATCTTGTGAAAACTACTTTAAATTTCATATGCAGCCAAAAAAGAGCCCATATAGCCAAGACAATCCTAAGCAAAACAACAAAGCTGGAAGCATCACACTACCTGACTTCAAACTATACTACAAGGCTACAGTAACCAAAACAGCATGGTACTGATACCAAAACAGATATATAGACAAATGAAACAGAACAGAGGCCTCAGAAATATCACCACACATCTACAACCATCTGATCTTCAACAAACCTGACAAAAGCAGGAAATGGGGAAAGGATTCCCTATTTAATAAATGCTTCTGGGAAAACTGGCTAGCCATATGCAAAAAACTGAAACTAGATCCCTTCCTTACACCTTATATAAAAATTAACTTAAGATGGATTAAAGACTTAAATGTAAAATTTACAACCATAAAAACCCTAGAATAAAACCTAGGCAGTACCATTCAGGGCATAGGCATGGGCAAAATCTTCCTTACTAAAACACCAAAAGCAATTGCAACAAAAGCCAAAATTGACAAATGAGATCTAATTAAACTAAAGAGCTTCTGCACAGCAAAAGAAACTATCATCAGAGTGAACAGGCAGCCTACAGAATGAGAGAATATTTTTGCAATCTATCCATCTGACAAAGGTCTAATATCCAGAATCTACAAGGAACATAAACAAATTTACAAGAAAAAAACAAACAACCCCATCAAAAAATGGGCAAAGGATATGAACAGATACTTCTCAAAAGAAGACATTTATGTGGCCAACAAACATATGAAAAAAAAAAGCTCATCACTGGTCATTAGAGAAATGCAAATCAAAACCACAATGAGATACCATCTCATGCCAGTTAAAATGATGATCATTAAAAAGTCAGGAAACAACAGATGCTGGAGAGGATGTGGAGAAATAAGAATGCTTTTACACTGTTAGTGGGAGTGTAAATCAGTTCAACCATTGTAGAAGACAGTGTGGCGATTCCTCAAGGATCTAAAACCAGAAATACCATTTGACCCAGCAATCCCATTACTGGGTATATACCCAAAGGATTATAAATCATTCTACTATAAAGACACATGCACATGTATTTTTACTGAAGCACTATTTACAATAGCAAAGACTTGGAACCAACCTAAATGCCCATCAATGATAAACTGTATAAAGAAAATGTGGTACATATACACCATGGAATACTATGCAGCCATAAAAGAGAATGAGTTCATGTCCTTTGCAGGGACATAGATGAAACTGGAAACCATCATTCTCAGCAAACTAACACAGGAACAGGAAAGCAAACACCACATACTCTCACTCATAAGTGGGAGTTGAACAATGAGAATACATGGACACAGGGAGGGGAACATCACTGGAGCCTGTTGAGGGGTGGGGATCAAGGGGGAGGGAGAGCATTAGGACAAATACCTAATGCATGTGAGGCTTAAAACCTAGACAACGGGTTGATGGGTGCAGCAAACCACCATGGCACTTGTATACCTAGGTAACAAACCTACATGTTCTGCACATGTATCACAGAACTTAACGTATAATTTTTTTTTTTGAGACGGAGTCTCGCTCTGTTGCCAGGCTGGCGTGCAGTGGTGCAGTCTTGGCTCACTGCAACCTCCGCCTCCTGGGTTCAAGCAATTCTCCTGCCTCAGCCTCCCAAGTAGCTGGGATTACAGGCACACGCCACCAAGCCCAGCTAATTTTTGTATTTTTAGTAGAGATGGGGTTTCACCATGTTGGCAAGGCTGGTCTTGAACTCCTGACCTCGTGATCCGCCCGCCTCGGCCTCCCAAAGTGCTGGGATTACAGGCATGAGCCACTGTGCCTGGCCCAATGTGTAATTTAAAAAAGAAAAAATAAATAAAAACATGAAGATTTAAAAAAAAAAAAAAAAAGACTGCTCCCTACTACCACAGGAGGACGGACCAGCCTAAGCATTCACTGCAAAAGATGGCTATAATCGATCTTGTGAAAGCATTACTGAGCAGATCAAGATCTCTGGGAATGAACACTAAAGATGTTCTGAATAAATTATAGTCCGGCTGAGTGCAGTGGCTCACACCAGTAGTCCCAGCACTTTGGGAGGCCAAGGTGGGAAGATCACTTGAGCCCAGGAGTTGGAGACCAGCCTGGGAAACATAGACAGACCCTGTCACTGCAAAAGAAATTTAAATATTAGCCAGGTATGGTGGCATACACCTGCAGTCAAAGACACTTAGGAGGCTGAGGCAGGCGGATCACATGAGCCTGGGAGGTCAAGGCTGCAGTGAGCCATGATTGCACCACTTCACTCCAGCCTGCATGACAGACCAAGACCCTGTCTCAAAAATAATAATAATAAATAATAAATACATTTTAATGCAGTGGCATTTTAGTGTCTTTTTTGAAAACAAAAATTACATGTAATGTTACATTCTTGCATGTTCTTTGTTGATAGCATTAATTGATTCATTGGATTTCTTTTCTTTTTCTTTTTTATTATTATAATACTTTAAGTTTTAGGGTACACATGCACAACGTGCAGGTTTGTTACATATGTATACATGTGCCATGTTGGTGTGCTGCACCCATTAACTCGTCATTTAGCATTAGGTATATCTCCTAATGCTATCCCTCCCCCCTCCCCCCACCCCACAACAGTCCCTGGTGTGTGATGTTCCCCTTCCTGTGTCCATGTGTTCTCATTGTTCAATTCCCACCTATGAGTGAGAACATGCAGTGTTTGGTTTTTTGTCCTTGCGATAGTTTGCTGAGAATGATGGTTTCCAGCTTCATCCATGTCCCTACAAAGGACATGAACTCATCCTTTTTTATGGCTGCGTAGTGTTCCATGGTGTATATGTGCCACACTTTCTTAATCCAGTCTATCATTGTTGAACATTTGGGTTGGTTCCAAGTCTTTGCTATTGTGAATAGTGCCGCAATAAACACTTGTATGCATGTGCCTTTATAGCAGCATGATGTATAATCCTTTGGGTATATACCCAGTAATGGGATGGCTGGGTCAGATGGTATTTCCAGTTCTAGATCCCTGAGGAATCACCACACTGACTTCCACAATGGTTGAACTAGTTTACAGTCCCACCAACAGTGTAAAAGTGTTCCTATTTCTCCACATCCTCTCCAACACCTGCTGTTTCCTGACTTTTTAATGATTGCCATTCTAACTGGTGTGAGATGGTATCTCATTGTGGTTTTGATTTGCATTTCTCTGATGGCCAGTAATGATGAGCATTTTTTCATGTGTCTTTTGGCTGCATAAATGTCTTCTTTTGAGAAGTGTCTGTTCATATCCTTCACCCACTTTTTGATGGGGTTGTTTGTTTTTTTCTTGTAAATTTGTTTGAGTTCATTGTAGATTCTGGATATTACCCCTTTGTCAGATGAGTAGGTTGCAAAAATTTTCTCCCATTCAGTAGGTTGCCTGTTCACTCTGATGGTAGTTTCTTTTGCTGTGCAGCAGCTCTTTAGTTTAATTAGATCCCATTTGTCAATTTTGGCTTTTGTTGCCATTGCTTTCGATGTTTTAGACATGAAGTCCTTGCCCATGCCTATGTCCTCAATGGTATTGCCTAGGTTTTCTTCTAGGGTTTTTATGGTTTTAGGACTAACATGTAAGTCTTTAATCCATCTTGAATTAATTTTTGTATACGGTGTAAGGAAGGGATCCAGTTTCAGCTTTCTACATATGGCCAGCCAGTTTTCCCAGCACCATTTATTAAATAGGGAATCCTTTCCCCATTTCTTCTTTTTGTCAGGTTTGTCAAAGATCAGATAGTTGTAGATATGCGGCACTATTTCTGAGTGCTCAGTTCTGTTCCATTGGTCTATATCTCCAGCAGCTGAAGGTCCTGACTGTTAGAAGGAAAACTAACAACAGAAAGGACATCCACACCAAAAACCCATCTGTACGTCACCATCATCAAAGACCAAAGGTAGATAAAACCACAAAGATGGGGAAAAAACAGAGCAGAAAAACCGGAAACTCTAAAAATCAGAGCGCCTCTCCTCCTACAAAGGAACGCAGCTCCTCACCAGCAACGGAACAAAGCTGGACGGAGAATCACTTTGACGAGTTGAGAGAGGAAGGCTTCAGAAGATCAAACTACTCTGAGCTAAAGGAGGAAGTTCAAACCAATGGCAAAGAAGTTAAAAACTTTGAAAAAAAATTAGACGAATGGATAACTAGAATAATCAATGCGGAGAAGTCCTTAAAGGACCTGATGGAGCTGAAAACCACGGCACGAGAACTACGTGACGAATGCACAAGCCTCAGTAACTGACGCGATCAACTGGAAGAAAGGGTATCAGCGATGGAAGACGAAATGAATGAAATGAAGCGTGAAGAGAAGTTTAGAGAAAAAAGAATAAAAAGAAATGAACAAAGCCTCCAAGAAATATGGGACTATGTGAAAAGACCAAATCTACATCTCATTGGTGTACCTGAAAGTGACGGGGAGAATGGAATCAAGTTGGAAAACACTCTGCAGGATATTATCCAGGAGAACTTCCCCAATCTAGCAAGGCAGGCCAACATTCAAATTCAGGAAATACAGAGAACGCCACAAAGATACTCCTCGAGAAGAGCAACTCCAAAACACATAATTGTCAGATTCACCAAAGTTGAAATGAAGGAAAAAATGTTAAGGGCAGCCAGAGAGAAAGGTTGGGTTACCCACAAAGGGAAGCCCATCAGACTGGCAGCTGATCTAGTCTGATGGGCTTCCCTTTGTGGGTAACCCGAACTTTCTCTCTCAGCAGAAACTCTACAAGCCAGAAGAGAGTGGGGGCCAATATTCAACATTCTTAAAGGAAAGAATTTTCAACCCAGAATTTCATATCCAGCCAAACTAAGCTTCATAAGTGAAGAAGAAATAAAATACTTTACAGACAAACAAATGCTGAGAGATTTTGTCACCACCAGGCCTGCCCTAAAAGAGCTCCTGAAGGAAGCACTAAACATGGAAAGGAACAGCCGGTACCAGCCACTGCAAAAACATGCCAAACTGTAAAGACCATCAAGGCTAAGAAGAAACTGCATCAACTAACGAGCAAAATAACCAGCTAACATCATAATGACAGGATCTAATTCACACATAAAAATACTAACCTTAAATGTAAATGGGCTTAATGTTCCAATTAAAAGGCACAGACTGGCAAATTGGATAAAGAGTCAAGACCCATCAGTGTGCTGTATTCAGGAAACCCATCTCAAGTGCAGAGACACACATAGGCTCAAAATAAAGGGATGGAGGAAGATCTACCAAGCAAATGGAAAACAAAAAAAGGCAGGGGTTGCAATCCTAGTCTCGGGTAAAACAGTCTTTAAACCAACAAAGATCAAAAGAGACAAAGAAGGCCATTACATAATGGTAAAGGGATCAATTCAACAAGAAGAACTAACTATCCTAAATATATATGCACCCAATACAGGAGCACCCAGATTCATAAAGCAAGTCCTTAGTGACCTACAAAGAGACTTAGACTCCCACACAATAATAATGGGAGACTTTAACACCCCACTGTCAACATTAGACAGATCAACGAGACAGAAAGTTAACAAGGATATCCAGGAATTGAACTCAGCTCTGCACCAAGCGGACCTAATAGACATCTACAAAACTCTCCACCCCAAATCAACAGAATATACATTCTTTTCAACACCACACCACACCTATTCCAAAACTGACCACATAGTTGGAAGTAAAGCACTCCTCAGCAAATGTAAAAGAACAGAAATTATAACAAACTGTCTCTCGGACCACAGTGCAATCAAACTAGAACTCAGGGTGAAGAAACTCACTCAAAACCGCTCAACTACATGGAAACTGAACAACCTGCTCCTGAAGGACTACTGGGTACATAACAAAATGAAGGCAGAAATAAAGATGTTCTTTGAAACCAATGAGAACAAAGACACAACATACCAAAATCTCTGGGACACATTCAAAGTAGTGTGTAGAGGGAAATTTATAGCACTAAATGCCCATAAGAGAAAGCAGGAAAGATCTAAAATTGACACCCTAACATCGCAATTAAAAGAACTAGAGAAGCAAGAGCAAACACATTCAAAAGCTAGCAGAAGGCAAGAAATAACTAAGATTAGAGCAGAACTGAAGGAAATAGAGACACAAAAAACCCTTCAAAAAATTAGTGAATCCAGGAGCTGGTTTTTTTGAAAAGATCAGCAAAATTGATAGAGCCCTAGCAAGACTAATAAAGAAGAAAAGAGAGAAGAATCAAATAGATGCAATACAAAAATGACAAAGGGGATATCACCACCTATCTCACAGAAATACAAACTACCATCAGAGGATACTACAAACACCTCTACGCAAATAAACTAGAAAATCTAGAAGAAATGGATAAATTCCTCGACACATACACTCTCCCAAGACTAAACCAGGAAGAAGCTGAATCTCTGAATAGACCAATAACAGACTCTGAAATTGAGGCAATAACTAATAGCTTACCAACCAAAAAAAAGTCCAGGACCAGATGGATTCACAGCCGAATTCTACCAGAGGTACAAGGAGGAGATGGTACCATTCCTTCTGAAACTCTTCCAATCAATAGAAAAAGAGGGAATCCTCCCTAACTCATTTTATAAGGCCAGCATCATCCTGAGACCAAAGCCTGGCAGACACACAACAAAAAAAGAGAATTTTAGACCAATATCCTTGATGAACATTTATGCAAAAATCCTCAATAAAATACTGGCAAACCGAATCCAGCAACACATCAAAAAGCTTATCCACCATGATCAAGTGGGCTTCATCCCTGGGATGCAAGGCTGGTTCAACATACGAAAATCAATAAACGTAATCCAGCATATAAACAGAACCAAAGACGAAAACCGCATGATTATCTCAATAGATGCAGAAAAGGCCTTTGACAAAATTCAACAACCCTTCATGCTAAAAACTCTCCATAAATTAGGTACTGATAGGACATATCTCAAAATAATAAGAGCTATCTATGACAAACCCACAGCCAATATCATACTGAATGGACAAAAACTGGAAGCATTCCCTTTGAAAACTGGCACAAGACAGGGATGCCCTCTCTCACCACTCCTATTCAACATAGTGTTGGAAGTTCTGGCCAGGGCAATCAGGCAGCAGAAGGGAATAAAGGGCATTCGATTAGGAAAAGAGGAAGTCAAATTGTCCCTGTTTGCAGATGACATGACTGTATATCTAGAAAACCCCATCGTCTCAGCCCAAAATCTCCTTAAGCTGATAAGCAACTTCAGCAAAGTCTCAGGATACAAAATCAATGTGCAAAAATCACAAGCATTCTTACACACCAGTAACAGACAAACAGAGAGCCAAATCATGAGTGCACTTCCATTCACAATTGCTTCAAAGAGAACAAAATATATAGGAATCCAACTTACAAGGGATGTGAAGGACCTCTTGAAGGAGAACTACAAACCACTGCTCAATGAAATAAAAGAGGATACAAACAAATGGAAGAACATTCCATGCTCGTGGGTAGGAAGAATCAATATTGTGAAAATGGCCATACTGCCCAAGGTAATTTATAGATTCAATGCCATCCCCATCAAGCTACCAATGACTTTCTTCACAGAATTGGAAAAAACTACTTTAAAGTTCATATGGAACCAAAAAAGAGCCCGCATTGCCAAGTCAATCCTAAGCCAAAAGAACAAAGCTAGAGGCATCACGCTACCTGACTTCAAACCATACTACCAGGCTACAGTAACCAAAACAGCATGGTACTGGTCTTTTCTTTTTTTCTTTTGTGACACAACTTTTAGTCTCACTTGCGTTTATGTGTGTTTTTCAGACAACAATTAATAATTATATTGAAAATGTAGCAGCAATTGTCTTGAAGGGTGTTCATATATTATTGGACACTAATACTAACTACATTGGACTAACTTGTGTAAACTCTCTGTTAAACATGATTTAAAAGTCATTAAGAGTACTTTGCGGCCAGACATGGTGGCTCATGCCTGTAATCCCAGCACTTTGGGATGCTGAGACGGGCAGATCACAAGGTCAGTAGTTCGAGACCAGACTGGCCAACATGGTGAAACCCAATCTCTACTAAAAATACAAAAATTAGCTGGGCATGGTGGCGCACTCCTGTAATCCCAGCTACTCAGGAGGCTGAGGCAAAAGAATCTCTTGCCCAGGAGGCAGAGGTTGCAGTAAGCCAAGATCATGCCACTGTACTCCAGTGTGGGCAACAGGGCAAAATTCTCCATCTCAAAAAGAAAAAAAAAAAAAAAGAGTACCTTGCATTGCTAATAGATATTGCCATTAGCTGTGAAGGTTTGAGTGTTATATGTCTGCACTGATATTCTTATCAAAAATTTCTATATTAGCTTCAAATATTCAGTTTAAAACTCAAACTTTGAGATTTTTGTAGCTTTTAGTTGTTTAATTTTGAAAATTTAATATGTTGATGGAAGTTTTAAATTATCATCGTTATTTTACAAAATGATGGAGGAGGAGCTAAAATTCCTTGTTAAGAGAATTATGAAGCGTCAAAAAAATTCCTCATTAGGACACAAGGAAAAAGGATGGCCTGCTAAATCATTCAAAATGCTTTTCGGTACCTTGGATTAATCATATAATAGCTATAGCAAGAAATAGATACCAAGAACAGACCAATAACAAGCAGCGAGATCAAATCAGAAAGAGCCCAGGACCAGAAGGTTTCACAGCTGAATTTTAACAGACATTCAAAGAATTGGTACCAATGATATGATACTATTCCAAAAGATAGAGAAAGAGGGAATCCTCCCTAAATCATTCTATAAAGCCAGTATCACACTAATATCAAAACCAGAAAAGGATATAACAAAAAAAAGAAAACTACAGAACAATATCCCTGATGAATATAGAAGCAAAAATCCTTAACAAAATACTAGCTAACCAAATCCAACAGTACATCAAAAAGATAATACATCATGATCAAGTCTGTTTCATCCCAAGGACGCAGGAATGGTTTAATATATGCAAGTCAATAAATGTGATACATCACATAAACAGAATTAAAGAAGAAAACTATATAATCATCTCAATAGATGCAGAACAAGCATTTGATAAAATCCAGCATCCCTTTATGATTAAAAAAAGGCTTTCAATAAATTAGACATAGAAGGGACTTATCTCAAAATAATAAAAGCCATTATCTGACAAAAGCACAGCCAACTTCATATTGAAGGGGGAAAAGTTGAAAGCATTCTCACTAAGAACTGGAACAAGACAAGAATGCCCACTTTCAGCACTTCTATTCAACACAGTACTGAAAGTCCCAGCCAAATCAAATCAGTCAAGAGAAAGAAATAAAGGGGTCCAAATTGGAAAAGAGGAAGTCAAATTAGAGCTGTTTGCCAATGATATGATCATTTACCTAGAAAATGCTAAAGGCTCATCCAAAAGATTCCTAGATCTGATAAACAATTTCAGTAGTCTCAGGTTACAAAATCAATGTATGCAAATCAGTAGCACTGCTATACACCAACAATGACAAAGCTGAGAATCAAATCAAGAACTCAACCCCTTTTATAACAGCTACAAAAATAAAATAAAATGCCTAGGAATATAGTTAACCAAGGAGGTGAAGCTCCCTACAAGGAAAACTACAAAACACTGCTGAAATAAATTATAGATGACACAAACAAATGGAAATATATCCCATGCTCATGGATAGGAAGAATCAATATTGTGAAAATGACCATACTGCCCAATCTACAGATTTAATGCAATTCCCATCAAAATACCAACATCATTTTTCACATAACTAGAATAAAACAATCCTAAAACTCATATGGAACAAAAAAAAAGAGCCCAAATAGCCAAAGCAATACTAAGCAAAAAGAACAAATCTGGAGGCATCACAGTACCAGACTTCAAATTATACTACAAGGCTATAGTTACCAAAACAGCATGGTACTGGTATAAAAATAGGCACTTAGACCAATGGAACAAAACAAAGAACCCAGAAATAAAACCAAATACTTACAGCCAACTGATCTTTTACAAAGCATACAAAAACATAAATTGGGAAAAGGACACCCTATTCAGTAAATGGCGCTGGGAAAACAGGCAAATCACATGTAGAAGAATGAAACTGGATCTTCTTCTCTCAACTTATACAAAAATCAACTCAAGATGGATCAAAGACTGAAATCTAAGACCTGAAACCATAACAATTCTACAAGATAACATTGGAAAAACTCTTCTGGACATTGGCCTAGGCAAAGAATTCATGACCAAGACCCCAAAAGCAAATGCAACAAAACCAATAAATGGGACCTAATTAAACTAAAAAGCTTCTGCACAGCAAAAGAAATAATCATCAGAGCAAACAGAAAACCCACAGAATGCAAGAAAATATTTGCCAACTATGCATCTGACAAAGGACTACTATCCAGAAACTATAAGGAACTCAAACAAATCAGCAAGGAAAAAACAAATAATCCCATCAAAAAGTAGGCAAAGGATATGAATAGACAATTCTCAAAAGAAGATATACAAATGGCCGATAAACATATGAAAAAAATGCTCAACATCACTAATCATCAAGGAAATGCAAATTAAAACCACAATAAAATACCACCTTACTCCTGCAAGAATGGCCATAACTAAAAAGTCAAAAAACAATAGATCTGGCATGGATGTGATGAAAAGGGGACACTTTTACACTGCTGGTGGGAATGTAAATTAGCACAACCTCTATGGAAAACAGTATGGAGATTCCTTAAATAACTAATAGTAGATCTACCATTTGATTCAGTAATCCCACTACTGGGTATCTACCCAAAGGAAAAGAAGTCATTATATGAAAAAGATACATGAACATGCATGTTTATAGCAGCACAATTCACAATTGCAAAGATATGGAACCAAACTGTGGTACCCGTCGACCAATGAGTGGATTTTAAAAAGTTATATATATGTGTGTGTGTATATGTGTATATATACACAGAGTACTACCCAGCCATAAAAAGGAACAAATAATGTATTTTGCAGCAACTTGGATAGAACTGGAGGCCATTACTGAAGTAACACAGGAATGGAAAACTAAATATATGTTTTCATTTATAAGTGGGAGCTAAACTATAAGGATGCAAAGACAAGAGTGATGTAACGGACTTTGAGGACTTGGGGAAGGGGAGTCTGGGAGGAGGTAAGAGACAAAAGACTATATATTTGGTACAGTGTACGCTGCTTTGATGACAGGTGCACTAAAATCTCAGAATTCACCACTATAGAATTCATTCATGTAACCAAAAAGCACTTGTACCCCAAAAGTTACTGAAATTTTTTAAAAAATCATATAATGACTATAGTCCACTCAGTACTTGCTTAAATTTTAGATAATAACTATAGTCCATTCAGTACTTTCTTAAATTTTAGAAAAGCTATATAAATTACTGGTACATAACTTGAAGACTGCTTTGGCTGGGTGCAGTGGCTCACATCTATAATCCTAACACTTTGAGAGGCCAAGGCAGGAGGATGGCTTGAGGCCAGAAGACCAGCCTGGCCAACATAGTGAGACTTCATCTCTACAAAAAATTGAAAAATTAGCCAAGCGTGGGGGTGCACACCTATAGTCTCAGCTACTTGGGCAGCTGAGAAGGAAGAATTGCTTGAGCCTGGGTGTCAAGACTGCAGTGAGCCATGATCTCGTCACTGCACTCCAGCCTGGGCAACAGAGGGAGACCTTGTCTCAAAAAAATAAAAAGAGAGAGAAAGAAACAGAGAGAAAGAAAGAGAGAAAGAAAAAGAAAGAAAGAAAGAAAGAAAGAAAGAAAGAAAGAAAGAAAGAAAGAAAGAAAGAAAGAAAGAAAGAAAGAAAGAAAGAGGGAGGGAAAGAGAGAGAGAGAAAGAAAGAAAGAGGGAGGGAAAGAGAGAGAGAGAAAGAAAGAAGAAAGAAAGAGAAAGAAAAAGCTGGGCGCGGTGGCTCACGCCTGTAATCCCAGCACTTTGGGAGGCTGAGGCAGGTGAATCACAAGGTCAGGTGTTCGAGACCAGCCTGGCCAACATGGTGAAACCCCGTCTCTCCTAAAAAGAGAAAAATATTAGCCAGGCGTAGTGGCGGGCGCCTGTCATCTCAGCTACTCGGCAGGCTGAGGCAAGAGAATAGCTTGAACCTGGGATGCGGAGGTTGCAGTGAGCCGAGCTCACTCCACTGCACTCCATCCTGGGCAACAGCACGAGACTCCGTCTCAAAACAAAAACAAAAACAAAAGAGAAAGAGAAAGAAAAAAAAGAAAGAAAGAAAGAAGGAAAGAAAAAAGAAAGAAAGAAAGAAAGAAAGAAAGGAAGGAAGAAAGAAAGAAAGAAAGAAAGAAGAAAGAAAGAAAGAAAGAAAAAAGAAAAGAAAAGAAAAAAGAAAAGAAAAGAAAGAAAAAAAGATTGTTCTTCCTTTGGCTAATTAAGTAATGCCCTCACAGCACTAGATTGCACAGTGCTCTTACTGGATAAACTCAATAGTGCCTCTAGTTGGGTTGATTGAGGATGTCTGAAAGGCACTCACAGAGCCCGATGCCTGCTATTGCACAACAGATGAGCCTTTTCCTTTCTACACTGAGAATTTTCTTCTGTTTTTAGTGTGGTTTATTTTTGGCTCAGAAATAGTTGCTATGATGAAAATATTCCTCTGTTAGAAAAGACGGTAGCTACAACACCACTTTGAAAGAACCATGAGCATGAGCTATTTTTAAAAGCCAAAATAAGTGGGTTTTTTTTTGTCAGGGTTAATTTTTGATTATGTTAACACTGTTTTATGATAAGGTGACTTTTTTAGATTAAAGTCAAAGAGGTTCTATATTTTTATCATTACAGATCGTAGTTACAACATAGTGAGTTCTGCATACTGACTCATGTAGTGAAACCTTAAATAAGTTAGTAAGAAAAGCAATAGTTTTCTGAAGCCATGATATGGGTGATACACAGTTCATACTCAAATTATAATAAAGCTCTTCATATTTGTGAATTATAGAATACTACCTTTTATAAATCCATATTTTTAGGGAAATTTAGGAGTGATATAGAACTGGTAAATTAGTAAAATAAGTTTCACTGGATTTTTGTATATAATCATCTCTAGTACTCTGGAAATTGAGGATTCATTATGCTGTGATCAACTTCAAATACTTTTTAGTTCCAAATATATGAGCTAATAAGCCTTGCTTTTATAAGTATGTGCCAAATTCATCAACATCAATGGGTTTTCTAAAGCGAATATAAGTGTCTTTCTTTTAATGTTATTTGACTCTAATAAAATGCAGGATTATATATATAAATGACAAAGTTATAGTACTTAAAATAGTATGGTACTAGCATAAAGATAGACATATAGACAAATGGAACAGAATACAGAGCCCAGAAATAAACCCATCCATATGGGTCCAACTGATTCTCCTAAATAATGCCAAGAATACACAATGGGTAAAGGATACTCTCTTAGACAAATGGTATTGGGAAACTGGATATACAAATGCAGGAGAATGCAACTTGACTCATATACCATACACAAAAATCAATTCAAAATGAATTAAAGACTTCAATGAAAAAGTAAAACATCTAGAATAAAACTCAGGGGAGAAGCTGGAAAGATGGTGGTTTGAGCAATGAGTTTATGGCTATGACACCAAAAGTACAGACGACAAAAATAACTAAGCCTGACTGCATCAAACCAAGTGAGACTTCTACACAGCAAAGGCAAGAATAAGCAGAGTAAAATATAACCTATGGAATGGGAGAGAGTATTTGCAAACCATGTATCTGATAAGGGGTTAATCTCCAAAATATATAGTGAACTCATACAACTCAATAGCAAAAAATCTAATAACTTTTCTCTTTTTTTGAGACAAGGTCTCCCTCTGTCTCCCAGGCTGGAGTGCAGTGGCACAATCTCGGCTCACTGCAACCTCCACCTCCCGGGTTCAAGCGATTCTCCCATCTCAGCCTCTGGAATAGCTGGGATTACAGGCATGCACCACCACAGCCCGGCTAATTTTTGTATTTTTAGTAGAGATGAAGTTTTACCCTGTTGGCCAGGCTGGTCTTGAACTCCTGACCTCAGGTGATACACCCGCCTCGGCTTCCCAATGTGCTGGGATTACAGGCATGAGCCGCTGCTCCCGGCCTTAATAACTTGATTTAAAAATAAGCTTAAGGGCTTGAAGAGACATTTTTTTCAGACACAAAAATGCCCAATACATACATGAAAAGATGCTCAACATCACTAATCATCAGGGAAATGCAAATCAAAGCCACAGTGAAATTTCACTTGCACACCTGCTAGCCTGGCTATTGCCAAAAAAACAAAAGACAAGTGTTGGTAAACACATGGAAAAATCAGAACCTTTGCACACTGTTGGCGAGACTGCAAAATGGTGCAGCTCCTAGGGAAAACGTATGGAAGTTCCTCAAAAAATTAGAAATAGAACTACCATATGATTTAATAATCCCACTTCTGGTTATTTAACCAGAGGAATGGGGATTATGATCTTAAAGAGATATGAACGTGCCCATGTTCATTGCAGCACTATTCACAATAGCCAGGATGTGAAAACAACCTAAATGCCTATCAACAGATGAGGGATTTTTCCTTCCCTCTCTACCAGGAAATGATGGATTTTTTTAATTGTGGTATATACATACAGTGGGATATTATTCAGCCTTAAAAAAGAAAGCCATCAGCCTGGGCAACATAGGGAGACCCCATCTCTACAAAAAATAAAAATAAATTAGACAGGCATGGTGGAATGGGCCCACAGTCCCAGCTACTCAGGAGACTGAGGTGGGAGGGTCGCTTGAGCCCAGGAGGTTGAGGCTTCCAGGAGCCGTGTTTGCACCACTGCACTCCAGCCTGTGTGACAGAACAAGACTTTGTCAAAAAAGAAGAAGGAGGAGGAGGAGGAGGAGGAGAGGAGGACGACGAGGAGGGGGAGGAGGGGGAGGAGGAGGAAGAGGAGGAGGAGGGGGAGGCGGAGGAGGAGGAGGAGGAAGAGGAGGAGGAGGAGAAGAAAAAGAAGAAAGATATTCTTTCATTTGTGACAACATGGATGAACCTGGAGGACGTTATTCTAAGTGAAATAAGCCAGTCACCAAAGGATGAATACGGCGTGGTTTCACTTATATGAGTTATCTAAAATAGCCAAACTGGCAGGGTGCGGTGGCTCACACCTGTAATCCCAGCACTTTGGGAGGCCAAGGCAGGTGGATCACTTGAGTCCGGGAGCTCAAGACCAGCCTGGACAACATGGCAAAACCCAGTCTCTACAAAAAATACAAAAATTAGCCAGGCATGGTGGTGCATGCTTGTAATCCCAGCTACTCAGGAGGCTGAGAGAGGAGAATCGCTTGAACCCAGGAGGTAAGGTTGCAGTGAGCCGAGATTGTGCCACTGCACTCCAGCCTGGGCGACAGACTGAAACTTTTGTCTCAAAAACTAAAAAAAAATAAAACAGCCAAACTCATTGAAGCAAAGAATATAATGGTGGCTGCCAGAGGCTAGAGAACAATGAGGAGTTGCTAATCAATGGGTATACATTTTCAATATGCAAGATGAAGTTCAAGAGGTCTGCTGTACAACATTGCACCAATAGATGACAGTATTACATTGTACATTTTAAAATCTGTTAAGAGGATAGGTCTCATGTTAAGTGCCCTTACCACAATAAAAAAATTTTTAAACATAAAGAAAGAAAAATGTAAGGCTAGCAAAAACCCAGAGACCAGAGGCCAGAAAACTAGATGGTCTCAGGTGGCTATGGTGGGAAAGAATATGAACAGGGAAGATGGAACCAGACTGTAAGGGTCCCTCCAGACAGTGGGCTCCACCTGGCAGGAGACAGAAAGCCAACTTACAGAGCAAAACAGTTGTCAGGTCCAGAATATAGGGTGACAAGTCATCAGGATGGGCTCCATGCTTTGCAAGACCCAATGCAAAAAAACGTAGGACCCCTTGTTGAAAAATTACTAAGAATTGAAGATGGCAATAGCAGAGCATTAAGCCAAGCACAGGGCGATTCTGAGAGAGGGGCACGTGTGACTGCACAATTCCACATCTGTGAAGTGTGCAATCCCGTAAGGTGGCCAACCGCATAGGTTTCCCAGGATGTGGGATTTCAGTACTAAATCTGGGACAGAGTTAAGCAAACTAGAGCTCTTGGTCACCTTACCAGGACCGAGATTCAGAAGAAAGGAATGCCTGCATCCCAATACTGCTAGCTTGCCATTTGCCATCGCTGGGCCTTGATCTACTCATCTGTAAAGTGGGGGTGATGAGGCTATCATGCACCTCCTATTGCTGTAGAAATAATCAATCTGGAACTAAGAGTCTTTGAGATTTCTGTGAATGTGTGTGTGTGTGTGCACGTGCACGCATGCATGTGCAAGTCTGACTCTGTCACTCTGGCTGCTGGAGTACAGTGGTGTGACCAGGACTCACTGCAGCCTCAACCTCCCAGGCTCAAGTAATCCTCCGGCCTCAGCCTCCAGAGTAGCTGGGACCATGGGTGTATGCCACCACACCTGGCTAATTTTTTTTTTTTTTTTTTTTTTTTGGAGAGATGGGTTCTCACCATGTTGCCCTGACTGGTCTTGAGCTCCTGGGCTTAAACAATCCTCCCAACTCAGCCTTCCAAAGTGCTGGGATTACAGGCGTCAGCCACCAGGCCCAGCCACATGTTATTATTTTTGAAGGTTCTGAAAGGAGTACTGTGAGAACTTATCTGGCAGCTGTGGGCACACTGAATTAGGAGAAAGATCAACAAAGAGGCTACTGTCATGACAAGGACAGTGACCAGGTCTCACCTGGCTATGGGAGGGGCTGATGCCAGATCCTGAGGTTCCGTGAAACAGGTAAACAGCACCCCGGTTGTCCTCCTCTCCTGGGGCCCCAATGGCCACGTCCGTCAGCTTGTCCCCATTTACGTCCCCCAGCACTGTTAGGGCTGCCCCAAAGCGGCCCCAGGGTTGGCCCTGCTCCCCGTAGAGAACAGCATCACACTGCCACCGAGCCCTCTGCTAAACACAAACAGTATCAGGCCCCAACCCAGGCGACCCCTCCACCCACACCGGGCCCCACCCAGCCCAGGTCCCATTGCCACTCACCCCCCTGGGCAAGGGGCACACGGACACCTGGCCCCCTCGGGTCTGCTCGTAGTAATGGGGGGCCCCGATGAGGACCAGGTCGGTGCTGCCGTTGCTGTCCACGTCCACGGAGCAGAGGGAGGCCCCGAAGTAGGCGCCGATCTGAAAGAGACAGGACCGTAATCACACACCTCTTCCCACCTAAAGCAGATGTGGAGGTTTTCTCTCTCTGAAGAAAAGTTATGCCTGCTGGGGGAATCCCTCTGGAGCAGATGTGATCTTCTATATGGTTCATGATAAATTATCACTTGAATGTGCTGCCAGCTAAAGGAACCTATATAATAAGCCTGGCAGAATGGTTTCTGCCTGTAATCCCAGCTCCTCGGGGGGCTGAAGTGGGAGGATCCCTTGAGCCAAGGAGTTTAAGGCTGCAGTGAGCTTTGTCACCACTGCACTCCAGCTTGGGCAACAGAGCAAGATCCCAATCTCTAAGTGTATATATATATTTTTTAATAATTTAAAAGATAAAAAATAAGCCTATAGTAGAGTCAATGGGCAGTGAGTGAGGATTTACTCCAGGTGGTATTCCTGGGAGATTATTAAGGCAGCAAAGAAGAATTTGGGTTGGAAAATACATAGAAAATTCTAGAAGAGAAGACAGAATACCACCCTTTCAATATATTGGGAATCTTTAGGGAGGTAAAAAGTCAAAGTTGGCACTCTGACTAATAAGGCTAATAACTGGCTTAGATTAAAAATAACTATTTGTTATTTGAATATTTGTTGTGATATTAAGAAATATCTTCAAGGTCAATATGTAGAATTCATCCATAAAATTCACCTATTTAATCATACATTCATTCATTCATTTATTCATTCATTCAACAAACAAGTGTTTCTTATTGCTAAGCACACAGCTGGGTAATAGAGATACAGTGCCTTCCAGGGCCCTCAGTGCAGCCAGGTGGAGGAGAGGAGAGTAATCAATGGATTAACAGGGAGATGTGTATAGCAATTTCAAACTGGGACAAGTTCTAGAAAGGGAATGTGCAGGGGACATCATGCCACGGCTCTGCAACGTGATTTCTGCCTCATACACCATTGAGGGAAGACTCATTGATAACTGAATACTTTATCCTAAAGTCAACAGAATTTGATTGTTTTTTAGGTCAGATTTATTGGGGAAGAGTTTACATACAATAAAATTCAGCCTTTTAGTACATAGTTTTATGAGTTTTGACAAACATATAAAGTCATATAACCGGCCAGATGCAGTGGCTCATGCCTGTAATCCCAGCATTTTGGGAGGCCAGGGCGTGTGGATCACCTGAGGTCAGGAGTTCGAGACCAACCTGGAAATCATGGTGAAACCCCATCTCTACTAAAAATACAAAAAAAAAAAAATTAGCAGGGCATGGTGGCGGGCGCCTATAGTCCCAGCTACTCAAGAGGCTGAGGCAGGAGAATGGCGTGAACCTGGGAGGTGGAGCTTGCAGTGAGCCGAGATAACGCCACTGCACTCCAGCCTGGGCAACACAGAGAGACTCTGTTAAAAAAAAAAAAAAAAAAGATAAAAAGATAATAACCATGATCAAGTGTGATTTATCCCTGGGATGCGAGATGCAAGGATGATTCCACATATGCAAATCAATTAATGTGGCATATCACATTAACAGAATGAAGGACTAAAACCACATGATCATCTCAATATACGCAAAAAAAAGCATTTGACAAAATTCAACATTCTTTTATAATAAAAACTCTCAATAAATTCGCTACAGAAGGAATGTACCTCAATATGATAAAGGCCATATACGACAAGCCCACAACAAACATCATACTCAATGGTGAAAAATTGAAAGCTTTACCACTAAAATGAGGAAAAAGGCAAGAATGCTCACTCTCACTACTTCTATGTAACATAGTACTGGAAGTCCTGGTCACAGCAATTAGGCAAGAAAAATAAATGAAAGAGACCCAAATCAGATATAAAAAAGGAAATTTGTCTCTGTTTACACTTAAAATGATATATATATAAAAACATATATATATAAATATATTTTTAAAAAACCCTAAAAACTCCACCAAAAAAGAACTACTAGAACTAATGAATAAATTCAGTAAAGTTACAGGTTACAAAATCAATGTGAAAAATCAATAGTGCTTCTATACACTAACAATGAACTATCTGAAAAAGAAATCAAGAAACAATCTCATTTACAATAGCATCAAAAAAAATACCTAAGCTTAAATTTAACCAGAGAGGTGAAAAACATGTACACTAAAACTATAAAACATTGATTAAGGAAGTTAAACAAGACAAAAATAAATGGAAAGATATCCTATGTTCATGGACTGGAGTATTAATGCAATCTTCTGATTCAGTACAATCCTTATCAAAATCCCAATGGCATTTTTTTACAAAAATAGAAAAAAAACTAAAATTTATGTAGAACCACAGAAGACCCTAAATAGCCAAAGCAATCCTCAAGAAAAAAAATACTGGAGGCATCATAATTCCTGATCTCAAAACATACTGTGTCAAGAAAGCTCTAGTAAGCATAACAGCAAGGTGGTGGCATAAAAACAGACACATCAACCAATGGAACAGAACAGGGAGGCTAGAAATAAAACTATGCATTTATGGTCAATTGATCTTCAATAAAGGTGCCAAGAATATGCAAAGGAGAAAGGACATTCTCTTCAACAAATGGTGTGGGGAGAACTGGATATTCATATTCAAAAGGATTAAATTAGACCTTTATCCCAAACCATATACAAAATCAACTCAAAATGGATTAAAGACTTAAACACAAGACCTGAAACTGTAAAACTACTAGAAGAAAACAAAGGGAAAAGCTTCTTGACAATCAAGCTTCTGAGAAATGATTTTTTGGATATGACCCCAAAAGCACAGGCAACAAAAGCAAACCAGACAAATGGGGTGGCATCAAACTAAAAAGTGTCAGCTTAACAAAAAAAGAAAATTTCAGGCCAATATTCTTGATGAACACTAATGCAAAAATCCTCAACACACTACCTGCAAACCAAATCCAGCAGCACATCAAAAATCTAATCCACCATGATCAGGTAGGCTTCATTCCCGGGGTGCAAAGTTGGTTCAACATATGCAAATCAATAAATATGATTCATCACATAAACAGAACTAAAGACAAAAACCACATGATTATCTCAATAGATGAAGAGAAGGCTTTAATAAAAGTCAACACCCCTTTATGTTAAAAATTCTCAATAAACTAGGTATTGAAGGAACATACCTCAAAATAATAAGAGCCATCTACAACAAACCCACAGCCAACATCATACTTGATGGGCAAAAGCATTCCCCTTGAAAGCCAGCACAAAACAAGGATGCCTTTGCTCACTAGTCCTATTCAACATATTATTGGAAGTTCTAGCCAGAGCAATCAGGCAAAAGAAAGAAAAAAGGGCATACAAATAGGAAGAAAGGAAGTAAAAAAGTCAAACTATCCCTGTTTGCAGACAACATGATTCTATATTTAGAAAACCCCATAGTCTTGGCCTAGGAGCTCCTTCAGCTGATAAATAACTTCAACAAAGTTTCAGGATACGAAATCAATGTACAAAAATCACTAGCACTCCTATACACCAACAAGAGCTGGGAGCCAAATCAGGAAGGCAATCCTATTCACGATTGCCACAAAAAGAATAAAATAACTAGGAATACAGCTAACCAGAGAGTTGAAAGATCTGTACAGTGAGAATTGTAAAACACTGTTCAAAGAAATCAGAGATGACACCAAAAAAATGGTAAAACATCTCATGCTCATGGATAGGAAGAATCAATATCATTAAAATGGACACACTTCCCAAAGCAATTTATAGATTCAGTGCTATTACTATTAAGCTACCAATGACATTCTTCACAGAACTAGGAAAAACTATTTTAAAATTCATATGGAATCAAAAAAGAACCTGAATAACCAAGTCAATCCTAAGCAAAAAGAACACAGAAGGAGGCATCACATTACCTGACTTCAAACTATACTACAGGGCTACAGTAACCAAAACAGCATGATACTGGTACAAAAACAGGCACATAGACCAATGGAACAGAATAGAGAGCCCAGAAATAAGGCCATACACCTATGACCATCTGATCTAAGACAAAAATAAGCAATGGGGAAAAGAATTCCTATTCAACAAATGGTGCTAGGATAACTGGCTAGCCATATGCAGAAGATTGAAACTGGACCCCTTCCTTACACCATATACAAAAATCAACTCAAGATAGACTAAAGACTTAAATGTAAAACCCAAAACTATAAGAACCCTGGAAGACAACCTAGGCAATACCATTCTAGACACAGGAATAAGCAAAGATTTCCTGACAAAGACACAAAAAGCAATCTCAACAAAAGCAAAAATTGACAAATGGCATCTAATTAAATGCAAGAGCAAAAGAAACTATCAACAGAGTGAACAGACAACCTAAAGAATGAGAGAAAATATTCACAAACTATGCATCCAACAAAGGTGTAATATCCAACATCTACAGGGTACTTAAACAAATTTACAAGAGAAAAACAACGCCATTAAAAGGTGGGAAAAGGAAATGAACAGACACTTTTCGAAAGAAGACATGCATGCAGCCAACAAGCATACAAAAAAAGCTCAAAATCATTATCATTAGAGAAATGTAAATCAAAACCACAATGAGATACCATCTCACACCAGTTAGAATGGCTATTAGTAAAAGTTAAAAAATAGATGCTGGTGAGGTTGTGAAGAAAAGGGAACACTTATACTGTTGGTGGGAGTGGTAAATTAGTTTAACCACTTGGGGAAAGCAGTATGGCAACTCCTCAAAGAGCTAAAAGCAGAACTACCATTCAACCCAGCAACCCCATTACTGGGGATATACCCAGAGTAATATATATCATCCTACCATAAAGACACATGCACATGAATATTTATTGCAGTACTAGTCACAATAGCAAAACATGGAATCAACCTAAATGCCCACCAATAACAAATAGGATTTTTTAAAATGTGGTACATATACACCGTGGAATACTATGCAGCCATAAAAATAGCAAGATCATGTCTTTTGTGGGAACATGGATGGAGCTGAAGGCCGTTATCCTTAGCAAACTAACACAAGAACAGAAAAACAAATACTGCATGTTCTCACTTATTAGTGGGAGCTAAACTATAAAGAACTTATGAACACAAAGAAGGAAACAACAGACACTGGGGTCTACTTGAGGGTGGAGGTTGGGAGGAGGCAGGAGCAGAAAAAATAACCATTGGATACTAGGCTTAATACCTGGGTGACAAAATACTCTGTACAACAAACTCCCATGACATGAGTTTACTTATATAACAAACTTTCATGTGTACCCTCAAACCTAAAGTAAAAGTTGAAAAATTATAAAATATCAATCTAATTTTTTTAAATTAAATAAATAAATAAAAAGTGACAGCTACTTAATGGTATGTATCAAGATTCTTTTCAAAATTCTTTTGGATACTCTACTTTTTTATTTTTTATATAAATTTTAGAATTGGCTAAATTCTGCAAAATATACTTCTAGGATTTTTACCTTTTTATGAATATGTAATAATTGCACATATTTATAGGGAACATGTGATATTTTTATACAAGCATACAATGTGTGATGATCAAATCAGGGTAACTGGGATATCCGTTGCCTCAAGGATTTATCATTTCTTTTGCTGGGAACATTCCAATTCCATTCCTGTAGTTATTTTGAAATACACAATAAATTATTGTTAACTATAGTCACCCTACTGTGCTACCAAACACTAGGTCTTATTTTTCCTAACTGTATTTTTGTACCCATTAACCATCCCCTCTTTACCCCATCCTCCTTACTACCCTTCCCAGTCTCTAGTAACCCATCATGCTACTCTCTACCTCCATGAGATCCATTTTTTTTTAGCTCCTACACATGAATGAGAACATGCAATATTTGTTTTTCTGTGCCCGGGTTGTTTTACTTAACATAATGTCCTCCAGTTCCAATCCTGTTATTGCAAATCACAAGATTCATTCATCTTATGGCTGAATAATATTCCTTTGTGTACCAGAAAAATGCAAATGAAAACCACAATGAGATATCATCTCATTCCAGTTAAAAGGGCTTTTATCGAAAAGACAAACAATGATGGATGCTGGCAAAGATGCAGAGAAAGAGGAACCCTCATGCACTGTTAGTAGGAATGTAAATTAGTAAAGCCACTATAGAGAACAATATGGAGGCTCCTCAAGAAAACTAAAAATGGAACTACCACATGATCCAGCAATCCCAGTGCTGGGTATATTGCCAAAGGAAAGGAAATCAGTATACTGAAGAGATAACTGCACTCCCGTGTTTATCGCAGCACTATTCACAATAGTCGAGATATAGAATCAACTTAAGTGTCCATCAACAGATGAATGGATAAAGAAAATGTGGTACATGTGCACAATGGAATATTATCCAGGATTTTTACTGCATTGAATCTGTAGATCAACCCAGGGAGAATTGACATCTTAACAATATTGGAACTATAATATTCGAATCCATGACCACAGCGTCTCTCTCCATTTATTTAGGTCTTTTATTTCTCTCATTAGTGTTTTGTAGTTTTCAGCATAAAGTTACCGTACATGATTCGTTTGATTTATACCTAAATATTTCATGGTATTTTATGCTATTGTAAATGGTACTTTTTAATTTAAATTTCCAATTGTTCAATTATATTATAGAAATAAAACTAATTTTTATACATTGCTCCTATATCCTGAGAACTTACTGAAAAAACCTATTATCATAGCTTTTTTATAGGTTCTTTGGAATTTTCCATGCAATTGTATCATCTGCAAATAGAGAGGGTTTTATTTCTTCCTTTCCTCTTTATATTTTTTTTTCTTCTTTTTCCTGCTTTATTGCATTGGCTAGGTCTTTCAGTACAATGTTGGATAGGAATTATAAAAGTAGATATTCTTGTCTTGTTTCCAATTTTAGGTGAAAAGCATTCTCTTTCACTTTTAAGTATAATGCCTGGTAGAGATTTTTTGTAAATGCTCTTTTTCAGCTTGAGGAAGTTCCCTTTAGTTCCTAGTCGGCTGAGAGTATTTTTAATCATGAAACGATGTTGTATGTTGTCAAATTAGAGTTCTATATCTGTTCAGGTGGTTACATGTTTTTTCTTCTTTAATCTGCTGTTATGGTGAATCACATTGTTTTCTTCAAAGTAGCTTTTATAATTTAGATTAAATGTATAGACCATAAAATTTACCATTTTAAAGTATAAGGTTCACTGGGTTTTAGTACCTTCACAATGTTGTGTAATCATCACCACTACCTCCAGAACATTTCCATCTTCCCAGAAAGAAATTCTCTACCTGTTAGCAGTATTTCCAATCCCCAGTCCAACCCCCAGCCCCTGGAAACCACTAATTTACTTTCTGGCTTGATGGCTTTGTAAGTTTTGAATTGGAAAGTGTGAACCCTCCAGCTTTGTTCCCCTTTTCTAAGATTGTTTTGGATACAAGATCAATATGTAAGAATCAGTTGTATTTCTTTTTTTTTTTTTTTTTTTTTGGATGGAGTTTCACACTTGTTGCCCAGGCTGGAGTGCAATGGCATGATCTCGGCTCACCATAACCTCTGCCTCCCAGATTCAAGCGATTCTCCTGCCTCAGCCTCCCAAGTAGCTGAGATTACAGCCATGTGCCACCACACCTGGCTAATTTTGTATTTTTAGTAACGACAGGGTTTCTCCATGTTGGTCAGGCTGATCTCAAACTCCTGACCTCAGGTGATCCACCTGCCTCGGCCTCCCAAAGTGCTGGGATTACAGGCGTGAGCCACTGGGCCCGGCCAGTTGTATTTCTATATCCCTAAACAATCGGAAATTTATTTTTTTATTATACTTTAAGTTCTAGGGTACATGTGCACAACGTGCAGGTTTGTTACATATGTATACATGTGTCATGTTGGTGTGCTGCATCCATTAACTTGTCATTTACATTAGGTATATCTCCTAATGCTTTCCCTCCTCCCTTCCCCCACCCCACAACAGGCCCTGGTGTGTGATGTTCCCCTTCCTGTGTCCAAGTGTTCTCATTGTTCAATTCCCACCTATGAGTGAGAACATGCAGTGTTTGGTTTTTTTGTTCTTGCGATAGTTTGCTGAGAATGATGGTTTCCAGCTTCATCCATGTCCCTACAAAAGACATGAACTCATCCTTTTTTATGGCTGCATAGTATTCCATGGTGTATATGTGCCACATTTTCTTAATCCAGTCTATCGTTGATGGACATTTGGGTTGGTTCCAAGTCTTTGCTATTGTGAATAGAGCCGCAATAAACATTCGTGTGCATGTGCCTTTATAGCAGCATGATTTATAGTCATTTGGGTATATACCCAGTAATGGGATGGCTGGGTCAAATGGTATTTCTAGTTCTAGATCCTTGAGGAATCGCCACACTGTCTTCCACAATGGTTGAACTAGTTTACAGTCCCACCAACAGTGTAAAAGTGTTCCTATTTCTCCACATCCTCTCCAGCACGTGTTGTTTCCTGACTTTTTAATGATCACCATTCTAACTGGTGTGAGATGGTATCTCATTGTGATTTTGATTTGCATTTCTCTGATGGCCAGTGATGATGAGCATTTTTTCATGTGTCTGTTGGCTGCATAAATGTCTTCTTTTGAGAAATGTCTGTTAATATCCTTCACCCACTTGTTGATGGGGTTGTTTTTTTCTTGTAAATTTGTTTGAGTTCTTTGATGATTCTGGATATTAGCCCTTTGTCAGATGAGTAGATTGCAAAAATTTTCTCCCATTCTGTAGGTTGCCTGTTCACTCTGATGGTAGTTTCTTTTGCTGTGCAGAAGCTCCTTAGTTTAATTAGATCCCATTTGTCAATTTTGGCTTTTGTTGCCATTGCTTTTGGTGTTTTAGACATGAAGTCCTTGACCATGCTTATGTCCTGAATGGTAATGCCTAGGTTTCCTTCTAGGGTTTTTATGGTTTTAGGTCTAACATATAAGCTTTTAATCCATCTTGAATTAATTTTTGTATAAGGTGTAAGGAAGCGATCCAGTTTCAGCTTTCTACATATGGCTAGCCAGTTTTCCCAGCACCATTTATTAAATAGGGAATCCTTTCCCCATTTCTTGTTTTTGTCAGGTTTGTCAAAGATCAGATGGTTGTAGACATGTGGAATTATTTCTGAGGGCTCTGTTCTGTTCCAACAATTGGAAATTTAAATTTAAAAACCAGTACAATTTACAATAGTGCCAAAGGTCATGAAACATTTAGGTATAAGTCTAATATATGGGTCCCTTCTGTTTCCATATGGACTTCAGGATCAGCTTGTCCATTTCTGCAATATTGGTATTTGGGATATTGAACAAGCCCTGCATGTCTGGGATAAGCCACACCTACCCTTCTTTCCTGTTTTCTCCCACCACTCCTCCCACCACCCTATACGCATATTCTGACCCTCCATTCCATTCTCTCTCCCTCCTCTGGCCCCTTGCTTCCCCACACCCCTTTTCACTTCTCTTGTGCTTCCACCTCAGGCCTTGGCTTAGCTGCCACTTCCACCAGGAAGGCTTCCATACTGCCTTTCTGTGGGTGCCCCTCCCATTTGCTCTCATAACTCCCAGACTGTCCCACTTTAAGCATCTATCACCCTTGATGGTAATGTGCGTGTACTTGTGTGGGGTGGGGGAGTTGACCAGCCAGCCTTCCTCATGTGGTCCTGACCACACACCGAAAACAGAGAAGTGGCATCCAATCCACACTTGACTTCCCGTAATTCCTCTACACTTTTTTCCCCACCCCATCCCTTATACATGTCAGGCATTGACACCATCAATGGCCAGTATGTGTTTAGAGAGACCACGTGAAGAATTTGACTATTGGCAAAGAATTATGACAAGCTGTTCAGGTATCAGGAGAAACTGGTTTCATCCCCATACAATGCATTAATTACAAGTCAAAGAGAACCACCGACAAAAATTTTAAAAACACACAGAACTACAGGCAGAAACGAAAAATGAAGTACCTGGGAACACAGCTAACCAAGGAGGTAAAAGGTCTCTACAAAGAGAAATACACTGTTGAAAGAAATCAGAGACGACACAAATAAGCGGAAAAGTATTCCATGCTCATGGATTGGAAGAATCAATATTGTTAAAATGGCCACACTGCTCAAAGCAATTTGCAGATTCAATGCTATTTGTATCAAACTACCAATGCCATTGTTCACAGATAGAAAAAACTATTCTAAAATTAATACGGAACAAAAAAAGAGCCTAAATAGCAAAAGCAATCCTAAGCAAAAATAACAAAGCTGGAGGCATCACACTATCCGAATATGAGGCTATAGTAACCAAAACAGTATGGTACTGGTACAAAGACAGACACATAGACCAACGGAATAGAACAGAGAGCCCAGAAATAAAGCCACCCACCTATAACCACCTGATCTTCAATAAAGACTATGAAGCAAGCAATGGGGAAAGAACTCCCTATTCAATAAAGAGTGTGGAGATAACTGGCTATCCATATGCAGAAGAATGAAACTGAACCCCTTCCTTACACCTTATACAAAAATCAACTCAAGGTGTATTAAAGATTTAAATGTGATTAAAGACTTAAATCACATGGATTAAAGATTTAAATGTGAGCCCTCGAACTATTAAAATCATTGAAGAAAACCTAGGAAATACTTTCTCAACAGCAGCCTTGGCAAAGAACTTTCGGCTAAGCCCTCAAAAGCAACTGCAACAAAAACAAAAATCAACAAGTGGGAACTAATTAAAGAGTTTCTGTAGAGCAAAAGAAACTATCAACAGAGTAAACAGAAAACTTTCAGAATGGGAGAAAATATTTGCAAACCACATCTGACAAAGGTCTGAAATCCAGAATCTATAAGGAACTTCAACAAATCAACAAGCAAGAAACAAATAACCCCATTAAAAAGTGGGTAAAGGACATAAACAGACACTTCTCAAAGGAAGACATACAAGTAGCCAAAAAACATTTGAAAAAGAAAGTTCATTATCACTAATCACCAGAGAAATGCAAATCATAAACCACAATGAGATACCATCTCACACCAGTCAGAATGCTATTATTAAAAAGACAATAACAGATGCTGGTAAGGCAATGAAGAAAAAGGAACGCTTATACATTGTTGGCTGGTGGGAATGTAAATTAGTCCAGCCACTGTGGAAAGCAGGTTGAAGATTTCTCAAAGAATATAAAACAGGGCTACTATTCAGCCCAGCAATCTCATTACTGGCCATATATCCAAAAGAAAATAAGCTGTTCTATCAAAAAGATACATGCTCGTATGTTCATCACAGCACTATTCACAATAGAAAGACATGGAATCAACCTAGGTGTCTATCAGTGGTGGATTGGAAAAGAAAATGTGGTACATATACACCATCAAATACTACGCCACCATAAAAAAAAAAATGAATCACATCCTTTGCGGCAACATGGATGCAGCTGGAGGCTATAATCCTAAGTGAATTGGCACAGGAACAGAAAATCAAATACTGCATGTTCTCACTTATAAGTGGGAGCTAAACACTGGGTATACATAGACATAAAGATGGGAATGATAGATACTGCAGACTACCAGATGGAGGAGCAGGAGGTGTGGGTTGGAAAACCACCTATTGGGCCAGGCGCAGTGGTTCACACCTGTAATCTCAGCATTTTGGGAGGCCAAGGCAGGAGGATTGCTTGAGCTCAGGAGTTCAAAACCAGCCTGGGCAACGTTGCTTGAGCTCAGGTGTTCAAAACCAGCCTGGGCAACATAGTGAGACCCTGTCTCTAAAAAAAAAAAAAGAGAGAGAAAAGAAAAGAAAAAGAAAAAAGAAAAACCACCACAGGTACTATGCTCACTACCTGGGTGATGGGATCTGCAGCCCAAACCTCAGCAACATGCAATGTATGCATGTAACAAGCCTATACATGTACCCCAAATCTAAAACTTGAAATTTTTTTTTTAATTGAGATGAAGTCTCGCCCTGTCATCCAGGCTGGAGTGCAGTGGCAAGATCCCAGCTCACTGCAACCTCTGCCTCCCAGGTTCAAGTGATTCTTCTGCCTCAGCCTCCCGAGTAGCTGGGATTACAGATGCACACGCCACCACGCTTGGCTAACTTTTTTTAATATTTTTTATTTTTAGTAGAGACAGAGTTTCACCATATCGGCCAGGCTCGTCTCAAACTCCTGACCTCAGGTGATCCACCTGCCTCAGCCTTCCAAAGTGCTGGTAAGGGAGGAGACCACCCCTCATGTTGTCTTATGCCCAATTTCTGCCTCCAAAGAAAGAAGTAAAAACTAAAAGGCAGAAATTAAATCCACGGGCTGTGCTGCACCCTGGGTCTGGTTAAAGATCAACTCATGACCTAACCAGTTATGTTATGTATAGATTCCAGACATGGTATGGAAAAGCATTGTGAAAATCTCTGTCCTGTTCTGTTCCGTTCTGTTTACTGGTGCATGCAGCCCTCAGTCACGTACCTCCTGCTTGCTCAATCGATCACGACCCCCTCACGTGGACCTGTTTAGAGTTTTAAGCCCTTAAAAGGACAGGAATTGCTCACTCGGGGAGCTCAGTTTTTGGAGACGTGAGTCTTGCTGTAGCTCCTGACTGAATAAAGCCCTTCCTTCTTTAACTCGGTGTCTGAGGGGTTTTGTATGCAGCTTGTCCTGCTACACTGGTATTACAGGCATGAGCCAACATGCCCTGCCTGAAATTTTTTTTTTTAAAGAACTATAGGCAGAGGAGGTTCCAAGATGGCCGAATAGGAACAGCTCCAGTCTACAGCTCCCAGCGTGAGTGACGCAGAAGACAAGTGATTTCTGCATTTCCAACTGAGGTACTGGGTTCATCTCACTGGGGCTTGTAGGAGAGTGGGTGCAGCCCACAGAGTATGAGCCAAAGCAGGGTGGGTCATCGCCTCACCTGGGAAGTGCAAGGGGTTGGGGAATTCCCTTTCCTAGCCAAGGGAAGCCGTGACAGAGAGTAAGTGGAAAATTGGGACACTCCCACCCTAATACTGCACTTTTCCAATGGTCTTAGCAAATGGCACACCAGGAGATTATATCCCGCGTCTGGCTCAGAGGGTCCCACGCCCATGGAGCCTTGCTCACGCTAGCACAGCAGTTTGAGATCAAGCTGCAAGGTGGCAGTGAGGCTGGGGGAGGGGCGTCCACCATTGCTGAGGCTTGAGTAGGTAAACAAAGCGGCCAGGAAGTTCGAACTGGGTGGAGCCCACTGCAGCTCAAGGAAGCCTGCCTGCCTCTGTAGACTCCACCTCTGGGGGCAAGGCATAGCTGAACAAAAGGCAGCAGAAACTTCTGCAGACTTAAATGTCCCTGTCTGACAGCTTTGAAGAGAGTAATGGTTCTCCCAGCATGCAGCTTGGATCTGAGAACAGACAGACTGCCTCCTCAAGTGGGTCCCTGACCCCCAAGTAGCCTAACTGGGGGGCACCTCCCAGTAGGAGCCGACTTACACCTCATACGGCTGGGTGCCCCTCTGCAACGAAGCTTCCAGAGGAAGAATCAGGCAGCAACATTTGCCGTTTTGTAATATTTGCTGTTCTGCAGCCTCCACTGGTGAAACTCAGGAAAACAGGGTCTGGAGTGGAACTCCGGCAAACTCCAACAGACCTGCAGCTGATGGTCCTGACTGTTAGAAGGAAAACTAACAAACAGAAAGGATTTCCACACCAAAACCCCATCTGTATGTCACCATCATCAAAGACCAAAGGTAGATAAAACCACAAAGATGGGGAGAAACCAGAGCAGAAAAGCTGAAAATTTTAAAAATCAGAGCACCTCTTCTCCTCCAAAGGAGCACAGCTCCTCACCAGCAATGGAACGAAGCTGGACGGAGAATGACTTTAACGAGTTGAGAGGAGAAGGCTTCAGATGATCGGTAATAACAAACTTCTCCGAGCTAAAGGAGGATGTTCAAACCCATCACAAAGAAGCTAAAAACCTTGTAAAAAGATTAGACGAATGGCTAACTAGAATAAACAGCATAGAGAAGACCTTAAATGACCTGATGGAGCTGAAAACCATGGCATGAGAATTACGTGATGCATGCACAAGCTTCAGTAGCCAATTCAATCAAGTGGAGAAAGGGTATCAGTGATTGAAGATCAAATGAATGAAATGAGGCAAGAAGAGAAGTTCAGAGAAAAAAAGAGTAAAAAGAAATGAACAAAGCCTCCAAGAAATATGGGACTATGTGAAAAGACCAAATCTACGTCTGATTGGTGTACCTGAAAGTGACAGGGCGAATGGAACCAAGTTGGAAAACACTCTTCAGGGTATTATCCAGGAGAACTTCCCCAATCTAGCAAGGCAGGCCAACATTCAAATTCAGGAAATACAGAGAACACCACAAAGATACTCCTCAAGAAGAGCAACTCCAAGACACATAATTGTCAGATTCACCAAAGTTGAAATGGAGGAAAAAATGTTAAGGGCAGCCAGAGAGAAAGGTCAGGTTACCCACAAAGGGAAGCCCATCAGACTAGCAGCTGATCTCTCAGCAGAAACCCTACAAGCCAGAAGAGAGTGGGGGCCAATATTCAACATTCTTAGAGAAAAGAATTTTCAACCCAGAACTTCATATCCAGCCAAACTAAGCTTCATAAGTGAAGGAGAAATAAAATACTTTACAGACAAGCAAATGCTGAGAGATTTTGTCACCACCAGGCCTGCCCTAAAAGAGCTCCTGAAGGAAGCACTAAACATGGAAAGGAAAAACCAGTGCCAGCCACTGCAAAAACATACCAAATTGTAAAGACCACCGATGCTAGGAAGAAACTGCATCAACTAACGAGCAAAATAACCAGCTAACATCATAATGACAGGATCTAATTCACACATAACAATACTAACCTTAAATGTAAATGGGCTCAATGCTCCAATTAAAAGGCACAGACTGGCAAATTGGATAAAGAGTCAAGACCCATCAGTGTGCTGTATTCAGGAAACCCATCTCACGTGCAGAGACACACATAGGCTCAAAATAAAGGGATGGAGGAAGATCTACCAAGCAAATGGAAAACAGAAAAAACCAGGGGTTGCAATCCTAGTCTCTGATGAAACAGTCTTTAAACCAACAAAGATCAAAGAGACAAAGAAGGCCATTACATAATGGTAAACCGATAAATTCAACAAGAAGAGCCAACAATCCTAAGTATATATGCACCCAGTACAGGAGCACCCAGATTCATAAAGCAAGTGCTTAGTGACCTACACAGAGACTTAGACTCCCACACAATAATAATGGGAGACTTTAACACCCCACTGTCAACATTAGACAGATCAACGAGACAGAAAGTTAACAAGGATATCCAGGAATTGAACTCAGCTCTGCACCAAGCGGACCTAATAGACATCTACAAAACTCTCCACCCCAAATCAACAGAATATACATTCTTTTCAACACCACACCACACCTATTACAAAATTGACCACATAGTTGGAAGTAAAGCACTCCTCAGCAAATGTAAAAGAACAGAAATTATAACAAACTGTCTCTCGGACCACAGTGCAATCAAACTAGAACTCAGGATTAAGAAACTCACTCAAAACCGCTCAACTACATGGAAACTGAACAACCTGCTCCTGAATGACTACTGGATACATAACAAAATGAAGGCAGAAATAAAGATGTTCTTTGAAACCAATGAGAACAAAGACACAACATACCAGAATCCTGAGACACATTTAAAGCAGTGTGTAGAGGGAAATTTATAGCACTAAATGCCCACAAGAGAAAGCAGGAAAGATCTAAAATTGACACCTTAAAATCACAATTAAAAGAACTAGAGAAGCAAGAGCAAACACATTCAAAAGCTAGCAGATGGCAAGAAATAACTAAGATCAGAGCAGAACTGAAGGAAATAGAGACACAAAAAACCCTTCAAAAAATCAATGAATCCAGGAGCTGGTTTTCTGAAAAGATCAACAAAACTGATAGACCGCTAGCAAGACTAATAAAGAAGAAAAGAGAGAAGAATCAAATAGACGCAATACAAAATGAGAAAGGGGATATCACCACCAATCCCACAGAAATACAAACTACCATCAGAGAATACTATAAACACCTCTACACAAATAAACTAGAAAATCTAGAAGAAATGGATAAGTTCCTGGACACATACACCCTCCCAAGACTAAACCAGGAAGAAGTTGAATCTCTGAATAGACCAATAGCAGGCTCTGAAATTGAGGCAATAATTAATAGCCTACCAACCAAAAAAAGTCCAGGACCAGACGGATTCACAGCTGAATTCTACCAGAGGTACAAGGAGGAGATGGTACCATTCCTTCTGAAACTATTCCAGTCAATAGAAAAACAGGGAATCCTCCCTAACTCATTTTTTGAGGCCAGCATCGTCCTGATACCAAAGCCTGGAAGAGACACAACAAAAAAAAGAGAATTTTAGACCAATATCCCTGATGAACATCAACGCAGAAATCCTCAATAAAATACTGACAAACTGAATCCAGCAGCACATCAAAAAGCTTATCCACCATGATCAAGTGGGCTTCATCCCTGGGATGCAAGGCTGGATCAACATATGCAAATCAATAAACATAATCCATCATATAAACAGAACCAAAGACAAAAACCACGTGATTATCTCAATAGATGCAGAAAAGGCCTTTAACAAAATTCAACAGCCCTTCATGCTGAAAACTCTAAATAAACTAGGTATTGATGGGACGTATCTCAAACTAAGAAGAGCTATTTATGACAAACCCGCAGCCAATATCATACTGAATGGGCAAAAACTGGAAGCATTCCCTTTGAAAACTGGCACATGACAGAGATGCCCTCTCTCACCACTCCTATTCAACATAGTGTTGGAAGTTCTGGCCAGGGCAATCAGGCAGGAGAAAGAAATAAAGGGTATTCATATTGTCCCTGTTTGCAGACGACATGATTGTATATTTAGAAAACCCCATTGTCTCAACCCAAAACGTCCTTAAGCTGATAAGCAACTTCAGCAAAGTCTCAGGATATAAAATCAGTGTGCAAAAATCACAAGCATTCCTATACACCAATAACAGACAAACAGAGAGCTAAATCATGAGTGAACTCCCATTCACAATTGCTTCAAAGAGAATAAAATACCTAGGAATCCAACTTACAAGGGATGTGAAGGACCTCTTCAAGGAGAACTACAAACCACTGCTCAATGAAATAAAAGAGGACACAAACAAATTGAAGAACATTCCATGCTCATGGATAGGAAGAATCAATATCGTGAAAATGGCCATACTGCCCAACATAATTCATAGATTCAATGCCTTCCCCATCAAGCTACCAATGACTTTCTTCACAGAATTGGAAAAAGCTACGTTAAAGTTCATGTGGAACCAAAAAAGAGCCCACATTGCCAAGTCAATCCTAAGCCAAAAGAACAAAGCTGGAGGCATCACGCTACCTGACTTCAAACTATATTACAAGACTACAGTAACCAAAACAGCATGGTACTGGTACCAAAACAGAAATATAGACCAATGGAACAGAACAGGGCCCTCAGAAATAATACCACACATCTACAACCATCTGATCTTTGACAAACCTGAAAAAACAAGAAATGGGGAAAGGATTCCCTATTTAATAATGGTGCTGGGAAAACTGGCTAGCCATATGTAGAAAGCTGAAACTGGATCCCTTCCTTACACCTTATACAAAAATTAATTCAAGATGGATTAAAGACTTAAATGTTAGACCTAAAACCATAAAAACCCTAGAAGGAAACCTAGGCAATACCACTCAGGACATAGGCATGGTCAGGGACTTCATGACTAAAACACCAAAAGCAATGGCAACAAAAGCCAATATTGACAAATGGGATCTAATTAAACTAAAGAGCTTCTGCACAGCAAAAGAAACTACCATCAGAGTGAACAGGCCACCTACAGAATGGGAGAAAATTTTTACAATCTACCCATCTGACAAATGGCTAATATCCAGAATCTACAAAGAACTTAAACAAATTTACAAGAAAAAATCAAACAACCCCATCAAAAACTGGGCAAGGGATATGAACAGACACTTCTCAAAAGAAGACATTTATGCAGCCAACAGACACATGAAAAAATGCTCATCATCACTGGCCATCAGAGAAATGCAAATCAAAATCACAGTGAGATACTATCTCACACCAGTTAGAATGGTGATCATTAAAAAGTCAGGAAACAACACGTGCTGGAGAGGATGTGGAGAAATAGGAACACTTTTACACTGTTGGTGGGACTGTAAACTAGTTCAACCATTGTGGAAGACAGTGTGGCGATTCCTCAAGGATCTAGAACTAGAAATACCATTTGACCCAGCCATCCCATTACTGGGTATATACCCAAAGAATTATAAATCATGCTGCTATAAAGGCACACGCACACATATGTTTATTGTGGCACTATTCACAATAGCAAAGACTTGGAACCAACCCAAATGTCCATCAACGATAGACTGGATTAAGAAAATGTGGCACATATACACCATGGAATACTATGCAGCCATAAAAAAGGATGAGTTCATGTCCTTTGTAGGGACATGGATGAAGCTGGAAACCATCATTCTGAGCAAACTGTTGCAAGCACAGAAAACCAAACACTGCATGTTCTCACTCATAGGTGGGAATTGAACAATGAGAACACTTGGACACCAGGTAGGGAACATCACACACCAGGGCCCGTCGTAGGGTGGAGGGAGAGGGAAGGGATAGCATTAGCAGATATACCTAATGTAAATGACGAGCTAATGGGTGCAACACACCAACATGGCACATGTATACATATGTAACAAACCTGCATGTTGTGCACATGTACCCTAGAACTTAAAGTATAATAAAATAAAAATAAAATAAAGAACTATAGGCACCATATCATGGGTGCAGTCCTATTTCAGGAATTTGCAAGAATGATTTTGACTAGAGAGTTTTGCCTCACTCGCTAGTTCCCACATAATATGTGACCATGCTGCTTTTGCAGGGGTGATATTCAAAATAATGAACAGCTGGAGCTGCACAGGTACTGAGCAGGGGCATGGCTGGAGCAGATCCTAGAGGGTGTGTGAAGTGTCCTGCCTGACCTCATAGTTGCTGGATCATGGGGAAGCCCACAGAGACTGGGGAAGCACCAGAGTGCATGGGTGAGGGGGAATCCACCATTTATCAATGAATACGGAATTGTTTCAATATTTTATTAACTAACATGGCTATCCTGGTTATATACGGGTTGAATACCAGCCCTGAGTACAGAAAGACCCATAGAGAGCTCTGTACAGGCAAGCATTGTTATTTATCATTGTTAAAAAAGCTGAGGACACAGCATTCACAAATGCTAAGCTGATCCCACAACTCCCCAGCTCACAGCCCCCAAAGCCTCCTTTACAAGAGGGCCATGCATGTCATCTGAATGCCCCTCCTGGAATCTCTAAGACCCCAGGGCGCCTCTGTTTGCACATTCATGCTCCACAAACCGCACTCACCTGGGTGCCCTTGACATTAGCGTTGGACTCCCACATGCCAGTGTTCTGCCTGAACATCGCTACCAGGCCGATGTGCTGATATCGAGGTGCCCCCAGAACCAGGCTTTGCACCCGGTTCCGTAAGATGATGGCGGCAGCATAACCTGAAGGTGGGGGTCTGAGAGGTGAAGTGCATTCCCTGCCCCCTCCTCCACCATGCAGACCCACCCCTTGAGTAGGGGCACTGGGGCAGCCCCACGCTTGCTGTGTTGGGGTAACTGATCCCTACGCTATATTTCTCTTTATGAACATAATTACAATTCAATTTAGAAGTTTCTGGCCGGGTGCGGTGGCTCACACCTATAATCCCAGCACTTTGGGAGTCCGAGACAGGCGGATCACCTGAGGTCAGGAGTTCCAGACGAGCCTGGCCAACATGGTGAAACCCGGTCTCTACTGAAAATACAAAAAAAGACCAGGCACGGTGGCTCACGTCTGTAATTCCAGCACTTTGGGAGGCCGAGGCAGGTGGATCACCTGAGGTTGGGAGTTCGCGACCAGCCTGACCGACATGGAGAAATCCCATCTCTACTAAAAATACAAAATTAGCTGGGCATGGTGGCACATGCCTGTAATTCCAGCTACTCAGGAGGCTAAGGCAGGAGAATCGCTTGAACCTGGGAGGCGGAGGTTGTGGTGAGCCAAGATCACGCCATTGCACTCCAGCCTGGGCAACAAGAGCGAAACCCCATTTCGAAAAAAAAAAAAAAATTAGCCAGGGGTGGTGGTGCATTCTTGTAATACCAGCTACTCAGGAGACTGAGGTAGGAGAATCGCTTGAGCGCAGGAGGCAGAGGTTGTAGTGAGCCGAGTGCCATTGCACTACAGCCCGGGCGACAAGAAAGAAACTCCACCTCAAAAAAAAAAATTGAAGTTTCTGTCTTTAAAGCTATCCCAAGAGACTAATAGCTAGTATCCCATACATATGTATCCCATTCATTCAAGACCCAGACATCTATGCTAGTTGACTTATGCCAAATCCTCACCCCTTCTTAGAGTAACCCTTGCCCTCCCCACTTACCCAAGTAAGCATCATTCATGTCTGAATCCACTCTGGTCATGTTGATGAAGGTGCTTTTCTCCTTTGATGTATATAGAAAGACTCCACCAGCCCAGTCATAGCTCCCCACAGTGCTCAGCAAGGGGCCATTCTGGGAAAGGTGTAGAACAGGGTTGATGAGGAAGGAAGAAGGGACAACCGCTGCCCCTCACAGAGCTACTTCCCAAGTATCTATCACAGAGAAGAGTCCCCAAACCCCCACATCTCTCCTATCTCTTCTTGCTACCCCCTGCCCCACCCCCGCAATTTAATGAAGGGCCACTTACAGAGGTGATGGCAGCGCTGAAGCCTTCCTGAGACATCTCATGCTCAAAGGAGCTGCTACTTCCTGTCTGAGTACCTGTAAAGAGGAGAAGTTTCTATATTAAAGAAAGCAGAAGGCCGGGCATGGTGGCTCACGCCTGTAATCCCAACATTTTGAGAGCCTGAGATGGGCAGATCACTTGAGGTCAGGAGTTAGAGACCAGTCTGGTGAACATGGTGAAACCCCGTCTCTACTAAAAATACAAAAATTAGCTGGGCGTGGTGGTATGCGCCTGTAATCCCAGCTACTCAGGAGGCTGAGGCAGGAGAATCACTTGAACCTGGGAGGCAGAGGTTGCAGTGAGCCAAGATCGCACCACTGCACTCCAGCCTGGGCAATAGAGCAAGACTCAGTCTCAAAAAAAAATAGAAAGAAAAGAAAAGAAAGCAGAAGAACCTAGAACAGGTACTGAAAACCCAAGTGCTCTGGTGGCCACAGACAAAGGAGACTCCGACAGGATCTGTGTCAAGCTGGACAGCATACGTCCCTCTTAGAAGGATGGCAGCCATTCACCTCCAGCAACATCCTGCCAAGTGGGAATGCGGTCTTCAAGGTGTCTAATCTTCCAGCTTTTCAAGATAAGCCATAAACCCAGACTGTTTATGAAATCCCCCAATTTCTAAATTCCTTTTATTCAACAAACATTTATTGAGCACCTTCTGAGTACCAGGCACTATTCTAGGCAATTGGGATACAACAGAGAACCGAACAGACGACAGCTGGCAACACATCCAAATTTTTGTTAAAATACTGGGTGGGATTTGACTCCCCCATACTCCAATTTACCAGCCTATAGCCAAGATTTGCAAAATTACAGATAAAAGTATGGATTCTTTGACTTCAAAGGAATTGACCAAGTGAGGCTGGGACTGGGAGCTGTAGGAAGTGGAGAGAGTTGATGCTGGGGGATACCAAGGGTTAGGAAGGTCTGGATTCTAGAGGGGACTATGTTCTGGGGTGGGGGGCTGCCTCTGGAGCTGCTCTGGGAACACAGATGCCTGACTCACCCTCGATCGCAAAGATCTTCTCCCGAAGCTGGTTCTGAATGGTCTTCAGAGCCTCAAAGTTATTCACCTGGAACACGTGATCACGAGGCGGCTTGGATGCGATGGTATTAAGCTCTTGGCGGGATTTCTCACTGCGGAAGGCATCTCCCACCTGTTACCAAGGAACAGAGGCTAAATCATGGTGTGAGGCTAGCAATATCATCTGGCAAAGACAATTCTGCAGGAAACTAGTCTGAACCATTATTTATCAAGTGAGGAAATGCATCAGAAGGTCCCTGGGACAGGGTTGCCAGGTATAGTTGGGCAGGTTGTACACTGCACAAGGCACTGTGCCAAGGAAGCAAGTTGGGGCAGAAACCCGGCTGCTGATCCATCTGCTGTGCCACGTCTCCTGGTATGGAGCTGACCTCCCCCTAGAGGAAGGGGAGCCTTTTTCTTTATATGAAGGTATGTCCTACGTGCCAAGGCATGTATCCATGGTGATATCGCTTTCTGTGTCATGCAGGTGCTGTAGTAGTTTGATTACACTGATGATCCTGACTCCTTGCCTCTTCCTGTATCCAAGCCCTTTCCCCCAGCACTCTGCTGTGCCCTCCTGCTCTTGGTGGAGTCATCTGCCCCCTTCATTGCCTCTGGGCTCAGACATGAGTCTTGCTTTAGCCCATTGTATACAGAGCACCCTTGACATAACTGACTCCATCTTAGAAAAAGGCTCCATTCTATATTTCACAGGGCACTTTGCCAACAAGGATAAGGTCGTTTTAAACAAATTTTTTAAATAGGCCAGGTGCAGTGGCTCATGCCTATAATCCCACACTTTGGAAGGCCAAGGCGGGCAGATCACTTGAGATCAGGAGTTCAAGACCAACCTGGCCAACATGGTGAAACCCCATCTCTACTAACAATACAAAACAAAAATTAGCCAGGCATGGTGGTGCATGCCTGTAGTCCCAGCTACTCAGGAGGCTGAGGCACAAGAACTGCTTGAACCCAGGAGGTGGAGGTTGCAGTGAGCCAAGATCATGCCACTGCACTCCAGCCTGAGCGATAGAGCAAGACTCAGTCTCAAAATAAATAAATAAATAAATATAAATAAATAAAATAAACAAATAAAGACTACATCCAACCAGATAAGGATGCAAACAAGCACATTCTTCTCTGTCTGTTCTCACCAGACAGCTCTGTGACTAGAAGAGATCAGGCCTTCAGCAGCTCAAAGCAGCTGTTGGAACTCACACCTCGCAGTCGCTCATGATGAGAGCCTGGCATTTGCTGCCGAGGGCTCTGCCGTATCAAAGACTCTGCCTTGCAAGACTAACAGGACCAGGACCCTTGGGCCCAGACCAGGAGTCCTTTTCATTCATCCTTTCTCCTCTTTCTTTTTCTTCTGATGTTAAATGTTACTTTGTTTGCTGTGGAATGTTTAACCTATAACTTATATATTGATTAAGTATACTATTATATATGGTTTGCAATATTGACTGACTTGTGGGTGGCTTGAGCCAGAGTGTCTGAGGGAACAGGATGCACTAAGAAGAACTGCCTCCTTGGGAATTCCATGCAGCTTGTGGCGTTTGTGATTGAAATAGCATCAGCGAAAGATGTTGTGGAAAAACACAAACCTGCATGGACCTGGTTATCGCTAACCTTGCACTGCTCGTGACACCCATGGATGTTATCAAACATGATGCAGAGGCGTAAAAAAGCACTTGCAACATCTCCACTGTTCTCTTGCTCCCCTGCCTTCACCATGAGGACATGCCCAGGCTAGCCCTGGAGAATGAGAGCCAGGTTGCCAAAGGGCCAAGTCACCCCAGTGGTTCCACCCAAGGCCATCTGGTCCAGCAGATGACATAGCTGGCAACCCTCAGAAACAGAGAGAGCCTGGCCAAGATCAGCAGAGCAGCCTGCCAACCTGTAGCTAATGACAGTGAGGAAGGCCATTGAGACCAGAACTCTTGGCAGGCTGACCCACAGGCTTACTTATTATTTTAAGCTGCTGAATTTTGGGATAGTTTATTACACAGCATTGATGTGGCAACAGATAGCTGATACGGTGTATATGAGCTAGCATTAGCTCTCATGTCACTTTGATTTTAATAATATTTGCAAATTGAAGGGAGGATGGATCCACATAGAAACCCTCCACAGAAGCATCAACCTGAGAGCTGCATTCCCTACCCCAATGACGTAGCGAATGACTCCCTCTCTGTCTGCCTCAGGGATGACATCCTCATATCCCAAGGGATCGCCAAACTTTTCTCCATCCGTGATGACAACTAGGATCTTAAAGGCATTCTTTCGGGCTCCGTTGGTGATGTTAAACAGCTCTCGTCTGTGCAGGAAACAGGAGGGACAAAGTCAAATGCAAGTAGATGACACACTAGTTTTTTTTTTTTTTTAAGAAATAGACACTCACTCTGTTATCCAGGCTGGAGTGCAGAGACACAATCATAGCTCACTGCAGACTTGAACTCCTGGGCTCAAGTGATTCTCCTGCCTCAGCCTCCTGAGTACCTGGGACTACAGGCATGTACCACCACACTTGGTTTATTTTTTTATCTTTTTAGAGATAGAGTCTCACTATGTTGTCAATTGGTCTCAAACTCCTGGCCTCAAGTGATCCTCCCACCTCGGCCTCCTAAAGTGCTGACATTACTGGTATGAGACCCTGCACCTAGCCAGAGATGCTATTAACGTCAGAAAGGAAATGTCAGCAGAGTCCCAGACACAGATACAGCTAGGCGAGGTCTCGGAGGGGCTCCGTCTCCCCTGAGACTTAGCACTGAGATGCAACTGCCCCGAGACCTGGAAAAGCAGCAGGGAAGGGAAAGGAAGCCTTCACGGTTTTTGTTTTTATACTTTCGCATAATTTGGGTTTTTTAACTGAGTATTATTACTTTTGAATTTTAAAAATATATATATTTATGGCTGACACTTGTAATCCCAGCACTATGGGAAGCCAAGTCAGGTGAATCACCTGAGGTCAGGAGTTCAAGACCAGCCTGGTCAACATGGTGAAACCCTGTCTCTACTAAAAATACAAAAATTAGCTGATGGTGGTGATGGACGCATGTAATCCCAGCTACTCAGGAGGCTGAGGCAGGAGAATTGCTTGAACCCAGGAGGTGGAGGTTGCAGTGAGCCGAGATCAGGCCACTGCATTCCAGCCTGGGTGACAGAGTGAGACTCTGTCTCAAAAAAAAAAAAAAAAAAAAAAAAAAAAAAAAAAAAAATATATATATATATATATATATATATATATATATATATATAGTTAATTGGCCTTCAGGAAACCTCTCCCAGAGCACTGCACCAGCTCCCCAGCCCCTCTAGGACTCTCCAGTGCTTCTTGTACTTCTGTCCCAACCCCATCCTTGCCTCTACACCCACCTCAAAATCAGAGTGAACTTCCCAAAATGAGACATGGCGATATCTCACCACAGGCTGTAAAGCTGCCTTTGGCTCCCTGGCCTGAGCTGATCTTTGTAGCTTCCCTCCAGACACCTTTCCCTCACTTCCCCACTCCACTCCCACCTTTCACTCACAACTTGTCCTTTGATGAACACACCACGCACAGCCTCCCCACCTCTGCCGGTGGGGAAGCATCCTCTACCACCCCTGTCTGAACGGCTCCCTTCATCCATCAAAGCCCAGCTAAAAGTGTCTCCTCCTCCCTCCATCCTAAGGGAAAAGGGGAAGCTTACACCACTTTGCGGATGCCCGTGGCCGTGTGTGTCCGCCCAAGCAGCTGCGTTATTGGCTTCACCAGTGATCTTGGGTTAGGGTTGTTCTGGAACTCTTTGAAGGTAAAGTGAATCCGGAATTCTTCAGAGTACTGCATCAAAGAGAACTGCGGAGGGGGCGGCTGGTGTGATGCTGGAGAAGGTGCCCCCACCCCTCAGACATCTCCCAGCAAGCTCCACGAAGATCTTAAACACTCCACTCTCCAAATTCCTCCTCTGTGCTGCCCCTAATCCCCTGCCTCACCAGGACGGAGAGCTGCCAGCAGCTCCCATCTCTCCTCAATACTAGAACACGGCCAGCGGCCGGGAGCAGTGGCTCACACCTGTAATCCCAGCACTTTGGGAAGCCGAGGCGGGTGGATCACCTGAGGTCAGGAGTTTGAGACCAGCCTGGCCAAAATGGTGAAACCCCGTCTCTACTAAAAATACAAAAACTAGCCAGGCATGGTGGCATGCGCCTGTAATCCCCGCTACTCGGGAGGCTGAGGCAAGAGAATTGCTTGAACCCGGGAGGCGGAGGTTGCAGTGAGCCAAGATCACACCACTGCACTCCAGCCTGAGAGAAAGAGTGAGATTCTGTCTCAAAAAAATAAGAAATAAAAATGAAAATAGAACTCAGCCAGCAATGACACGTGGGCTTCATCTCCCATGCCAACCTTAACAATTAGAGCTGCCCGCTTTATAAAAGGCTGAAAGAATGCTGAGGCTGCATCCAACAGAGCAGAAAAGAGACTCAGGAAGGCAAACCATAATCGATCGTCAATTTGGCAATGTCTGCAGTTGAACTGGGAGGAGAACATGGTGGCCCGGTTGCCATGTATCTTCCAGCCCCGTGTGGGCTCTTCCCTAACCTACCCCTGGGCCCTCACCAAGGTTTTGGACTTTTTTAATTGCTCCATCACAGTTGAGACAAACTCCTTCATCCGCCGAAAGTCATGTGGGATGATGCTACCAGAGCCATCAATCAAGAAGGCAATGTCACTATCCTCTTGAGGACACCCTGGGGAAGGGGAAAAGAGTATGAATCAAGTAATTTGACACTTGGTGTTTTGGGTTTTTTTGCATGTCAGCCCTCTGCTGAACAATGAGAATATAGGACCCCGTCTCTATAAAAAATATAGATGTTAAATATATATATAAATTATGTATAATATATATATAATTTTTAACGTGTGTGTATATATATATATGTATACACACGTTAAAAACATATATATATATATATATATATATATATATATATATATATATATACACACACACACGTTAAAAATTAGTCAGGCATGTTGGCACATGCCTGTAGTCCCAGCTACTCAGGAGGCTGAGGGTGGGGGATCACTTCAGCCCAAAAGGTTGAGGCTTCAGTGAGCTATGATCACGCCATTGCACTCCAGCCTGGGCCACAGAGAAAGACCCTGTCTCTTAAAAATAAATAAATAAGTAAATAAACAAGGACAAAGTGGTATGGAAAATTTTCGTTAATTCTGCCCAAGGGAATCAGGGAATGTGGTGATGTTTGACTGAATCTTGAAGAACAGGAAATAATTTGCCCAGCTGGGCGAGGTGGCTCACACCTGTAATCCCAGCACTTTGGGAGGCTGAGGCAGGTGGATCACTTGAGATCAGGAGTTTGAGACCAGCCTGGCTGACATGGTGAAACCCTATCTCTATTAAAAATACAAAAAGTAGCTGAGATCGCACCACTGCACTCCAGCCTGGGTCACAGAGCAAGACTTCGAAGAAAAGGAAGAAAGGAAGAAAAAAAGGAAAGGAAAGGAAAGGAAAGGAAAGGAAAGGAAAGGAAAGGAAAGGAAAGCAAAGGAGGAAGGAAGGAAGGAAGGAAGGAAGGATTTGCCAGATATACAAAAGGAGTAGATTCTAGAAAAGGGAAGGGCACACACATATAAAGTGATGTGGAATGTGCTCCTCTGCCTTCTGCCCCATCCCCAAATCCACTTTCTACCCATTGCCGCTCAGCTCTGTGGCCTGGGAGGTCAACCTGCAGGGACCCCATCACCAGGACTCTGTTGCCCTCTGGATTCCCATTGGATTTGGCAGATGAGGGGGCTCAACAGAAGACTAGAGGGAGGAGGGCAGTGAGGTCCGGGTGTTCTCCCATTGAGGTTGTTTGGGGACAGCTATGTCCTTCACAAAAGACCAACTGTTCCTCAGAAGGAAGCCAGCTCCACATGACTCTCTCCAGACCCTGGTGAGCTCTCCCTCTCCTCAACCCATAAACCCAGGGGTGGCAACAGACCTGCTTGCCCAGGGCTTGGAAAGTCCCTGATGGCTCCCTTAGGCCTGTCACAGCTTTATAATTACTCCCTTTATAAATAAACCCCCCTCTTTGTAAATAAATCTTACTGAAACCGCCTTTGCAAAATTATGACTGAGACAGTGAAAGAGATCTAACTTAACTGATTCCATCTTGCTTCTAACCTCCAAGCTGTCCGTGTTCATTCCTGGGTGTAGGCTGAGCTAACTTTGGGAGACACTTAGTTTATAGTTTATAGTTTATAGTTTAAACAAAGATCGTAACAGCCCTTTCCCAAAGCAGACCTCCTTCTTACCTGGGGACTAGATTGCCTTTGTAGGACTAACGTTAGCCACAAGATGAGAAATTATGATTTAGGAGTCATGCAGCTGGAGGCTACAAGATTCTGACCCTCCCTAAACTGCTCCTAAAATCAGTGCTTGAGATATTTTGCAGACCTTGCACTTGATGGATCAGCTGGCACTGCCCAGATCAATAAACTGGTTCATCCGATCTTGCTGCCCCCACCCAGGAACCAACTGAACGCAAGAAGACAGCTCCGACTCCCGATGATTTCATCCCTGATCAATCAGCACTCCCAGCTCACTGGCTTCCCCCGCGACCTACCAAGTTATCCTCAAAAACTCTGCCCCCAAATGCTCGAGGAGACTGATTCGAGTGATAATAAAACTCTGGTCCCCTGCATAGCTGGCTCTGTGTGAATTATTCTTTCTCTATCGCAATTCTGCTGTCTTGATGAATCGGCTCTGTCTAGGCAGCAAGCAAGGTGAACCCCTTGGGCAGTTACATTACTGGAATGTGCTTTTGGTCCCAGTTGAGACTCCTACTGATATATGGGACAAGGGCCTCAAAAGGATTCTGGCAGAATCCAGGAATGCCGTTTGATGGAAACAGCACTACAGGGACAAACGTATGTGACGGCGATGGAGACACAGCGGTGGCATCAAGCAAAGAGCAGCGGGCAAGGGCCTTTCTACTCCAATAAGGAGCTCGACTTTATCTGTAGGCAATGGGGAGCCACAGAAGGTTCTTAGAAAAGGAAGTGAGATGATTTGTTTTGTATTTTAGAAAGACTGGCAGGGCACAGTGGCTCATGCCTGTAACCCCAGCACTTTGGGAGGCCTCCTGAATAGCTAAGACCACAGGCACACGCCACCATGCCTGGCTAATTGCATTTTTTGTAGAGATGGGGTCTCATTATGTTGTCTAGGCTGGTCCCAAACTCCTGGCCTCAAACAATCCTCCTGCCTTGACCTCCCAAAGTGCTGGAATTACAGGTGTGAGCTACCGCACCCTTTCGAATTTTGAACCAAGTGTATGTATTATATATTTTTTAATAAATGAAAACTTTTTTAAAGAAGTAGTCTTGAACCCTGAGAGTGAGGTCTAAAGAGGGAGAGGTAGAAGTGTTAGCTGAAGCCACAGAACTGGGTGATTTCAGGAAAGAAGAACACGTGGGTGAAAAGAGAACCCAGAACCCAGTGCCCCTAGGTGGAGAGGGAAGCTGGAGGCCAGCCGGGGGTGAAGAGAATGCACTCAGGAAGCTTGGGTGGTGAGGGTGAGGAGAGATGGCAGGAGATGAGGAGGAGACTGGAAGAGAGAAGATTGTTTTCATGGCTATCGATTGTGGTGGTTGATTGCTTTTCAGATACAGATAGAATGAAGAGTGTTTACAGCCAGAGGAAGGGGGAAGTTAATTGTCCTAGAGAGAAAACAAGTGATTCAAGAGATGCTGGGCCAGGCGCAGTGGCTCACACCTGTGATCCCAGCACTGTGGGAGGCTGAGGTGGGAAGATCTCTTGAGCCCAGGAATTCGAGACCAGCCTGGGCAACAAGGTGAAACCCCATCTCTACAAAAAATACAAAAATCAGTATATGCGCACCTGTGATCCCAGCTACTCTGGAGGCGGAGGCACAAGAATTTCTTGAGCACAGGAGGCAGAGGCTGCAGTGAGCCGAGATTGTGCCACTGCACTCCAGCTTAGGTGACAGAGCAAGACCCTGTCTCCAAAAAAAAAAGAAAAAAGAAAGATAGGTGATCACCTTAGTTGGTGCATGAGAGACTCTCAAAAGCCCATATGGAAGAATTTAGTCATGGGACAGAGGAGAGACAGGTCTTCCTCTAAAACGAGTGAGTCACTGCCAGGAGTGCTGTCATTATGGAAATTTGAGAAAAAGGAGAAAGTGCGGTGTTACAGCTCCTTTAGAATTTGTCAACAAATTCCAGTGAAGACTGGAAAACCGCTTATTAAGATAAAATAAGAGAAGGGGAAAGTGGAGGGAGTCCATGCCTGAAGCTTTTGTTTTCTCTGTGGAGGAAGGAGGATTAACTGTGGAGGGTGAAATATAGAGGAACAGGGCTTGAGAAAGAAAAAAAATGCAAGGGAGAAACATTCGCCTGTGGTCCCAGAATCAACATGAAGACAAGCAAAAAGATGGCATAGCCATCGAACAAAGCAGTGGGAAAAAGCAGCTTGAAAGATCCACGCACTCTGGCCAGGCATGGTGGCTCATGCCCCCCACTCATTCCCTGGCTCATTCCCAGCACTTTGGGAAGCCAAGGTGGGCAGATCACCAGAGCTCAGGAGTTCGAGACCAGCCTGGCCAACATGGTGAAACCCCGTCTCTGCTAAAAATACAAAAATTAGCCGGGTGTGGTGGCGGGCACCTGTAATCCCAGCTACTTGGGAAGATGGGGCAGGAGAATCGCTTGAACCTGGGAGGCAGAGGTTGCAGTAAGCCAAGATCGTGCCACTGCACTCCAGCCTGGGTGACAGAGCGAGACTCTGCCTCAAAAAAAAAAAAAAAAAAAAAAATCCATACAGTCACTCAGAATCTCAATCAACAGAGGTTTGGGGAACAGGGGTGTGGAAGGCCGCCCCCCAGGATGGTCCCCAAGATTCCCACCTCTTGCCAATGACACCTTGCACCATCCCCTCCTCTGCAGTGTGACCTGGACTTATTTTTTAAAGACAGGGTCTTGCTCTGTCACCCAGGTTGGAGTACAGTGGTGCAATCATAACTTGCTGCAGCTTCAACTTCCCAGGCTCAAGTGATCCTCCTGAGTAGCTGGGACTGCAGGTGTGTGCCACCACGCCTGGCTAATTTTTTTTTTTTTTTGTAGAGACGGGGATCTCCCTATGTTGCCCAGGCTTGCCTTGAACTTGTGGCCTCAAGCAATCTTCCCACCTTGGCCTCCAAATAGCTAAGACTACAGGTGCTCATCACCACACTCAGCTAATTTTTTTTTTTTTTTTTTTTAGAGACAGGATCTCACTACATTGCCCAGGCTGATCTCAAGCTCCTGGGCTCCCAAAGCTTTGGGATTGCAGGTATGAGCCACTGTGCCTAGCCAAGGCGTTTTCCTAAAGTACAAGACCCTAGCACCTCCCTAGCTTCTGACTCTAATGGGACCCAGTTCCCCCACTCTTCTGCACCCAGAGCCCAGACCTTGAGCAGACGTCACCTCAGTCCTGCCCCCTCCCCTGGTCTTTTGCTGCGCATCTGTTCCCTCTGCCAAAGGCAACCCACCTCGGAGGGCCTCTGGGAACTTCTGGGGCTGCTGCCGTAGGTTGGATCCAAACAGGAAGCAGAGCCCTTTCACATACGTGTTCTCACTGCAAGTCTGGTGCACGGTGGGACCACAGGCCTAGGGGACAGGAGCCAGTGGAAGGGGCTGCCCCTGCTTCCTGTCCTTGTACCCCAGCACCTCCACCCTCCACAAGACCCCCAGCCCCACCATGCGTGGGCCCCCAAACACCCCCATTAGGATGCTCCTCTGATCGAGCCCCACTCACCAGCAGCTGAGGGGGGCTGGTGGTGGCTGCCAGGGACAGGCCCAGGGACATGTTCACGGCCTCCACGGGGACTGCGGGGACAGATATGGGCATGGTCACCCTGGTGGGGGGACAGAGAAGGCTGTGGAAGAGCTGGGCAGGGGTCACCTCCATGCGGGAGACAAGGAGGTCTGACGGTGAAGGGGGATCCTAAATCTTGGGAAAGAAAGGAACACAGAGGGGTTGCCTGGGGATGTCTAGGGTAGAGACTGCAGGCAGAGGAGAGGGTACGGAGGCAGGCACCTGTGTCCCCACCACAGATCCCCAGGACACAGGAGTGCCTGGAAAGTCCCTATGTGTTCACAGGGGAATCCCAGTCCCAGCCCGGCGGGGCAGTGACTCACCCTGCAGGCGGATGGGCTCGCATGAGCCTGTGCTGTAGTCGCACTGGTAGAGGCTGCCCCTTTGGTTGGCAGCCACTATCTCCTGGGGGGCTCCAACCACCACCCTGTGGGGAGAAGTGGGAACAGAGAAAACTTCGACATGTGGGGAGAGAAGGAGACCACAGAGGAAGTTCTGCCACCCAGAGGACGGTGGGGGCCCATACCCGGATTCCTAAATTCCTATGACTAGGAGGAAGAATTAGCAAAGAAAAAAATGGGAAAATGTTAAGACTCAGAATGAGAAAAGGTCTTCCTAAGAATGACACAAAAACCAGAAGTCATTTAAAAATAGGACCAGGCGCGGTGGCTCATGCTTGTAATCCTAGCACTTTGGGAGGCCAAGGGGGTGGATTGCCTGAGCTCAGGAGTTCAAGATCAGCCTGGGCAACATGGTGAAACCCCGCCTCTACTAAAAATACAAAAAATTAGCCACACGTGGTGGTGCGTACCTGTAATCCCAGCTAAATGGGAGGCTGAGGCAAGAGAATTGCTTGAACCCAGGAGGCAGAGGTTGCAGTGAGCCGAGATAGCACCACTGCACTCCAGCCTGAGAGACAGGGCAAGACTCTGTCCCAAAAAATAAATGAATAAATTTTAAAAATAAAAATAGGTCAATTCAAGCTGGGCACCATGGCTCATGCCTTTAATCCCAGCACCTTGGGAGGTTGAGGCAGGAGCATCATTTGAGGCCAGGAGTTTGAAACTAGCCCGGGTAACATAGCCAGACCCCATCTCTACAAAAAATGTTTTTAAAAATTAGCCAGGTATGGTGGTACACACCTGTAGTCCCAGGCCAACCATTTTTTTTTTTTCTTTGAGACAGGGTCTCACCCTGTTGCCCAAGATGGAGTCCAGTGGCATAATCATAGCTCACTGCAACCTCTGCCTCCTGGGCTCAAACAATCCTTCCACCTCAGTCTCCCAAAGTGTTAGAATTACAGGCATGAGCCACTGGACCCGGCCCACACAGTCATTTTATTTATTTTTATTTTTATTTATTTTCTTTCTTTGAAACAGATTCTCACTCCATCACCCAGGCTGGAGTATAGTGGTGCAATCTCGGCTCACTGCTGCAACCTCTGCCTCCCAGGTTCAAGCATTCCTCCTGTCTCAACCTCCTGAGTAGCTGGGATTACAGGTGTGTGCCACCATGCTTGGCTAATTTGTGTATTTTTAGTAGAGATGAGGTTTCCTTATGTTGGCCAGGGTAGTCTCGAACTCCTGGCTTCCAGCGACCAGCCCAGCTCGGCCTCCCAAAATGCTGGGATTACAGGCGTGAGCCCCTGCACCCAGCCTCCACACAGTCATTTTCAATAAATTTCTGGGCCAGGCGCAGTGGCTCACACCTGTAATCCCTGCACTTTGGGAGGCCGAGGCAAGTGGATCACGAGGTCAGGAAATCGAGAACATCCTGGCTAACATGGTGAAACCCCATCTCTACTAAAAATACAAAAAAATTAGCCAGGCGTGGTGGCACGCACCTGTAGTCCCAGCTACTCGGGAGGCTGAGGCAGGAGAATCGCTTGAACCCAGGAGGCAGAGGTTGCAGTGAGCCGAGATCACTCCACTGCACTCCAGCCTGGACGACAAAGCGAGACTCCATCTCAATAAATAAATAAATAAATAAATAAATAAATAAATAAATAAATAAATAAATTTTTGTATGTGATAAACTACCATAAGCATACTCAAAAGAAAAATAATACACAAGGGAGAGAGCTTCACAACTCATACCCCAGACTACTTTCCTCAGTGTACTCAAAGCTTGTACAAACTAGTAAAAAAAAAAAAAAAGAAAGAAAAATGGCCAACAGATAAGAAAAACATGTTCACAGAAAATGCCTCTCTCATAAAAAAAAAAGAAGCAATTTAAAGCTAAATTAAGATACCACTTCTCACCTACTCGATCTGCAGAGATCAGTAAGTTTGATAGCACACTGAGTTGGCAAATGAGTGAGGGAGTATGAGGAAGTAGGTATTTTCATGAATTTCTGGTGTGAGTGTAAATTGCTGCCACCACTGTAGAGGGGGATCTGGAAAAATCTATTAAAATTGCACGTGCTCATGCACCCGTGGATACCACAATCCCAGTCCTAGCCTTTACTTCCAAATAGGCTTGCACATGTGCAAAATGACAGCATTGTTCATAGAGCAAAAGTTTGGGAACAATCTAAATGTTCATTAACAAGAGATCTAATGTAATGTAAAAGGAGATTACAAGCCAGGCACGGTGGCTCAAGCCTGTAATCCCAGCACTTTGGGAGGCCGAGGCAGGTGGATCACCTGAGCTCAGGAGTTCAAGACCAACCTGGCCAACATGGTGAAACCCTGTCTCTACAAAAATACAAAAATTAGCCAGGCGTGGTGGCAGGCACCTGCAATCCAAGCTACTCAGGAGGCTGAGGCAGGAGAATCGATTGAACCCAGGAGGCAGAAGTCGCAGTGAGCCAAGATCATGCCACTGCACTCCAGCCTGGGCGACAGAGGGAGTCTCTAAAAAAATAAAATAAAATAAATTATAGCATCTCCCAATTATGGCATGCAATGCAAGCATAACATGGGATTAATGGACTCAAATCACTGGGCTGTATTATGGGAGATAAAGCAAAGAGCAGAGACCAGCCCCCTTCTTCTGGAAAGGTACTATCACCTCCACAATTACTGTTTCTGTAAAGGTAAATGTTTTAGGCTTCAGGGTCCATACAATCTCTATCACAGCTCCTGAATTCTGCCATTACAGCTCAAAAGTGGCCATAGCCAGGCACAGTGGTTTACACCTATCATCCCAGCAAGTTGGGAGGCCCAAGCAAGAGGATGACTTGAGGCCAGGAGTTTGAGACCAGATTGGGCAACAGAGTGAGACCTCGTCTATACAAAAAAAATCAAAAAATTAGCCAGGTGTGGTGGCACATGCCTGTAGTCCCAGCTACTCAGGAGGCTAAGGTGGGAGGATTGCTTGAGCCCAGGAGTTTGAGTCTACAGTGAGCTATGATTTCACCTGTGCACTCCAGGCTGAATGACAGAACAAGACCATGTCAGAAAGGAAAGAAAGAAATGAAGGAAGGAAGGAAGGAAGGAAGGAAGGAAGGAAGGAAGGAAGGAAGGAAGGAAGGAAGGAAGGATGGAAGGGAGGGAAGGGAGGGAAGGAGGGAAAGAGGGAAGCAGGGAATGAGAGAGGGAGGAAGGAAGGAAGGAAAGAAGGAAGGAAGGAAGGAAGGGAGGAAGGGAGGGAAGGGCAATAAACAGTAAGAGACAAGTGGACGGAGTTGTTTTCAATAAAATTCATTCACAAAAATAGGCGGCAGCCTGCAGGCAGGCCTTAATTTCAGTACAATGTATACTACACATGGTGTGTTGGCTGAGGGAGGGAACGTGTATGTGTTATGCACACACAGAGTCTCCCCGAAGGAACACCCAGGAAACCATTTGTGAGGTCCCTCCTGGGAAGGGAACTAGGGGAAGGGAGTAAGGAAGAGATTTTTACTCTTACACCCTTTTGCATCTTTTGAATTTAGAATACTGTAAATTCAAAAGATGAATTTGTTGTATATTTTGAATTGATTTATCTGTTGAAAAAGATCACTCAAATCGCTGATTTTTTTCAGGTATGTAAGTCTTGGAGAGAAAGCACTGAGAAAGGGGGCTCCATCTAAGGGTCTCACCTGGATCCCTGAAGCTGGACCACGCTCTGCCCGAAGCCCCTTGCGTTCTCTTGGAAGGTCATTGCGTTTTCAGTGTCCAAGTTGAACCCATGACATAAGGTCAAGGCTAAAGGGAGAATGGGGGAAGGATCAAGCAGAGGAAAGTAGCATGCCAGTTAGGGGCTGTAGTCCTAGCACTTTGGAGGGCTGAGGCAGGAGGATCACTTGAGCCCTGATTGTGCCACTGCACTCCAGCCTGAGCAACAGAGAGAGATCCTATCTCAAAATTAAATACAAAAAAAAAACAAAAACTAATAATAATTTAAAAGAAAGCAATGGCTGGGTGTGGTGGCTCAGGCCTGTTATCCCAATAATTTAAGAGGCTGACGTGGGAGGATCACCTGGGCTCAGGAGTTTAAGACCAGCCTAGGCAACACAGTGAGACCCCATCTCTACAAAAAATAAAAAATTAGCCGGGTGTAGTGGTACTCAGGAGGCTGAGGTGGGAGGATTGCTTGAACCCAGGAGGTCAAGGCTGCAGTGAACCATGATCATGCCACTGCACTACAGCCTGGGCAACAGAGAAAGACCCTGTATCAAAAAAAAAAAAAAAAAAAAAAGATAGCAGCATGTCTTCCTGCTCCATTCCCTTTCCCATCCATTCGGTCACCCTAACTAACCCAGCATCCAGATGTCTGCCTCCCAGGTCCAGCTCTGTTAGCCTGGGGCGGGGATTAGCACACTTATTCTGTAAACAGCCAGATAGTAAATTTTAGGTTTTGCAGACCAAGAGGCTGATAGAATATGTTGTACAAGTACTTATATAACAAGACAGAAAATACTTTTCCACAAATTTGTCATTAGGGAAATTTCAAACATAATGATTGAGTACAATTTGTTTGTAATACGGGTTTACAAATGAGACAAATAGAATTCTTTGGGGGTGGTGCTCCCTATCATCAAATCGATTATCAGTGTTCATCTTCAATCTCTAGCTGGCAGGTTGTGCAAAAACAGGTCGTGGGCCATATCGGGCCCCCAGGCCACTGTTTGCTGACTCCTGACCTAAGAACCACCGTCGTGGGGCACGTCCAGTCCTGCTCTGAATTCCAGCCTCCCTTCTGAGCACCTAAATGGCTTCTTCCCCCGGTGTCACAACGATGATTTGCCCAACAGTGAAGTTTCTATACATTCTTAATTAGATAATTTCCTTCCTATGCAGCTCTCAAGTATTTCCTTCCCTTTTGAGGAGAATTTCATTTTCCACAACATATAAGCATAAAAGGTAACAAACTCAAATCATTTTCATTCATCAGTCATTCAACAAACATTTGCACCCGGGACCTTGGAAAATAGAACCGGAGGCAAAGTGGAGATGGTGAGAGGGGATCCAGGAGGAAGCACTCAGGAAAGGGGTCTCACACCTGCTGCGCACCCTGAGCCATGTCACTTCTCCTCCCTGGGCCTCCGTCTCCTCATGTGTGAAGCAAGGGGACCGGCAAGCAGCCTTGCACAGTCCATGAATGTGGTCATTCATCCAGGCTTCCCTGGCCAGCCTGTCTGGGTCTAGCTGTTCTCCCTGCTTCTTCTTGAACCCTTTCTCCTTCCCCAAATCCCCTTTGCCTCTCCCCAGACTGACTCCTACATATTCTGGGCCCTCTATTTATGACAGACCCAAAAGTTACCCTCCTCCCCACCCAGAGTCCCCCACCCCACCCCCATGCACCTGTTAACAGAAGGACTCTGAGAGCCATGGCTGGAAGGAGCCAGAACCTGGAAGGAGGTGAACCAGGGGTTGCAGGCACCACTGAGGAACCACAAGGAAGCCACCAAAGCAAAGAAGGGCAGAAAAGGAGAAGTAGGAGGCAGAAGTCTATCAGAGATTCAAAGGAAGAGGGCGGAGGCTCAGTGAGCACATAGCCCTGCCTGGTCTTCCGCCCAGGACTGCCCACAGCCTGCCCACCCTTCCTCCCCAGCTTCCTGACCCAAACTTTCAAAGTCAATACCACTATCCAAAAGGTGCCATTTGTCACCCACTTGTTTCTTGGGTTGGCCCAAGCATATGAACAAGCTGAACAGACTTAGCCTGCCTCCTGGAATTCGTGTTCTAAACATTAATACGGGCCAGGCGCAGTGGCTCACGCCTGTAATGCCAGCACTTTGGGAGGCCAAGGCAGGAGGATTGCTTGAGCCTGGGAGTTTGAAACCAGCCTGGGCAACATAGAGAGACCCTGTCTCTACAAAAAAATATTTTTAATTAGCTGGGCATGGTGGTGCGCGCCTGTAGCCCCTGCTACTGGACAGGCTGAGGTGTGAGAATTACTTGAGCCCGAGGTCCAGGCTGCAGTGAGCTAGGATCACACCACTGCACTCCAGCCTGGGCAACATAGGGAGACCCCGACTCTACAAAAAAATACATTTAAAAAATTAGCCAGGCATGGTGGCACATGCCTGTAGTCCTAGCTACTCCAGAGGCTGAGGCAGGAGGATTGTTTGAGCTCAGGAGTCTGAGACTGCAATGAGCCTCAATAATGCCACTGCACTCCAGCCCAGGTGACAGAGTGAGACTCTGTCTCAAAAAAAAAATTAAATAAATAAATAAGCAAACATTAATACAGATCAAACAAGTGTAGGAGGTAAAACTCTGTGTCTTCCTGAAAACACACTTTGCAAAATGTCCCTCCTTCAGCCCATGGAAATGGAAGCGCCCTTCAGCCAGAGCTGTCCTCATTTGTAGCCATCAACAAAGACAACTCAAGTACAGGCATACCTGGTGCTTTTTAAATATTATTTTGTGCTTTTTTTAGAGACAGAGTCTAGCTCTGTTGCCCAGGCTGGAGTGCAGTGGTGTAATCACAGCTCACTGCAGCTTCAATCAACCTCCTGGGCTCAAGCGATCCTCCTACCTCAGCCTTCCGAGTAGCTGGTACTACAGGCACATGCTGCCATGGCCAGCTAATTTTTTTTAAATTTTTTGTAGAGACAAGATCTTGCTATGTTGTTCAGGCTATTCTCAACCTCCTGGACTCAAGTGATCCTCCTTCCTCAGCCTCCCAAACTGCTGAGATTACAGGTGTGAGCCACTGCATCCAGCCTATTTTTGTGTGTGTGTGTGTGTGTGTGTGTAAAGGCCTCAAGCTCTTCACCCAAGAATTTTCACTTCTAGTAATTTATCCTAAGAATAGTTAAGAAGTGTAGTCAAAAATATATGTACAAACTTGGCTGGGTGCGGTGGCTCATGCCTGTAATCCTAGCATTTTGGGAGGCTGAGGCGGGGTGGCTCACTTGAGGTCAGCAATTGAAACCAGCCTGCCCAACATGGTGAAACCTCATCTTTACTAAAAAGACAAAAAAATTAGCCAGGCGTGGTGGCAGGCACCTGTAATCCCACCTGGGAGGCTGAGGCAGCAGAATCACTTGAACCCTGGAGGCGGAGGTTGCAGTGAGCAGAGATTGTGCCACTGCACTCCAGCCTAGGCGACAGAGCAAGACTCTTATCTCTAAAAAAAAAAAAATATATATATATATATATATTTGCAAGCTTGTTCATTGCAGCATTATTGTTAATATGAAAAGCTAAAAAAACCTGAATATTCAACAGAGGAATGGTTCAATGATACTTCACTCTGTGATATATCCTTACCCTCCCCTGTGTCTGTCACTTTTAATTCTGTTTTCAAAGGCACAGGAAAATAGGTATCCTTCCACACATACATGGAACACAAACCTCACCTTTATGTGACCGCCAATGTGATTCTCAAGCCAATGATTTTTTTCACTCTTTCTCAACACATTTTCTTTTTTTTTTTTTTTTTTTTTTTGTGAAACGGAGTCTCCCTCTGTCGCCCAGGCTGGAGTGCAGTGGCGTGATCTCAGCTCACTGCAACCTCTGCCTCCCGAGTTCAAGTGATTCTCCTGCCTCAGCCTCCCGAGTAGCTGAGAATACAGGTGCTTGCCACCACGCCTGGCTAATTTTTTGTATTTTCAGTAGAGACAGGGTTTCACCATTCAACACATTTTCTTTTGCCTCTAGTTCTACTTTCCCGATAACTAGATGGAAAAAAATGCTTGCTGGCTGAAAAAAAAAAAAGCAATTAAAATTATGTACATTTGGTTAAAAATTATCTGTTTATAATTTTTATATATAGCCAGGTGTGGTGACTCCTGCTTGTAATCTCAGCACATTGGGAGGCCAAGGCAGAGGGATCATTTGAGCTCAGGAACTCAAGACCAGCCTGGGCAACACAGCAAGACCCTGACTCTACAAAAAAATGTTTAAAAATTAGCTGGGCATAGTGATGCACACCTGTGGTCCCAGCTACTCAACAGGCTGAGGTGGGAGGATCGCTTGAGCCAAGGAGGTTGAGGCTGCAGTGAGATATGATTGCACCACTGCACTCCAGCCTGGAAAACAGAGCCAGACCCTGTCTCTAAAATATATATAGGCAGGGCATGTAATATATACAGGCACGCCTGTAATCCCAGCACTTCGGGAGGCTGAGGTGGGAGGATCACCTGAGATTAGGAGTTCAAGACCAGCCTGGCCAACATGGTGAAACCCCATCTCTACTAAAAATACAACAATTAGCCAGGCGTGGTGGCAGGCACCTGTAATCCTAGTTACTTGGGAGGCTGAGGCAGGAGAATCACTTGAACCTGGGAGGTGGAGGTTGCAGTGAGCTGAGATTGCACCATTGCACTCCAGCCTGGGCAATAGAGCTTGACTCAGTTTCAAAAAATAAAAAATTAAAATTAAATAAATAAGTACATACATACAAAAATAAATCATATATATATATATATATATATATATATATATATATATATATATATGCAGGAAAACCAAATGTTAATAGTCGTTATCTCCAAGATAGGAGGATTACAGGTATGTTCCAGTATCTATTGCTGCAGAGCGAGCTACTCCAAAACTTCATAGTTAAAAACAGCAGCATATTATAATCTCTCGCGTATCTGTGAATCTCCTGGCCTCAGCAGTTCTCAGCGGGGTCTCTCACATGATTGCAGTCGGATCACAACCAGGGCTAGAGTAATCCAAAGCTCAGTTGGGCTGGGCTCCCAAAATGGGTCACTCCCACAGCTGGCAGTTGGCCGTGGGCTAGGAGCTCAGTTGGGGCTGTCACCTGGGCACCCCCACGTGCCCTCTCCATGTGGCTTGGGCTTCTCGCAGCATGGTGGCTGGACTTCAAGAGCAAGTGTTCCAACAGACAGGAAGCAGAAATTTCCAGGCTACTAAGGTCTTGATCTGGAAACTGGCGCCAAGTCATCTGCACCACATTCCATTGATCAGGCAGTCACAGAGCTCATCCACATTCAAGCAAAGGGGACACAGATCCCACCTCCCAATGGGAGGAATTTGTGGTTGTATTCAATCTGCTACAAGATGACTTTAATATTCTTTTCTATATCATTTGTACTTAAAATATTTATATAGGCTGGGTGCAGTGGCTCATGCCTGTGATCCCAATGCTGTGGGAGGCCAAGGCAAGAGGATCACTTGAGCCCAGGAGTTTGAGGCTACAGTGAGCTATGACCTCAACACTGCACTCCAGCCTGGGCAACAGAGCAAGACCATGTCTCAAAGAGAAAAAAAAAAAAGACCTTTATACAAAAAAAAGACTCATAATCATAAAAAATACCAATAGATAATTTAAAACAACAGGTTACCTGTATTTGTTAGCAGGTAAAGAAGCTGAGGAAAGGACGAACGAAGTCATGAGCCCAAGATGAGAAGATACCAACCAGGGTGCCCGGGGAGGAGTTTAGTAGATCAGCTGGGTTTGCTTTGGGAAAAGTTTTCACACTCTGGCCACTATGGGGGCTGCTCGAACTCAGACGTGGAGGCCCCTCCTTGCCCTGAACAGTGGCCAAGGGTCCACTCTCTGTAAAAACATAGGCAAGATCTCAGACTGGCTGTCCAACCTGCAGAGGCTTTCTCAATGAGCCACCACCAAGTGTGCACCTGACCTGGTGACCGTGGGTGGGGACATATCTATAAGCTGTTGGCTGTTCCCTCCTACCTGTCCCCCATCCCCACTCTTGATAAAATCTTAGCTTGATTTCCCCTATAAGTGGACTCTGAGACAAGGCTTCAAGTGTAAGTAATTTATCTGGAAGGTGATTCCGGAAACACTGGTGGGAAAGTGAGGAAAAGAAGGAGCTAATGCCAGGCACAATGGCTCACTGCCTGTAATACCAGCACTTTGGGAGTCCAGAGTGGGAGGATCGCTTGAGCCCAGGAGTTCAAGACCAACCTGGGCAACATAGGAAGATTCTGTCTCTTAAAAAAAATTTTTTTTTAATTATCTAGTGTGGTGGTATGCACATGTAGTCCCAGCTACTCAGGAAGCTGAGGCAGGAGGATCACTTGCACCCAAGGGGTCGAGGTTGCAGTGAGCTATGATCATGCCACCATACACTGTACTCTAGCCTGGGCAACATAATAAGACCCCGTCTCTTAAATTTTTTTAATTAAATAAATAATTAATTAATTAAACATTAATATGTATCAAACAGGTGTGGGAAATCAAACTATCTCCCTGAAAACGCACTTCGCAAAATGTCCCTTGGACATTTTGAGCCCAAGTGTTGGAGGCTGCAGTGAGCCATGATCACACTACTGCACTCCAGCCTGGGCAACAGAGTGAGACCTTGTCTCAAAAAAAAAAAGAAGGAAGAAAGAAAGAGCTTATAAAAGATATGTAATTAAACAAATTACTGGCCGGGCATGATGGCTCACGTTTGTAATCCCAGCACTTTGGGAGGCTGATGTGGGTGGATCACCTGAGATCAGGAGTTCGAGACCAGCCTGGCCAACATGGCAAAACCCGTCTCTGCTAAAAATACAAAAATTAGCCAGACATGGTGGCATGCGCCTGTAGTCCCAGCTACTCGGGTGGCTGAGACAGGAGAATGCTAGGAACCCGGGAGGTGGAGGTTGCAGTGAGCCGAGATCATGCCACTGCACTCCAGCCTGGGCAACAGAGCAAGACTTCATCCTCAAAAAAAAAAAAAAAAAAAAAAAAAAAAAAGATTATTGACCTGGTGCAGTGGCTCACGCCTGTAATCCTAGCACTTTGGGAGGCTGAAGTGGGTGGATCACTTGAGGCCAGGAGTTTGAGACCAGCCTGGCCAACATGGTGAAATCCCATCTCTACAAAAAATACAAAAATTAGCTGGGCATCATGGTGCATGCCTGTAATCCCAGCTGCTCGGGAGGCTGAGGCATGAGAATTGCTTGTACCCGGGAGGCAGAGGTTTCAGTGAACTGAGATTGTGCCACCACACTCCAGCCTGGGCAACAGAGCAACACTCCATCTCAAAAAAAAAAAAAAAAAAAAAAAAAAAAAGAATAGAGAGATATGTCATCTTCATGGATGACAAGACTACAAGACTACAGATGTCAGTACAGATGTCGGTTCTCCATTTAATTACTCAAATTCATTATAATCTCACCCAGCAGAATTTTTCTAGAATTTGACGTGCTGATTCAAAAATTGACTGGACTAGAAAACACACAGCAATAGCCTATAAAGCAATGGGACATACCTTACAATGTCATGTTATTCCATAACAAGTACCCTATCAAAGCAATATTCTAAAGCCACAGTAGGTAAAAGTACAGTGTTGGCTCTGGAATAAGTATATAAGACCCTCGGAAAGAATACAAAATACGTATGTAGAAATCTGGTGTTCCCATCAGAAACAATACATTTCTCCTACTGAAAAAGCAAACAAGACTTTCTTTGATTCCACTCCCCTCATCAACCACTGCCCATTTTTTACTTCCCTTTTGCAAAACTTCTCCAAAGTAGTTGTCTGTGTTGGCTGCACCCTGTTCTACTGCTCACATCCTCCCTTAACCCCATTCCAACCAAGCCTGTGCTCCAACCCGGCACCTACTCCACCTAAACTATTTTTATCAAGGTCACCAAGGCTGCCTGAGTGACTCCAGTGATGAGTTCTGTCTTCATCTTGAGTGACTCAGCAGCAGCTTCTGACACTCGGCCCTCGCTTCCTGGAACTGATTTCTACATCTGTCCTCTGACCCCACACTCTCCTGCTTCCCGCCTACCGCCCATGACCCTCCTTCTCAGTTTCTCTTGCTGATTCTCCTCTTCTCCCAACCTCTTCAGAAGGATCTCAGAGCTCAGTCCTTTGACTGCCTTTTTTCTTTTTTCCAACTCCTGGGTTCAAATGATCCTCCCACCTCAGCCTCCTAAATAGCTGGTACTACAGGCATGCGCCCCCATGTCCAGGTAATTTTTCAATCTTTTTGTAGAGACGGGGTCTCACTAAGTTGCCTAGGCTGGTCTCAAACTCCTAGCCTCAAGCCATCCTCCCACCTCAGCCTCCCAAAGTGCTGGCATTACATGCGTGAGCCACCGTGCCCAGCCGAAGTCAATTTTCAGTACAGCAGTCAGAGGGATTGTTTCAAAACACAAGACATATCATGCCACTCCTCTGCTCAAAACCTTGCAAAGGCTCCCACGTTACTGATAGTAAAAGCCAGTCCTTTCTACAACCTACAAGGACCTGCATGACCTGTCATCCCAACCCCAGCCCTTACCTCTCTGAGCTTACCTCATTTTCTGGGACAGCAGCCACCCTGGCCTCCTTGCCATTCCTCAAACCTGCCAGGCACACCACCACCTGAAGGCCATGGCACTGGCTGTTCCCTCTGATGGAACCAATCTTCCCCCAGGGATCGGCAGGCTCACTGGCCCACCTCCTTCAAACAAGTGGGTTTTGCATCACATGACTCTCTATACTCAACTTCGCAAACCTTCTTTGCCACATTCCTCAACATTTTCCAGTTTTGCTCTCAGGGGAATGAAGGTATCAGGTCTTCATCGTCCCTTTTCCTGCACAGCACCCAGGGTCACGGCTTCTCTCTTCCCAACAAAATCTCCCAGTCCCACCTCTCCAAATTTCCTTCCTTGTCTACACAGACAAATTATCTCCGTCTGAGCTCCTCCAATTTGCTTCGCTCACCACACTCGAAGAAACTTGCTACAGGATCCGCCCTCCTGAGAAAGTTGTGGGAAGAACAAGAATAAAATACTGTTTTTCCATTGCACTGGATTGTCAAGAAAAGTTCCTGTGATCCTGTCAGGCCTCTGAGCCCAAGCTAAGCCATCATATCCCCTGTGACCTGCATGTATACATCCAGATGGCTTGAAGCAACTGAAGATCCACAAAAGAAGTGAAAATAGCCTTAACTGATGACATTCCACCATTGTGATTTGTTTCTGTCCCACCCTAACTGATCAATGTACTTTGTAATCTCCCCCACCCTTAAGAAGGTACTTTGTAATCTCCCCGACCCTTAAGAAGGTTCTTTGTAATTCTCCCCACCCTTGAGAATGTACTTTGTGAGATCCACCCCTGCCCGCAAAACATGGCTTTTCACCCCCTATCCCAAAACCTGTAGGAACTAATGATAATCCACCACCCTTTGCTGACTCTCTTTTCGGACTCAGCCCGCCTGCACCCAGGTGAAATAAACAGCCTTGTTGCTCACACGAAGCCCGTTTGGTGGTCTCTTCACATGGACACGTGAGACAACCCCAGCTACCCAGGAGGCTGAGGTGGGAGAATCACTTGAGCCCAGGAGATTGAGGCTGCAGTGAGCTGATTGCACCACCGCACTCCAGCTTGGGCAACACAGCGAGACCCTGTCTTAAAAAAAAAAAAAAGTAAGAAAAAAAAGTTCCACCTGAGTGTCATCCTCAGCCATCTGGTTAAGCCTTTGGGTCTGGAATCAGACTAAGGGCACTAAAATCCTAGGTCTACGCCGGGTGTGGTGGCTCACACCTGTAATCCCAGCACTTTGGGAGGCTGAGGCAGGTGGATCACCTGAAGTCAGAAGTTTGAAACCAGCCTGGACAATATAGCGAAACCCTGTCTCTACCAAAAATACAAAAATTAGCCGGGAATGGTGGCACATGCCTGTAATCCCAGCTACTCAGGAGGCTGAGGCAAGAAAATCACTTGAACCCAGGAGGCGGAGATTGCAATGAGCCAAGATCACACCACTGCCCTCCAGCCTGGGCAACAGAGCAAGATCTCATCTCAGAAAAAAAAAAAAAAAGAATAAAAATATCCTAGGTCTATAAGTATGCCCTTGAACAACTTACTCTCTGGACCTCACTGTCCTCATCTGGAAAATGGGGGCAATAATTGTACTAACATCTTGGGGTGATTGTGATAGTTAAATGAGATAATAATAGATGTCAAAGTGCATGTAGTCAACATTCGCTGTAATCATTCTACCAACTGTGTTGGGTTGATGGATGACCTGGCCAGCGCACCCTCGATGACACACAGAGGTAGGTGGCTGAAAGCTGCCTGTCGCTCAGTGGGAAGCATTCTGGATGCTTCCCTTGCCACCTCAGTTGTCCATGCAGCAGGCCAAATGTCTGGCAGGCCAAGGAAATTGTTCTACCACAGGCTTTGTGAGTCCCAGGTGTTTCGACCAAGGTCACACAAAGAGCATGGTTGGCCACAGGTGACTTGCAGGGCAGCGACAGCCATTTCACCATCTCTAAGTTCTTGCCTCCCAACCTTGAAAGGAGGAGTTGCTCAGGGCCTAACCTGAGCAGGGCAGGAAACAAAACTACTAATTCCTGGAATAGGCTACTTGGTACTCAGTAAATCTCATGTTCTACTTGTTCTGTTGTTTTTCCCCAAAAGGCCCTAACTGATGTGTGACTTAACAGAGTTTTTGTAAGGGTTAAATTAAATAATGCATGTGAAAAGCTTAGCACAGTGCCTGGCATGTAAGATGCGCCCCCACCGGCAAAGATGATTATTTGTATTGGTGGAGACTAAGGTTCAACTGTTGTAATAAGACCCAAAATCACAGAGGCTTAGCCCAGACAGTCCTGTGATGGCCCCAGCATCAGCATTTGGGGGTTACGGAGGCTCCATGGTGTTGGAGATCCAGGCTCCCTCCAGCAGGTTGCTCTGCCATCCTGAGGGTTTTGTCTTCATCCGCCTGGTCAAAGACGGCCCAGCGCCAAGTCCACCCTCGGGCTGACAGGAAGGATAAAAAGAAGTGGTGCCTGGCAGGGAGTGGTGGCTCACGCCTGTAATCCCAGCACTTTGGGAGGCCGAGGCAGGCGGATCACCTGAGGTCAGGAGTTCAAGACCAGCCTAACCAACATGGTGAAACCCCATCTCTACTAAAAATACAAAAATTAGCTGGGTGTGGTGGCACATGCCTGCAATCCCAGCAACTTGGGAGACTGAGGCAGGAGAATCGCTTGAACTCAGGAGGCAGAGGTTGCAGTGAGCCGAGCTCAAGCCACTGTACTCCATCCTGGGCAATAGAGTGAGACTTTGTCTCAAAAAAAAAAAAAAAAAAATTGAGGCCAGGCACGTTGGCTTATGTCTGTAATCCCAGCACTTTAGAAGGCCGAGGCAGGCAGATCACTTGAGCCCACGAGTTCAAGACCAGCGCAGCAACATGACACAACCTTGTCTCTATAAAAATTACAAAAAAAAATTAGCTGGGCATGGTAGCATGTGCCTGTGGTCCCTGCTACTTGGGAGGCTTAGGTGGGAGGATCACCTGAGCCTGGGAGGTCAAGGCTGCAGTGAGTCAAGATTGCACCACTTTACTCCAGCCTGGGTAACAGAGCAAGAATCTGTATCAAAAAAAAAAAAAGCCAGGCACAGTGGCTCACACCTGTAATCCCAGCATTTTGGGAGGCCGAAGTGGGTTCACATGAGGTCAGGAGTTCGAGACCAGCCTGGCAAACATGGTGAAACCCCGCCTTTACTAAAAATACAAAAATTAGCCAGCCATTGTGGCGGGCGCTTATAGTCCCAGCTCCTTGGGAGGCTGAGGCAGGAGAATCGCTTGAACCTGGAAGGTGGAGGTTGCAGTGAGCCAAGAGCATGCCACTGCACTCCAGCCTGGGTGACAGAGTGAGACTCTGTCTCATAACAAAGAAAAAAAATGGTGGGAAGGCCCCTTTCCTTTAAAGGTGAGACCAAATGTTGCACACATCATTTCCTTCACATCTCATTGGCCAGGACTTAGTCACATGGCCACACACAACTGCAGTGGTGACTGGAAAATGTGATGTTATCCTAAGTATCTGTGTGCTAATTAATGGGGTTGCATTACTAAAGGAAGAAGAGGAAAGCACATGGGGGCAACTAGCTCTCTCTGCCACATATCATTATCATTACTCTAAGCACGCTCTGGATGAAACATCTTGTACAATTTGACAAAGTAACTATGGTCCTTAGGCATCCTTGACCTGATATAAGTATCATTACTGTCACATTCAGCTCAGGGCCTCTCTATTCAGAGCTTTACAGGCCTTGGGGTTTGGGGAGAGGCTGCAGATTCAACAAGAGCTTTCCTCCAGAAAAGTTTTATGTGCCTTAAATAAAGTGGGAAATTGAGGGAGAGGGGGGCTTCCTGGTTCCACATGAAGGAATACAGAGGTTGGAGAAAGGGTGGAGGCAAAGCCCTGAGGGGAGGCAGGCATCTCTCACTCCAAGGGGCTCCTCAGCAGAGGAGAGAGCCATGGTTAAGCTAAATAGCAACCCCAGGAACACCTCAGCTGTACTTCAGCTACTGGGGACCACAAGCAAGAGATGGACCCAGCTTGGAGTCTAGAGAGAGTCAGGGCATTTCCAACCACATATGGGTACCAGTCATGTGGAACCCCTGCCATCCCTTCAATTCTTTCCTCTCAATCTCTCACCCTGGGGGAGCCACAAACAGAAGGAAGAGAAAAAGGAGGAGAAGTAAAAGGGTGGATCACACACCCTGGCCCCTCAAAGTCCCTAGAGCTAGCATTAAACTGTATATGGTGTGATGACTTGGAGATTATGCCCATCTTTCCACTAGACTCTTCATTCAACAGGTATTAACTATGTGCCAGGTGCTGCTCCAGGCTCAGGGAAATGGATGTGAACGAGAGAGGAAACCTCCCTACCTTTAAGGAGCTTACGTTCTTGGGGGGTGATAAACAATGGCTGCCTTGAGAGCAGTGACTATGTCCTGCTCATGGCTTTATCCCAGGACCCAGCACCTTATCTGGCTGGGGCTCACTGAGTGTTGCTTAGATGAACCACATCACAATTGAGTTTGTGTGGACACTTGTGGTTATCTCCCCAGCATCCAGTTTCCCCCTTCCCAGCGACTCTCAATTTCCACTTGGAGGACTACGTGGTTTGGGAAGAACTGACTTTGCCCCAGGTCTGAGGGTGGAGCATGTGAACTACACTAAGACAATCCAACTATTCTATCGCTCTGACATAAGTCGTTGGTTCAAGTGTGGGCATGTGTCTAATCAAAGTGGATCTCAGGACAAAGATGTTTTTTCTCCTCCTAGTGTGATGTAAAACCTGGAACCACTGCAGCTATTTTTGCTACTGTGGTGCTGGGATTACAGATGTGAGCCACTGCACCCGGCCAAAAATTTTTTTAAATTTAAGAAAAGAAATCAAGGGAGATAAGAAATGATTACTGTTGTTTTAAGCCTCTAAGCTTAGGGTCATTTGTCATGCAGTTTCAGATAATTATTAGGTGGGTGCAAATGTAACTAAAGTAATTAAAGTCATGGCCAAAACCGCAATTACGTTTGCATCAAACTAATAGTACAATTGACTATTGGGTGTGTCTGGAATACCATCCTTCTGCTTCTTTTTGTTTTCCTTAGAAACTCCTACTTGCTCTCCAAGGGCCAACTCAAGTTGTCACCTCTTCTGAGAAGCCTGCCCTAATTTTCCTGCTTAACCCCAAGCTCTGTTACACACAGCTCTATTAGCAGTCCTCACACTGTGATCTTATTGTTTATGAGGTTATTTCTCTCACTATAGCTTTTTGAAGGCAACAATTTTGAATTATCCAAATGCATACGCCTAAGACTGAGCATGGTATGTGCTACATTAAAAAGGAGTTTGATGAAGTTTGGTTGAATAAATAAATAATGGAAACTTCAGCTGTGGACAAGACAAAGAATGCTGGCGGGGTGCGGTGGCTCACGCCTGTAATCCCAGCACTTTGGGACGCCAAGGCGGGCGGATCACAAGATCAAGAGATCAAGACCATCCTGGCCAACATGGTGAAACCCCATCTCTACTAAAAAATACAAAAATTAGCCGGGCATGGTGGCGAGCACCTGTAGTCCCAGCTACTCGGGAGGCTGAGGCAGGAGAATCACTTGAACCCAGAAGGCGGAGGTTGCAGTGAGCTGAGATCATGTCACTGCACTCCAGCCTGGGGGACAAAGCAAGACTCCGTAAAAAAAAAAAAAAAAAAAGAGAGAGAGCGCGCACAAATTCAGATGTAGTTATAGACATGCAAATTAACTGGTTGATGTGAACGACACAGCTAATAAGGTAGCATTAATAGATGTATGTCATGCCTGTAGTGCCAGCTACTTGGAGGGTCAAGGGCAGGAGGATGGCTTGAGCTTAGGAGTTCAAGGCTGCAGTGAGCTATGATGTACTGCACTCCTGCACTCCAGCCTGGGCAACAGAGCAAGATCCTGTCTTTAAAAAAAAAGATGAATAGGCTGTGTGTGGGTGTGTGGTGGCTCACGCCTGTAATCCCAGCACTTTGGGAGGCCAGGGAGGATGGATCACTTGAGGCCAGGAGTTTGAGACCAGCCTGGCCAACATGGCAAAACCCCATCTCCACTAAAAATACAAAAATTAGCCAGGCATAGTAGCACATGCCTTTAAGTAATCCCAGCTACTTGGGAGGCTGAGGCATTAGAATCGCTTGAGCCTGGGAGGCAGAGGTTTCTGTGAGCCGAGATCGCACCACTGCACTCCAGCCTGGGCGACAGAGCAACACTCTGTCTCAAAAAAATAAATAAATAAAGCTTTTTAAGCACTAAAACTCATTTCACAAATACCATTCCAATTTCATGCCACAGAAAGGCAGAAATGATACATACCACATCCCTGATTAAGGTAAAATCAGAAATGATAGATTAAGGTAAAAACAGAAAATACTGAAAATATAACTAAAAGTGCCTAATTCTTGAAAATTGAAAATGTAGAACAAATAGTCAATACATACTATAATGACATACTGTATTTTACAATAATAATAATAATACATAATAAAAACTGACACTGATTGAGAATTTACTCTGTGCCAGACATGGTTCTAAGTGATTAGCATGTGTTCACTCACTGACCCTTCATAGAAATCCTATGAAGAAGGTATTCTAGCCCCATTTTGCAGATGAAGAAACTGAGGCACATGGAAGTTATGTAACCAGGCTGGGTGCAGTGGCTCACACTGGGACTTTGCGGGGCTGAGGTGGGAGGATCACTTGAAGCTAGGAGTTCAAGACCGATAATATAGCAAGACCTCTTCTGTTGTGGGAAGCCCGGAACCCCTAATGGAGGGACCAGCTGAAGCCATGGCAGAAGAACATAAATTGTGAAGATTTCATGGACATTTATTAGTTTCCCAAATTAATACTTTCATAATTTCTTATGCCTGTCTTTACTGCAATCTCTGAACATAAATTGTGAAGATTTCATGGACACATATCACTTCCCCAATCAATACCCTTGTGATTTCCTATGCCTGTCTTTACTTTAATCTCTTAATCCCGTCATCTCGTAAACCGAGGAGGATGCATGTCACCTCAGGACCCGGTGATGATTGTGTTAACTGCACAAATTGTTTGTAGAGCATGTGTGTTTGAACAATATGAAATCTGGGCACCTTGAAAAAAGAACAGGATAACAGCAATGTTCAGGGAATAAGACAGACAACCTTAAATTCTGACTGCCGGTGAGCCAGGCGGAACAGAGCCATATTTCTCTTCTTTCAAAAGCAAATGGGAGAAATATCACTGAATTCTTTTTCTCAGCAAGGAACATCCCTGAGAAAGAGGATGCATCCCTGAGGGGAGGCCTCTGAAATGGCCGCTTCGGGGGGCAGCCGTCATTTATGGTCAAAGCTGTAGGGATGAAATAAGCCCCACTCTCCCATAGCGCTTCCAGGTTTATTAGGACGAGGAAATTCCCACCTAATAAATTTTGATCAGACCGGTTGTCTGCTCTCAAACCCTGGCTCCTGGTAAGATGTTATCAATGACAATGCGTTCCTGAAACTTCATTAGCAATTTTAATTTCACCCCAGTCCTGTGGTCCTGTGATCTCGCCCTGCCTCCATTTGCCTTGTGATATCTTATTACCTTGTGAAGCATGTGATCTCTGTGACCCACATCCTATTCGTACACTCCCTCCCCTTTTGAAAATCACTAATAAAAACTTGCTGGTTTTACGGCTCAGGGGGCATCACAGAACCTGCTGACATGTGATGTCTCCCCTGGACACCCAGCTTTAAAATTTCTCTCTTTTGTACTCTGTCCCTTTATTTCTCAGACCAGCTGACACTTAGGGAAAATAGAAAAGAATATTCTATGTGAAATATCAGGGGTGAATTTCACCCGATATCTGGCTGAATTTCCCTCAATACTCATCTCTACAGAAAAATTTAAAATTCACACCACTGCATTCCAGCCTGGGCAACAGAACAAAACTCTGTCCAAAAAAAAAAAAAAAAAAAAAAAGCCAGGCACAGTGGCTCACGCCTGTAATCCTAGCACTTTGGGAGGCCAAGGCGAGCAGATCACCTGACGTCGGGAGTTCAAGACCAGCCTGACCAACATGGAGAAACCCCATCTCTACTAAAAATACTTTTTAGCCGGGCATGGTGGCACATGCCTGTAATCCCAGCTACTCAGGAGGCTGAGGCTGAGGCAGGAGAATCACTTGAACCTGGGAGGTGGAGGTTGCGGTGAGCTGAGATCACACCATGGCACTCCAGCCTGGGCAACAAGAGTGAAACTCCATCTCAACAAACAAGGCCAGGCGTGGTGGCTCACGCCTGTAACCCCAGCACTTTGGGAGGCCAAGGCAGGCGGATCACCTGAGGTCGGGAGTTTGAGACCAGCCTGACCAACATGGAGAAACCCCATCTCTACTAAAAATACAAAATTAGCCGGCGTGGTGGCGCATGCCTGTAATCCCAGCTATTCGGGAGGCTGAGGCAGGGGAATCCCTTGAACCTGGGAGGCAGAGTTTGTGGTGAGCCGAGATCGCACCATTGCACTCCAGTCTGGGCAACAAGAGCGAAACTCCATCTCAAAAAAAAAAAGGAGGAAGAGAATATAGCTTTTTAAACACTAAAACACATTTCACAAAAACCATTAAGCATTTTTAGTTGTCTAGGGTGGTACACACCTGTAGTTTCAGCTACTCAGGAGGCTGAGGCAGAAGGATCACTTGAGCCCAGGAGGTCAAGGCTGCAACGAGCCACAGTCATGTGACTGCACTCCAGCCTGGGCAACAGAGTGAGACCCTGTCCCAAAAAAAAAAAAAGTTATGTGATTATATGCCAAGTATTTACAACAGAGATTATGTCTGTTGGGATGCTTTGAGCTACAAATAACAGAGATCACAACTTAAACAATAGCCCATGAATCCTATCACAGAAAGAGGCCAGACAGGAGCTCCAGGGCAGGGTAATCGGAAGCTCAGCAGTGTCTGTTAAACACCGAGTGATTTTATCTCACATCACTGGATTCCACAAGGCTGAACTGAATTGTTGTCAGGTTCCTCTTTGCTATTCTGAAGTTTCTCCTCACTTCCCCTTTTCCCATTGAGGAGTGGGCCTCCCTTACCTAATGTGTTTCACTTCCCCGGTATCTACAACTACAATTTATTGGGCTTCCTGCTGGACTCTTAGAAATGAAGCAATGAATTCCTCACTTATTCATTTACTCATTAAAATATATAAACTCAAGATAAACTCGAGAGACTGAGGCAAGAGGATCTCTTGAGCCCAGGAGTTCAAGGCTGCAGTGAGCTATGATCGTGCTACTGCACTCCAACCTGGGTAACAGGGTAAGACTCTATCTCTTTAAAAAAAAAAAAAAAGTATCTCTCTCTCTCTTTTTTTTTTTTTTTTTTTTTTGAGATGGAATTTCGCTCTTGTTGCCCAGCCTGGAGTGCAATGGCGAGGTCTCAGCTCACTGCAACTGCTGCCTCCCAGGTTCAAGCAATTCTCCTGCCTCAGCCTCCCAAGTAGCTGGGATTACAGGCACCTGTCACCATGCCCAGCTAATTTTTGTTTTTTTAGTAGAGACAGGATTTCACCATGTTGGCCAAGCTGGTCTTGAACTCCTGACCTCAAGTGATCTGCCCACCTCAGCCTCCCAAAATGCTGGGATTACAGGCATGAACCACCATGCCCAGCTTGCTCTATCTCTCTTTCTCTCTCTCTCTCTCTATATGTATAGGTATATGTATACCTATACATATATATCCAGATATATAGAGATAACGTGTGTGTGTGTATATATATATATATATAATGTGTACATATATATAATGTGTACGTATATATAATGTGTATGTGTGTATATATATAGAGAGAGAGAGAAAGTGAGAGAGAAACAACTATGTACCAGGCATCAGGGACCTACAAATAAGCAAAACACACAAGGTCCCTTCCCTCACAGAGCTTTTCTTTCTTTCTTTCTTTCTTTCTTTCTTTCTTTCTTTCTTTCTTTCTTTCTTTCTTTTCTTTTCTTTTTGGTAGAGGTGGGTCTCACTATGTTGCTCAGGCTAGTCTTGAACTCCTGGCCTTAAGTGACTTAGCCTCTGAGAGTGCTGGGATTACAGGCGTGAGCCACAGTGACTGGCCCAAACACAAATTTTTCTTTCTTTCTTTTTTTTTTCCAAGGCAGAGTCTCGCTCTGTCACCCAAGCTGGAGTGCTGTGGTGCGATCTTGGCTCACTGCAACCTCCATCTCCTGGGCTCAAATGATTCTCGTGCCTCAGACTCCCAAGTAGCTGGGATTACAGGCACACACCACTACACCTGGTTAATTTTTTTTATTTCTCGTAGAAACGGGGCCTCACTGTGTTGCCTAGGCTGGTCTCAAACTCTTGGCCTCAAGCATTCCTCCCTCTTCAGCTTCCCAAAGTTCTGGGATTACAGGCATGAGCCTTCACACCTGGCCTCGCTTGTCTTTTTTTCTTTGAGAGAATTTGTTTCTCATAATTGCAACCATAGTGGATTTATTGTTTGATGTGATTGTTGTCTCTTATGAGTATTGCTTATTTCATTAAAAAACTCTTTGATATTAGATCTCACACTATTTGATTCGCAAAGTTGCGAATCATGGTTTCGCAAAGTTGCAAAAGATGGTTTAAGGGTGAAGGAAAAGCGTTCATTCACACAGCGAAAGCCATTTCTATCCATTCATCCAGGCCTTGGGCAACTGAACAGTGGGCATTTCCTGGTTCTTGAGTCCTTTCCTGAAACACCCAGCTACACCCGAACCTTGCTAAATTCTCTGCTCTGTCTCAACTCCGGGACAAAAGCCAGAAAAACAGTAGCAGCAGTTTAGATTGGCCATGACTACTTTCAACTTTACTAATACAAGCCTCCCTTCTGAGGATATTAGAGTCACATTCTACCCCCATCCCCACCCCCAGGCAAACGCTTCAGAATTCTTTCAGGATGGGGATTAACTAATAACCGCATGGGGAAGAGAAGCCAAGATTGAGAGATAGATCAGGCTCCTGGGCCAACACCATCACTATTGCTGTTGGGAACTGCTGAGAGACTGTTTTCTCCAATGAACTGGAGACCTGATTCCAACCCTCCCTTCATTCCCTAAGAGGGTCAATTAAGATCATGGATATGAAAGCACTTTGTAAAATCTGAAAGTGCTACCCATGTGATTGCATCTGAATTGGGATGTTATGAGTTAGGGTTCAGGTTTCAAGCACCAGTTAGAAATCTTTTAGGGACTGAGGCTGGGCATGATGGCTCACGCCTGTATTCCCAGCAGTTTGGGAGGCCAAGGCAGGCAGATCACCTGAGGTCAGGAGTTCAAGACCAGCCTGGCCAACATGAGTGAAACCCCATCTCTACTAAAAATACAAAAAATAGCCCGGAGTGGTGGCGTGAGCCTGTAATCCCAGCTACTCGGGAGGCTGAGACAGGAGAATCACTTGAACCCAAGAGGCGGAGGTTGTAGTGAGCAAGATTGCACCACTGCACTCCAGCCTGGGAGACAGAGCGAGACTCCATTTCAAAAAAAAAACAAATAAATAAAATAAATCTTTTAGGGACAAGGGATTTTCCCACCAGGTAGAGCAGCAGGGATGTTGACCCAAAGAATCCATGCTCAGGACCCAGGTCCCACCCTGATGGAAGGAGCTTGCAGTGCCAAGAGAGTGTGTTGCCATCACTCAGGCACTGTGAAGGCACAAAAAAAATGCCCTGTGCAGATGACACTTAAGCCAAAGCTGTCCAAACATTTCCTCTGTAACACAAGGAGAAGAACTCCATAAACAGAGTTGAAGGACAAGCTGTCAGATTAGGAGAAAACACTTGCCACACATGTATGTAGCAGAAAAAAAAAAAAGTATGCAGATATATAAAGAACCACAATAACTCATGAAGGAAAATAAGCAGCCGGGCGCACGGTGGCTCGTGACTGTAATCCCAGCACTTAAGGAGGCTGCGGAAGGTGGGTCACTTGAGGTCAGGAATTCGTGACCAGCTTGGCCAACATGGTGAAACCCCTTCTCTACTAAAAATACAAAAAGCCGGGCGTGGTGGTGCGCGCCTGTAATCCCAGCTACTCAAGAGGCTGAGGTAGGAGAATTGTTTGATCCTGGGAGGCAGAGGTTGCCGTGACCCAAGATCGTGCCACTGCACTCCAGTCTGGGTGACAGAGCGAGACTCCGTTTCAAAAAAAAAAAAAAGCCAAGGCATAGGAACAGACCATTTTTAGAAGAGGAATTATAACTGGTCAATAAATGCATACAATGAGAAAAATATAAATTAAACTTTTAAAAAGCCATGTGATACTATTTATTTATTTCCCATCATGTTGGCAAAAAGAAATAAGAATTTGAGCTTGATAATATTGAGTGCTCCAGCATGGCCAACATGGTGAAACCCTGTCTCTACTAAAACTACAAAAATTAGCCAGGCATGATAATTTTAGCCAGGCAAAAATTAGCCTGAAATCCCAGCTACTCGGGAGGCTGAGACAGGAAAATCCCTTGAACCCAGGAGTCGGAGGTTGCAGTGGGCCAAGATTGCACCACTGCACTCCAGCCTGGCAGCCTGGGCGACAGAATGAGATTCTGGCTCAAAAAAAAAAAAAAAAAGAGTGCTGGAGAAGATTTGGAGAAACTATATTCTCGTACGGTGCTGTTTGGAATGCAAATTGATAGAATTTTTGTTTACAGCCCCAAAGCTGAGGACAAAACTGATTAATACAAAGCCCCACATTCTAAACCGAGCCGCAGACACACCCTTTAGGATTCCTAGTGAGAGAGCAGGTCCATCTTGCTAATTTCCACCCTCATCACCCACCTCAATGAGACAGCTGTGGTGGTTCCTCACCTGCCCCCACAGGGACGTCCCACACCTCAAAGCAAGTGAGGAGGTTGCTCCAAAAGAAGCCCTGACCAGCCTGGGCAACATACTGAGACCCCATTTCTACTAAAATTAAAAAGTGAAAATTAGCCAGGCAGGGTGGCGCACACCTATAGTCCCAGCTACTTGGAAGGCTGAGGCGGGAGGATCGCTTGAGCCCAGGAGTTGGAGGCTGCAGTGAGCTGTGATTGCACCTCTGAACTCCAGCCTGAGTGACAGAGACCTTGTCTCAAAAACAAACAAACAAACAATACAACAACAATTAAAAAAGAAGAAGAAGAAGCCCTTGTGGAGATTGGAGGCGGCTCTCCTGGGCTGCAGGAACCGGAAGGCTCAGATGAAGGCTGACAAGAGGTTCTTAGGAGAACCTGATGCAGGCCCCTGAGTGTGGCATCCACCAGTGCTGTCATCCAACCCAGAGGATTCTGGAGGAGGAACGAGAAGGTCCGGAGCAGCCCGAAGGGGCCAGACAGGGAGAGAGAGGAGGGCACGTCCTTTTGGATAGGTGAGAATAAATGAGACCCCTAGGCCTGGTGAATGCCAACAAAATGAGCGGGCTCTAGTGTTGTGGCGGCCCCTGCCCTAAACAGCTGCCTACCCTGGCAAAGGGACGGGCAGTGAGAGGCTGCCGGGAGTGGAATCCCCTGGGGCAGGGGCAGGGAGGAAGGACTGAGGGGTTGTCATAAGAGGCCAGCCAGAAAGCGTCTGCCTATACCACCTCAGAAGAAGCCAACACCTCCCAGGAGAGCACATGACAGGTGTCACAGATCATAGACACACCAATCATGTGTCACCCAGCCCCTTTTCCTCTGATTAACCTTGACCTTGAAGGAGCCAGCAGAGAGGAGTGGGGAGGGTTCCTTCACCACTTTAGGTCACCTTATTTATATTTACATTAAAAAAAAAAATACTGGGTCTCCTTCTAATTGCCCAGGCTGACACGTAGTGGCCCAATCATAGCTCACTGCAGCCTCCAACTACTGGACTCAAGCAATCCTCCTGCCTCAGCCTCCTGAGTAGCTGGGACCCCAGGCGAGCATCACCATATCCAGCCTTTTTTTTTTTTTCTGGAGAGATGGGGTCTCACTATGACTGGTCACAAACCCCTGGACTCAAATGCTTCTCCCACCTCGACCTCCCAAAGTGCTGGTATTATAGGCGTGAGCCACCGCGCCTCACCAGGTCTCTTTAAATTGGATGTGATATTAACTTTGGAACCGTGCTGGGCTTTTTTTTCATATCTGAAAATGAGACTCCCAAAGTGCAAAGCTATCCTCCCACCTCAGCCTCCCAAGTAGCTGAGACTACAGGCATGAACCACCATGCCTGGCTAATTCTTTTTTGAGATAGAGTCTTGCTCTGTCACCCAGGCTGGAGTGCAGTGACACAATCTCTGCTCACTGCAGCCTCTGTCTCCTGGTTCAAGTGATTCTCCTGCCTCAGCCTCCCGAGTAGCTGGGATTACAGGTGCCCACCACTGCACCCAGCTAATTGTATTTTTAGTAGAGACGGGGTTTCACCATGTTGACCAGGCTGGTCTCGAAATCCTCACCTTGGGTGATCCGCCTGCCTCGGCCTCCCAAAGTGCTGGGATTACAGGCATGACTCATCATGCCTGGCCAAAAAAATTTTTTTTAATTAAATTTTAAAAATAGGCCGGGCGCGGTGGCTCACGCCTGTAATCCCAGCACTTTGGGAGTCCGAGGCAGGTTGATCACGAGGTCAGGAGATCGAGACCATCCTGAAACCCCATCTCTACTAAAAATACAAAAAATTAGCCGGGCGAGGTGGTGGGCGCCTGTAGTCCCAGCTACGCGGGAGGCTGAGGCAGGAGAATCACTTGAACCTGGAAGGCAGAGGTTGCAGTGAGCTGACATCACACCACTGCACTCCAGCCTGGGTGACAGAGCAAGACTCTGTCTCAAAACATAAAACAAAACTACTCACTAAACTTGACAATATTACTTCTGATGAGGAGGAAAAAGAAATAATCAGCACTGGGGGTGTGGTCAAAGGAAACCTTCCCCTTATCTGTAAGATATAATTAAGTACAGACATGCGTTGTTTTATTGTAGTTCACTTTATTGCTTTTCATGGATACCGCATTTTCTGCAAACTGAAGGTCTGTGGCAACCCTGCGTCAAGCAAATCTATTGGTGCCATTTTTTCAACAGCACGTGCTCACTGCACCTCTCTTTGTCAGATTTTGGTAATTCTCACAATATTTCAAGCTTTTCATCATTCTTCTATCTGTGATGGTGATCTGTGATCAGTGATCTTTGAAGTTACTATTGTAATTGTTTTGGGGTACCACAAACCTCAACCATAAAAGATGGTGAACATAATGGATAAATGTGTGCATTCTGACTGCTCCACCAGTCAGTGGTTCCCCTCTCTCTCCCAGTCCTTGTGCCTCTTTATTCTCTTAGACACAACAATATTGAAATTAGTACAATGAGTAACCCTAGTGTCCTCTAAGTGTTCAAGTGAAAGGAAGGGTCATGTTAAATCAAAGGAAGCGTCATGTTAAATCAAATTATTAAGCTTAGCGAGGAAGGCGTTTCAAAAGCTGAGACAGAGGCTGGGCGCAGTGGCTCACGACTGTAATCGTAGCACTTTGGCAGGCCGAATCGGGTGGATCACCTGAGATCAGAAGTTTAAGACCAGCCTGGCCAACATGGTGAAACCCTCTCTTTACTAAAAATACAAAAATTAGCAGGGTGTGGTGGTGGGCGCCTGTAATCCCAGCTACTCAGGAGGCTGAAGCAGGAGTATCACTCGAACCCGGGAGGCGGAGGTTGCAGTGAGCCAAGATCATACCACTGCACTCCAGCCTGGGTGACAGACCAAGACTCTGTCTCAAAAAAAAAAGGCTGAGAGATAGGCTGAAGGCTAGGCCTTTTGCACCAGTTAGCCAAATAGTGAATGCAAAGGAAAAGTTATTGAAGGAAGTTTAAAGTGCTACTCCAAGGCCTGGCACAGTGGCTCAGCTAATAATTTCAATACTTTGGGAGGCCAAGGTGGGAGTATCACTTGAGCCCAGGAGTTTGAGACCAGCCTAAACAACATAGCGAGACCCTGTCTCTAAAAAATATTTTAAAAATTTAAAAATTAGCCAGCATGGTAGTTCACACCTGCAGTCCCAGTACTCAGGAGGCTGAGGTGGGAGGATCATTTGAGCCCAGGAGGTCCAGGCTGCAATGAGCCGTGATTGCACCACTACACTCCAGCCTGGACAACAGAAAGAAATCTTGTCTCAAAAAAAAAAGTGCTACTCCAGTGAACGTGAATAATAAGAAAGTGAAACAGCCTAATTGCTGATACGAAGGAAGTTTGAGTGATCTGGATAGAAGATCAAACCAGCACAACATCCCCTTAAGCCGAAGCCAAATCCAGAGCAAGGTCCAAATGCTCTTCAGTCCTATGAAGGCTGAGAGAGGTGAGGAAGCTGCGGAAGAAAATTTGGAAGTCAGCAGAGGTGGAAGTCAGCAGGGTTCATGAGGTTTAAGGAAAGAAGCAATCTCCACAACATAAAAGTACAAGGTGAAGCAGCAAGTACAGATGGAGAAGGCGCAGCAAGTTCTCCAGAAGATCTCTGATGAAGGTGGCTACACTCAACAACAGGTTTTCAATGTAGATGAGATGGTCTTTGATGGAAGAAGATGGCATCTAGGACTTTCAGAGAAGTCAATGCCTGGCTTCAAAGCTTCAAAGGACAGGCTGACTCTCTTATTAGAGGCTAATGCAGCTGGTAGGGCTTCAAGGTGTAGCCAGTGGTCATTTACCATTTGGAAAATCCCAGGGCCCTGAAGAATGATGCTAAATCCACCCTTCTTGTACTCTAGAAATGGAACAAAGCTGGGGTGACAGCACATCTGTTTACAGCATGGTTGACTAAGTGGTTTTTCTTGTTTTATTTTGGTTTTTTTTTGTTTTTTTGAGACGGAGTCTCGCTCTATTCCATGCTGGAGTACAGTGGCGCGATCTTGGCTCACTGCAACCTCCGCCTCCCAGATACAAGTGATCCTCCTGCCTCAGCCCCCTAGTAGCTGGGATTAGAGGCATGCGCCACCATGCCTGGCTAGTTTTTTTATTTTTGGTAGAGACGGGGTTTCACCATGTTGGCCAGTCTGGTTTCAATCTCCTGCCCTCAGGTGATCCACCCGCCTTGGCCTCCAAAAATGCTGGGATTACAGGCGTGAGCCACCGTGCCCGGCCAAAGACTGAGTGTTTTAAGCCCACTCTGGAGACCTGCTGCTCAGAAAAATAGATTTATTTCCAAAGTTTGCTGCTCATTAACAATCCATCTGGTCACCCAAGAGCTCTGATGGAGATGTCCAAGGAGATTAGTGTTGTTTCCATGCCTGCAAACACAACACGCATTCTGCAGTCCATGGACCAAGCAGTAATTTCGACTTTCAAGTCTTATTACTTCAGAAATACATTTCATGGCCGGGCGTGGTGGCTCAAGCCTGTAATCCCAGCACTTTGGGAGGCCAAGGCAGGTGGATCACCTGAGATAAGGCGTTCGAGACCAGCCTGGCCAACATGGTGAAACCCCATCTCTATTAAAAATACAAAAAATTAGCCAAGAGTGGTGGTGGGCGCCTGTAATCCCAGCTACTTGGGAGGCTGAAGCAGAATTGCTTGAACCTGGGAGGCCGAGGTTGCAGTGAGCTGGGATCACGCCACTGCACTCCAGTCTGGGTGACAGAGCAAGACTCTGTCTCAAAAAAAAAAAAGAAAGAAAGAAAAAAAGAAAGAAATGCATTTCATAAGGCTATAGCTGCCATAGATAGTGATTCCTCTGATGGATCTAGGCAAAGTCAATTAAAAACCTTTTCTGGATAACTTGCAAGTTATTCAGAAAATCTAGCTAAGATCATTGATGAAGGTGGCTACACCTTACAACAGATTTCCAATGTAGACAAAACAGCCTTCTATTGGAAGAAGATGCCATCAAGGACTTTCATAGCTAGAGAGGAGAAGTCAATGCCTGGCTTCAAAGCTTTAAAGGACAGGCTGACTCTCTTGTTAGGGACTAATGCTGCTGGTGACTTTAAGTTGTAGCTAATGCTCATTTACCATTCCAAAAATCCTAGACCCCTTAATAATTATGTTAAATGTACTATGCCTGTCTCTATAAATGAAACAACAAAGCCTGGATGACAACATATCTGTTTATAGCACAGTTGACTGAATATTTTAAGCCCACTGTTGAGAACTACTGCTCAAAAGGAAATTTCTTTCTTTTTTTCTTTCTTTCTTTCTCCATTGCCCAGGCAGAGTGCAGTGGCATGATCATAGCTCATTGAAGCCTCAACCTCCTAGGCTCAAGCAATCCTCCTGCTTCAGCCTCCCAAGTAACTGGAACTACAGGTTTGTGCCACCATGCCTGACTAATTTTTTTTATTTTTTGTAGAGACAGGGTCTTGCTATATTACCCAGGCTGGTCTCAAACTCCTGGGCTCACGTGATCCTCCCTCCTCAGCCTCCTGAAGTGCTGAGATTACAGACACAAGCCACCACATCTTCTCAAAAAGACTCCTTTCAAAATATTACTGCTAATTGACAATGCACCTGGTTACCCAAGAGCTCTGATGGAGATGTACCAAGAGATAAATGTTGTTTTCATGCCTGCTGATATGGTTTGGCTCTGTGTTCCCACCCAAATCTCACGTCAGGTTGTGATCTTCAGTGTTGGAGGAGGGGCCTGGTGGGAGGTGATCGGATCATGGGGGCAGTTTCTAATGGTTTAGCATCGTCCCCCTAGTGCTGCTTGTTTTAAAGCATGTAGCACCTCTCTCACCTCCCGCCAGCCATGTGAAGATGTGCCTTCTTGCCCTTCACCTTCCACCATGATTATAAGTTTCCTGAGGCCTTCCCAGAAGCAGAAGCCTGTACAGCCCACAGAACCATGAGCTGATTAAATCTCTTTCCTTTGTAAATTACCCAGTCTCAAGTATGTCTTCACAGCAGTGTGAGAATGGACTAATACAGCTGCTAACACAACATCTCTTCTGCAGTGCATGGATCAAAGAGTCATTTTGCCTTTCAAGTCTTTTTTTTTTTTTTTTTTGAGATGGACTTTTGTTCTTGTAGCCCAGGCTGGCATGCAATGGTAGAATCTCGGCTCACCGAACCGCCTCCTGGGTTCAAGCAATTCTTTTCCCTCAGCCTCCTGAGTAGCTGGGATTAGAGGCACCAGCCACCATGCCCAGCTAATTTTTGTATCTTTAGTAGAGACGGGGTTTCACCATGTTGGCCAGGCTGGTCTTGAACTCCTGAGCTCAGGTGATCCACCTGCCTTGGCCTCCCAATGTGCTGGGATTACAGGCATGACTCAACCGTGCCCAGCCTCATTATTGTCTTCTTTTAAGAAATTCTTTTTTTTTTGAGATAGAGTCTCACTTTGTCACCCAGGCTGGAGTGTAATGGCATGATCTCAGCTCACTGCAACCTCCGCCTCCTGGATTCAAGTGATTCTCCTGCCTCAGCCTCCCGAGTAGCTGGGATTACAGATGCCCACCACAACGCCCAGCTAGCTTTTGTATTTTTAGTAGACATGGGGTTTTGCCATGTTGGCCAGGCTGGTCTTGAACTCCTGACCTCAGGTGATCCACATACCTCGGCCTCCCAGAGTGCTGGGATTACAGGCGTGAACCACAGCACCTGGCCTAAGAAATTCTTTTAAGAAATTGCCACCGCCACCCCCACCTTCAGCAGTCACCATCCTTATCAGTCAGTAGCCATCGACATTGAGGCAAGACCCTCCACCAGCAAAAAGACTATGACTCACTGAAGGCTCAGATGATCCTTAGCATTTTTAGCAATAAAGTATTTTTAGGCCAGGCGGAGTGGCTCACACCTGTAATCCCAACACTTTGGGAGGCTGAGGCAGGTGAATGACTTGCGCCCAGGCATTTGAGACCAGACTGGGCAACACGGTGAAATCCCATCTCTACTAAACTTAAAAAAATTAGCCAGTCATGGTGGCGTGTGCCTGTAATTCCAGCTACTTGGGAGGATGAGGTGGGAGGATCACCTGAAACTGGGAGGTCGAGGCTGCAGAAATCACACCACTGTACTCTAGCCTGGGTGATGGAGTGAAACCCTGTCTCAAAAATAAATAATAATAATTTTAAGAACTCACATTTTTGAGAGTCTGAAGGCCTATACAAATGGCCAGCACCAATGCAAAATTTTGTGGACATCTCTTTTTTTTTTTTTTTTTTTTTCCCAAGGCAGAAGAATTTTTCTTAGTACAGAACAAAATGAAAAGTCTCCCATGTCTACCTCTTTCTACACAGACACGGCAACCATCCGATTTCTCAATCTTTTCCCCACTTTTCCCCCCTTTCTATTCCACAAAACCGCCACTGTCATCATGGCCCGTTCTCAATGAGCTATTGGGTACACCTCCCAGACGGAGTGGTGGCCGGGCAGAGGGGCTCCTCACTTCCCAGTAGGGGCGGCCGGGCAGAGGCGCCCCTCACCTCCCGGACGGGGCGGCTGGCCAGGCGGGGGGCTGACCCTCCCACCTCCCTCCCGGACGGGGCGGCTGGCGGGGCAGAGGGGCTCCTCACTTCCCAGTAGGGGCGGCCGGGCAGAGGCGCCCCTCACCTCCCGGACGGGGCGGCTGGCCGGGCGGGGGGCTGACCCCCCACCTCCCTCCCGGACGGGGCAGCTGGCCGGGCGGGGGGGCTGACCCCCCCACCTCCCTCCCGGACGGGGCGGCTGGCGGGGCAGAGGGGCTCCTCACTTCCCAGTAGGGGCGGCCGGGCAGAGGCGCCCCTCACCTCCCGGACGGGGCGGCTGGCCGGGCGGGGGGCTGACCCCCCCACCTCCCTCCCGGACGGGGCGGCTGGCCGGATGGGGGGCTGACCCCCCCAACTCCCTCCCGGACGGGGCGGCTGGCCAGGCGGGGGGCTGACCCCCCCACCTCCCTCCCGGACGAGGTGGCTGCCGGGCGGAGACGCTCCTCACTTCCCAGACGGGATGGCTGCTGGGCGGAGGGGCTCCTCACTTCTCAGACGGGGCGGTTGCCAGGCAGAGGGTCTCCTCACTTCTCAGACGGGGCGGCCGGGCAGAGATGCTCCTCACATCCCAGACGGGGCGGCGGGGCAGAGGTGCTCCCCACATCTCAGACGATGGGCGGCCGGGCAGAGGCGCTCCTCACTTCCTAGATGGGATGGCGGCCGGGCAGAGACGCTCCTCACTTTCCAGACTGGGCAGCCAGGCAGAGGGGCTCCTCACATCCCAGACGATGGGCGGCCAGGCGGAGACGCTCCTCACTTCCCAGACGGGGTGGCGGCCGGGCAGAGGCTGCAATCTTGGCACTTTGGGAGGCCAAGGCAGGCGGCTGGGAGGTGGAGGTTGTAGCGAGCCGAGATCACGCCACTGCACTCCAGCCTGGGCACCATTGAGCACTGAGTGAACGAGACTCCGTCTGCAATCCCGGCACCTCGGGAGGCCGAGGCTGGCGGATCACTCGCGGTTAGGAGCTGGAGACCAGCCCGGCCAACACAGCGAAACCCCGTCTCCACCAAAAAACTACGAAAACCAGTCAGGCGAGGCGGCGCGCGCCTGCAATCGCAGGCACTCGGCAGGCTGAGGCAGGAGAATCAGGCCAGGGAGGTTGCAGTGAACCGAGATGGCAGCAGTACCGTCCAGCTTCCGCTCGGCATCAGAGGGAGACCGTGGAAAGAGAGGGAGAGGGAGACCATGGGGAGAGGGAGAGGGAGAGGGAGAGGGAGAGCGACATCTCTTGTTTTAGCTTGAAAATTCACACAGATTCTGTACTCTATGTTTGTTTTAATGGGAACGTGACATCTTGATTTTTACTTTTGGTTAAATTACCCAACTTTCTCACCACCACCAGTATCAAGAAGAAGAATATTGGCATAAAGTCGATACTCCAAGATGCATCATGCTTCTGTGGACCGGGGTCCTTTGTGGTCAGACTGTCATGCACCCAGGGGATGCGTGAACCCAGTATAAGAGGCAACCTAAGCCGGACGCGGTGGCTCACGCCTGTAATCCCAGCACTTTGGGAGGCCGAGGCGGGCGGATCACGAGGTCAGGAGATGGAGACCATCCTGGCAAACATGGTGAAACCCCGTCTCTACTAAAAATACAAAAAAATTAACCAGGCATGGTGGCGGGCGCCTGTAGTCCCAGCTACTTGGGAGGCTGAGGCAGGAGAATGGCGTGAACCCAGAGGGCGGAGGTTGCAGTGAGCCGAGATCACGCCACTGCACTCCAGCCTGGGAGACAGTGAGACTCCATCTCAAAAAAAAAACAAAACAAAACAAAAGAGGCAACCTAGTGGGGCTCTCGTTGTTGTGAGATCCAGGGTTGCGAAGATCAGTGAGATTCTGAATAGAGAGCTATTGACGCATAATAAGGTCTCAATAAATTTTCTTTTTTTTCCTTTGAGACAGAGTCTCATTCTGCAGTGGGATAATTTAGGAATCAGAGAGACCAAGAGGTTGAGGAGGATACTTATTATTTATTATTTAGTTAGGTGCACTGGCCCGGTCAGATTAACATCCAAAAAGACTGAGCCCTGAACAAAGAGTCCGGTTACCTTTTTTTTTTTTTTTTTTTGAGGCGGAGTCTCGCTCTGTCACCCAGGCTGGAGTGTAGTGGCGCCATCTCGGCTCACTGCAAGCTCCGCCTCCCGGGTTCAGGCCATTCTCCTGCCTCAGCCTCCCAAGTAGCTGGGACTACAGGTGCCTGCCACCACGCCCGGCTAATTTTTTGTATTTTTAGTAGAGACGGGGTTTCAACATGTTAACCAGGACGGTCTCGATCTCCTGACCTCATGATCCGCCTGCCTCAGCCTCCCAAAGTGCTGGGATTACAGGCGTGAGCCACCACGCCCGGCTCCGGTTACCTTTTAAGCATTTTGTGGGGCAGGGGGAGATCTGTGCAGGGGGAAGCATATTACAGAAGCAAGAAACAAAGACAGTTATTCAGTTGAGACATGCATTACATCATTTTTTACTTTTCAAGGAAAAACATGTTTTATGACTTGAGTTTATCTGCCTAGTGACCTTGCAGCTGCACAGCTAGAGAAACAGGGTCTTCACAATGCCTGGGAAAGGGAGAGAGATAAGGCTCACTATCCACAGAAAAACAGGCAGTTAATTTTTAAAGGACTTTAGCTCTTTCTCTTCCTCAGGGTGAATGGGGTTTTCTTACATACAACTGAGTTTTTGCTTACACATTCTTTAATTTCTTTTAATTCCTGTTTTAACTCTCTCACCCAGACTGGAATGCAGTGGCCCGATCTCAGCTCATCGGAACCTCTGCCTCCCAGGTTCAAGTGATTCTCCTGCCTCAGCCTCCTGAGTAGCTGGGATTGCAGGCATGCACCACCATGCCTGGCTAATTTTTGTATTTTTAGTAAAGATGGGGTTTCACCATGTTGACCAGACTGGTCTCGAACTCCTGACCTCAGGTGATTCACCCGCCTCAACCTCCAAAAGTGCTGGGATTACAGGCGTGAGCCACTGCACCTGGCCACGATAAATGTTCTTGCTTGCAGTTTTATCATGGCCTTGGCAGGTTCAAGTTTGCTATTATGCTACCTAAAGATGTCAGGAAACACAGGAAATGTCTTGGCAGCCAGTTTCTGGGGGTTTCCAGCGTTCCCGTGGAGAGGAGGGACTCACGGAGGGGACGCTGGTGCTTTAGAACACATGTGCTGGAGGAACTCCTTTCTCTGTTCACATTTCACCTTCCTACATCCCCAGGGAGACCCTGCCTGGGTCAGGCAGCCCCACCCGACAAGGACCACCTGGATTACGCAGCTTTTCCCACAAAGCCCACCTCACTCAGTCAGCCATGGGCCATTTCCTTCAATGCATGCAGCTCAAGCTGGGGCAACTATACGCAGAAAGAACCTGTGGCAGCTTCGAAAGAAAGTTTCCTGATATAATTCCAACAAAAGGCAGCATACATTACTCAGCTCTGCAGGGAGACTAAAGCCAGCCCGGGTCCCGGAAGGCACAGGAGTGTTTGGACGGTGGCTCTGGCTGCCGGAGACGCCACAAGAGCCTTCCCTCCCTCCCTCCCACACGAACAGCAGACTTGCGACACGGTCTGATGGCCCTCCCCATCTTCCCTCACATGGGCATCTTCCCTCCTAAAATCTCTGCCCATTTAATCCTATCTTGGCATCTGCTTCTCAGAGTACCCATTTCCTCAGAAGGAGGCTTTGGGTCTCAGATACCACCATCCCTCCAGACACCATGGCCTGTGTGTAGACAATTCAATGCCGTGGGCTACACATGGTGGAGGAGCTGCTGGGCGATCCAGAGAGGAGAGTAACTGATTCTTCCTGGAGGCCTAGAAGGTCAAGAGAGGACAGGAAATGGTGGTGTTTTGGGAGAGCCATGAAGGATAAGTGGGAGGGAACTGACATTCCTAAAAAAGAAGTGCAGGGGCCAGGCCCGACAGCTCATGCCTGTAATCCCAGCACTTTGGGAGGCTGAGGCGGGCAGATCATTTGAGGTCAGGAGTTCGAGATCAGCCTGGCCAACATGGCAAAACCCCGCCTCTACTAAAAATACAAATAAAAATGAAAAAACTAACCTGGCGTGGTGGTGGGTGCCTGTAATCCTAGCTACTGCGGAGGCTGAGGCAGGAGAATCACTTGAACCTGGGAGGCAGAGGTTGCAGTGAGCTGAGATAGCACCATTGCACTCCAGCCTGGGCGACAGAGCAAGACTGCATCTCAAAAAAAAAAAAAAAAAAAAGGAGGTGCAGAGACCCCAGCAGTTCAGTTCAGCATAGCCAGAGTGTAGACATGCACAGGGCGGTGATCCAAGGTGAGGCTGGACACAGCCCACAGCCCACAGTCTACAGGGTGAGGAGCAACACAGGAGACCACAGGTCCCTCCCTCACTGTGGCCAGTCCTTAGCCTGAGCAATGACAGAGAGTTCAGTGACAGTCAATGGACAGCAGCCTTTCCCCAACACTAGGATCCCAAAGAGCTTTTGTTATGTGGTTTTATCTTTCAATATTTGCCCTGTTAGATATTAAAACAGAGAACTTTTCTTTTTAAGATGAAGCTGGGGCTGGGCGCGGCGGTTCAAGCCTGTAATCCTAGTACTTTGGGAGGCCGAGTTGGGGGATCCCCTGAGGTCAGGAGTTCGAGACCAGGCTGGCCAACATAGTGAAGCCCCTGTCCCCACTAGAAATACAAAAATCAGCTAGGCGTAGTGTCACCTGCCTATAGTCCCAGCTACTCGGGAGGCTGAGGCAGGAGGATCACTTGAACCTGGGAGGCAGAGGTTGCAGTGAGCCAAGATCACACCACTGCACTCTAACCTGGGTGACACGGTGAGACTCCATCTCAAAAAATAATAATAAAATAAAAGATGAAGCTGGGCTGGGCTCAGTGGCTCACACCTGTAATCCCAACACTTTGGGAAGCCAAGATGGGAGGATCGCTTGAGGCCAGGAGCTCGAGACCAGCATGAGCAACATAGTGAGACCTCATCTCTACCAAAATACAAAAAATAAAAAATAGTCAGGCATGGTGATGGGTGCCTGCCATCCTATCTACTCAGGAGGCTGGAGTGGGAGGATCATGTGAGCCCAGGAGGTCAAGGCTGCAGTGAGCCACAATCACACCATTGCACTCCAGCCTGTGCGACAGAGCAAGACCTTGTCTCAAAAAAAAAAATTGTTTTTTAACTAAAAACAGATGAAGCTGGAAGGCCAGCCTGTAATCCCAGCACTTTGGGAGGCCAAAATGGGTGGATCACCTGAGGTCAGGAGTTCGAGACCAGCCTGGCGGGCACCTGTAATCCCAGCTACTCGGGAGGCTGAGGCAGGAGAATCCCTTGAACCTAGGAGGCGGAGGTTACGGTGATCACACCACTGCACTCCAGCCTGGGCGACAGAGCGAGACTCTGTCTCAAACAAAACAAACAAACCAACCAACAAAAAAAATGGCAGAACAGCTCAAATGCTAAGCCAAAGACTGGGGGCTTTATCCTGTAGGCAAGAGGGAGTTGTTGAAAGTTTTGAGCAACTGAGTCCCGTGACCACATTTGCATTTTTGGAAACATTACCAAGTCAGGATTAAAGGCTGGAGGGCAATTAGGAGGCCTTGCAGTAGGTCACATGTCTTTTCATGTGGATTTAATGAGGAAGGAGTCAGAATATAACAGTTTTATTAATGGTGTTGGATTTTACAACCAAATAATCCCTTAGCTATATTGTTTTATTTTCTAACATGAAAGAGCTTCTACCGTTAATCCTCTCTTCTGTCTCCTGAAGCCAGGGCTCCACAGGCCTTCCTCTGGGAGACACACCCAGGTGTGCCGCCTTCCCCTGCCAGATCCTCAGGCCTTTCTTACCCAACTCACAACTTCCCTTTCACCCTTAGTCCCATACCCACCATCTCCCGAGAAAACCTCCGCAATGGGCTGCCGGGGCCCCAGGCCCTTCCACCCATCCCGCCAGCACACCCTCCCCGTGAAAATGAGTGACCCCAGGCCAGCGTCTTCCCTCAGGAGAGAAGCCTGTCTGGATCCCCAAAGGCCTCTCCCTCCAGGGAAGAGGGACTCTCACTCTGGCCTCAGTGGTTACTCCAGAGCCCAAGAAATGCCCTGTGCGCTAAAACCAAAGAAGGTGTGAACCAGCAAGTAAGTGGGGAGCGGCCAGTTCTGGGACATCTAGTTGGGGGCCTTCTCTTCCCCATGAGCAGCAGGGACCAGTGTGACCTTGGCATCAGGCTCTTTCTCTTGGCTGGCTTCCTCAACGTTCAAGACGCTCGATAAACATATCCCAGAGGCAAAGCAAGTTAAGTCGAGGGTTGTTTATTCACCTAGAATCAGCTCCAGCCATTTTCCAATGTCTTCTTTTTGTTGTTTTTCTGGTTTTTGTTGCAACAGGGTCTCACTATGTTCCCCAGGCTGGTCTCAAACTCCTGGCCTCAAATGAGCCTCCTGCCTCAAACTCCCAAAGTGTTGGGTTTACAGGCATGAGTACCCAGCCCTTAAGTGTCTTTGCTTTGGTTTATGTTTGTTTGTTTCCTTCCACTCCTGGTGCAAACCTTACATGTTTTTGACTGGGGAAACATATTTTGGACCTATGCCTCTACACTGACAGTGAAGAGCCCAATGGGTTGTGCACTAGGTCAGGGCTTCCCGCAGCGTCAGCCCCTGTGGCCAGCAGCGTCACCTGGGAACCTGCTAGAAATGCACATTTTTGGCAGGGCGTGGTGGCTCACACCTGTAATCCCAGCACTTGGAAGGCCAAGGCAGGAGGATCACCTGAGGCCAAGAGTTCAAGATCAGCCTGGGCAATGTAACGAGACACCATTTCTACAAAAACTAAATTAAAAAAAAAAAAATGAGCATTTTCAGCCAGGTGCAGTGGCTCATGTCTGTAATCCCAGCACTATGGGAGGCCAAGGCGGGTGAATCACTTGAGGTCAGGAGTTCGAGACCAGCTTGGCCAACATAGTGAAACCCCTACTAAAAATAAAAATAAATAGCCAGGTGTGGTGGCGGGCGTCTGTAGTCCCAGCTACTTGGGAGGCTGAGGCATGAGAATTGCTTGAACCCTGGAGGCAGAGGTTGCAGTGAGCCGAGATGGCACCACTGCACTCTAGCCTTGAGTGACAGAGCAAGACTCTGTCTCAAAAAAAAAAAAAAAAAAAAAAAAAAGAAATAAAAAAAAGAAATGAGCATTTTTGACCTGTCCAACCTACTAAATCAGAAACTTAGCACCCTATGCTTTAACAAGTCATGGCTAAGGGCTTTAAAAAGGTGATTTTAATGCATGCCTAAGGTGGAGAACTAAGGAGAAGGCTTTTGGGTAAGGTGAATCTGGAGCGGGGGACCCAAGGCCTAAGGAGGAGGGGAGTGTGAGGCAAAAGGAGCCCCTTATCTACAGGTTCTCAAGCTCCTCCCATCAATCCCCCAACCTGGCCCTGTCCCTCCCTCGCTCAACCTTAGTTTCTTCCTGGAATTCTCAGGCCTCCTGGTTCCCAAATTCTGATTTCCCCACTGACCTGACTCCAGATCTCCCTACCCCACTGGGTCTTGTCCCCAGCGTCACTCCAACCCCTCACCAGCAGTCCCCAGGCCATGCCAACCCCCACACTTTTTTTTTTTTTTGAGACAGAGTCTCACTCTTGTCACCCAGGCTAGAGTGCAGTGCCGCAATGTCTGCTCACTGCAACCTCCACCTCCTGGGTTCAAGCAATTATCCTGCCTCAGCCTCCCAACTAGCTGGGATTACAGGCGTATGCCACCGCGCCCAGCTCATTTTTGTATTTTCAGTAGAGAGGAGTTTCACCATGTTGGCCAGGCTGGTCTTGAACTCCTGACCTCAGGTGATCCACCCGCCTCCGTCTCCCAAAGTGCTGGGATTACAGGCATGAGCCACCAAGCCAGTCCTACCCCACGCTTGTCAGTATTCTGGGAGATCCCCCAGTTCCCAGCCCCCTGGGCCCTGGCAACCCGCTCCCCACCCTTCTCCCGTCAGACCCGACCAAGGAGACCTAAGCTTCAACCCAGGCCCCCGCGCCCCTCCACTACCCGTCCGGCGGCTCAGGCCTCGGCGCCTTCGGGACCCACGAGCAGCAGCGGCTGGGCATTCTTGCCCTTGTCGTGCCAGCACACGTCGAAGAAGGGGTACACGGGCCTGGGCAGGCGCTCGTGGAAGGCAAAAAGCGGCACGAGCGCGTCGGCGTCGCTGGCATCGTAGAAGGAGAGGACGCCGTCGCCGAAGCTCAGGTAAAGGCCAATGCGCGTGGGCCGCCTCTCGGGGCTGCGCAGAGCGCGCGGCTCCTTGGCCTCCACGTGTGCCTCCAGGATCTTGCCCTCGCGCAGCCCCAGCAGCCACAGGCCCTGCGAGGGCACCGCGTGCAGGCGCCCGCGGCGGGGGGCCTCGGCCGCGATCACGCCCAGCGCCCAGCGCGGCTTGTCGCCAACATCCACCTCCCAGTAGTGCTCGCCCTCGGAGAGCTGCTGGTGCGCCACCACCGCCACCGCCTTGTCGAACTGGCGCGGGTCCTCCCCGGCCGGCGGCGCCTTCTGCTCCGAGCACTCCACGCGGCGGCCAGAGGAAGACACCACCAGGCTCGGGTGCGCAGAGCTCGGGTCAAAGGTCAGCTCCTCCAGCGCTGCCAGAGAGAACACGGTCAGAAAACCCTAGGTTTCTGCCTCGCTGGGGTCTTCTCCCAACCAATTGCAGGCCAGCTTTCTCTCCCCTAATCCTCTTGGCATCTCTGCTCACTGGGCTTGGGCCACAAGATCACACCTGGCTCAACTTCAGTTTGCCCAGCTGTGAGATGAGGCCATGATTGCTTCCCTCCAGGGTTGCAGGCAGGCCTGCATTTTCTTTTTGTTTTTGTTGTTGTTATTGTTGTTGTTTTTTGTTTTTGTTTTTTGTTTTTTTGAGGCGGGGTCTCACTCTGTCGCCCAGGCTGGAGCGCAGGTGCAACCTAGGCTCACTGCAACTTCCAACTCCCAGGCTCAAGCAATCCTCCCATCTCCCATCTCCCAAGTAGCTGGGACTACAGCCACGTGCCACCACACCTGGCTAATTTTTTTAAGTTTTTGTAGAGACAGGTGTTCTCACTATGTTGCCCAGGCTGGTCTCCAACTCCTGGGCTCAAGTGATCCTCCCACCTCGGCCTCCCAAAGTTCTGGGATTACAAGCGTGAGCCACCGAGCCTGGCCAACAGGACTAAATTGATACAAGGCATGGGACTCACCATCTGAGGCCCAGACAAGGCCCAAGGCCCAAGGTCAAGGAGCCTGATCTTCACATCAGCCTAGACCCAGTCTCTGAGCCTTAGTTTTATCTTGAATAAAATGAGGCTGTCTGCATTCCCACCTGCGCTGAGGCAGGAAGGGCTGCCCCAGCAATGTGTATGTCCCAGAGCTCTGTAACCTGCATCATCCAGCTCTTGGGGGGAGGAACTGAGCCCTTGGGCCTCCCCAGCCACAGGCCGCCAGAGTCACTCTCTGACCCAGGCCAGTCCCCAGGGTTCCAGGAGCTCTGCAGAGCCTCAGTCCCCAATTGGCAGGATTTATCATCTCCACCGTCCAGAGAGGGGCAGAGACTGACCAAGGATCACACAGCAAGTCAGTGGCTCAGACCTAGGCCCCAGCGTCCCGTGCCACCAACAGCAGCAGCATTTTCATGTCAGTCACCCACTGCAAACCCCATGCTCTCAAAGGCCCTCCTCCCAACACAGGTTAGAGGACTGCAGCGGCAGTCCAGAGGCAAAGGGGCAATGGGTACCTCCTTCAGTGGCCTCCCCAGTTGGGACTGGGAGGCCTCTCCAGGGTGGCTAGGGCCTCCCATCAACTGCCTGGTCACACACAAACCTGAGCCAGTCCCTCCCGGTACCTGGCATCAGAGCCCGGAACATCTTCCTCCACACCTGGAATTTGAAGTCATCTGAGATAATTGGCAGCTGGATGTCCAGACGGGCGGGTGGGGGAGACTCTGCCAGGATCTTCTGCAGCCTGGGGGTGGGGAGGGGAAGGGGAGGCATGTGTGAGGGGGGAGGACAAGGGCTGGGGGGATTCCAGGATCTCCCCACATCGCACCCCTGCTTAAAACTCTTCCTTTGGAGTTTTGGTTTGGGAAGATGAGAAAATTCTGGAGATAAACACTGGTGATGGTTGTACAATGTGAATGTACTTAGCACCACTGAATTTAAATGCACACTTAAAAATGCTTAAAATGAGCGAGGTAGAGTGTAGTCCCAGCTGCTCAGGGAGGCTGACTCAGGAGGCTCACTGGAGCTCAGAAATTTGAGTCCAGTCTGGGCAACATAGCAAGATCCTGTCTAAAAAAAAAAAAAAAAGAAGAAGAAGAAGCTGAAAATTGTCAATTTTATGTTACATGTATTATTTTACCACTGTTTATTTGGTTTTGGTCTTTTTTTTTTTTTTTTGAGATTGAGTCTGGCTCTATCACCCAGGCTGGGGTGTAGTGGCATGATCTTGGCTCACTGCAGCCTCTGCCTCCCCAGTTCAAGCAATTCTCCTGCCTCAGCCAACCAAGTAGCTGGGATTATAGGCGCCTACCACCATGCCTGGCTAATTTTTGTGTTTTTAGTAGAGGTGAGGTTTTGCCATGTTGGCCAGGCTAGTCTCGAACTGCTGACCTCAGGTGATCTGCCCGCCTCAGCCTCCCAAAGTGCTTGGATGACAGGCGTGAGCCACTGCACCCGGCCCAACTACATTTTCTTTTAATCCTTCTGTTGGGATAAGGTCCAAGCCTCTCAGCTTCGCCAGTGTGCACACACCTACTACCGCAGCTTCCTCTTCCCTCCCACTCGCCAGCCCTCTCGCTGGCTGTCCCCTCTCCCAGCAATGCCATTCTCCCAGCAACACCCTTCTCCCAGCAATGCCCTTCTCCCAGCAACACCCTTCTGCCAGCAACACCCTTCTCCCAGCAACGCCCTTTTCCCTGCAATGCCCTTCTCCCCACAATGCCCTTCTCTCTGCAATGCCCTTCTTCTCCCAGCAATACCCTTCTCCCCGCAATGCCCTTCTCCCAGCAATGCCCTTCTCCCAGCAATGCCCTTCTCCCCACAGTGCGCTTCTTCTCCCAGCAATGCCTTTCTCCCCGCAATGCCCTTCTCCCCACAATGCCCTTCTTCTCCCAGCAATGCCCTTCTCCTAGCAATGCCCTTCTTCTCCCAGCAATGCCCTTCTCCCAGCAATGCCCTTCTCCCAATGCCCTTCTCCCCAGCAATGCCCTTCTCCCCGCAGTGCCCTTCTCCCCACAATGCCCTTCTCCCCACAATGCCCTTCTCCCTGCAATGCCCTTCTCCCCATAATGCCCTTCTCCCAGCAATGCCCTTCTTCTCCCAGCAATGTCCTTCTTCTCCCAGAAATGCCCTTCTCCCAGCAATGCCCTTCTCCCAGCAGTGCCCTTCTCCCCGCAATGCCCTTCTCCCCATAATGCCCTTCTCCCAGCAATGCCCTTCTTTTCCCAGCAATGTTCTTCTCCCAGCAATACCCTTCTTCTCTCAGCAATGCCCTTCTCCCCGCAATGCCTTTCTCCTCACAATGCCCTTCTTCTCCCAACGCTTTGCCTAGCCAGCTCCTGTTCATCCCTCCAGGCCCCAACTCAAACATTCACTCCATCCCTGGCCACCTCTTTCCCTCAACGGCCACACTGAGCACACAGTGACGCCTGTGTCCCCACCCACATGTGTCTCACGGCACCAATCTAGGAGGTCCCTGAGTGAAAGGATCCTTCCAGATCATTTCTGTCTACAACCTTGTGTTCAGGCAGGGGTGGGGCAGCAGACTGAATTGCGGGTGTGCAGGCACAATAGTGAGTGGAGAGTGAGCCGGCTGGTGTCCCTAGAAGACTGGGACAAGTCGGGCAAAGGGACAGGGCCAGGTTGCTCTCACCTGCTGGTCACCAGGCAGTATTTCTGGAGAGAGAGAAAAAGAGAATGGTGGTGAAGCCGATGGTGGGGACACTGGAAACTTTTGAGGATGGGGTAGACAACTAGGAATGCTGAGTGCAACGTCAGAAAGAATCAGAAAAGCTAAAAGAGGCCAGACGAGGTGGCTCATGCCTGTAATCTCAACACTTTGGGAGGCCAAGGTGTGTGGATTGCTTGAGGCCAGGAGTTCGAGACCAGCCTGGCCAACATGGTGAAACCCCATCTCTACTAAAAATACAAAAAAAATAGCTGGGCATGGTGGCAGGCACCTGTAATCCCAGCTACTTGGGAGGCTGAGCCACGAAAATCACTTGAACCCGGGAGAAGGAGGTTTCAGTGAGCCGAAGTCATGCCACTGCACTCCAGCCTGGGCAACAGAGCAAAGCCCTGTCTCAAAAAAAAAAAAAAAAAAAAAAAAAAAAAACGCAAAAGAGACCTAGAACTCAAGGCCACCCCTACCCCTTCACTTTTATGTGGATTACAAAAAGGTATCTTTGCCTCCAAGAAACTCTGATTCCACCTGTTAGAAAACTGTCCTAATAGGCCGGGTGCGGTGACTCATGCCTGTAATCCCAGCACTTTGGGAGGCCAAGGCAGGCAGATTGTTTGAGCCCAGGCATTTGAGACCAGTCTGGGCAACATAATGAGACCCCCATCTCTACTAAAAATACAAAAACTAGCCAGGTAAGCGCCTGTAGTCCCAGCTATGGGAGGCTGAGATTGGAGGATTGCTTGAGCCTACAAGGCTGCAGTGAGCTATGATCATGCCACTGCACTCCAGCCTGGGTGACAGAGTGAGACCCTGCCTTTAAAAAAAAGACCAGGCGCGGTGGCTCACGCCTGTAATCCCAGCACTTTGGGAGGCTAAGGCAGGTGGATCACAAGGTCAGGAGATCAAGACCATCCTGGCTAACACGGTGAAACCCTGTCTCTACTGAAAAATAGAAAAAATTAGCCAGGCGTGGTGGCGGGTGCCTGTAGTCCCAGCTACTCGGGAGGCTGAGGCAGGAGAATAGCATGAACCCAGGAGGCGGAGCTTGCAGTGAGCCAAGATCCTGCCACTGCACTCCAGCCTGGGTGACAGAGTAAGACTCCATCTCAAAAAATAAAAAATAAAAATAAGAGTGTCCTAATAAATATATAAACCTACAATGTCTATGATATGAATAGTGCTCACTTAATACAATGTCCTTATGCAGTGCTCAACCTAAACAACCATATAGCAGTCCTGAGGCCTGCCCCTCCCGGCTGTGTGCTGCTGGCTTATCCCTGCCCCTCTCTGGGCCTATCTGACAATGGGATGAGGTCTCTGGGCCCTGAGCAGGGGGCTGAGGCAGGGAGGGGGGTCACCCAGTGCTCACCATGAGGAACTCAGTCTGCGGCTTGTCCGCCACCTCCTCCAGGACCTTCTCCATCTGCCGCAGCTGCTCCAGGTAAGAGTTCAGGCTCCCCAGCTCCCGGCGCAAGGCGACCCCTGCCTCACCCCGTACACGCTCTGCCTCGCGGTCCAAGGAGCCCTCCAGTGCAGCCAGGAACACCCGCATCTTGCCCAGCTGCTCCCCCACGGCCCCCCGGAACTGACGCACTGTCTCCTGCAGGGATGGGGCAGTGATTGAAGGGATAAAGACTCTTGGCTGGAGACCCCTAGCCTGGCCCCCAGCCCTCAGACATGGCCCTGTGAAGTCCTCACCTCCACCTCCACCAGCTGATGCTCCAGCACAGCCACACTCTTCTCCTTGCGCATGCATGCCTCCTGCAGCTGCAGTTTCTGCTGTGGCAGCTGTGTCTGGGGGTCGAGGCATGGAGAAGTGATGGGGATGCCACCCACCCAAAACCCACACCTCCCATCCTAAACCTGCCCTCTGTGGCTCAACCTCAATGCCAGCTCCTCCTCCAGCCATCTTCCCATCCCCAAACCCACTTACATGCCTCCCAGCCCCAGCCAGTGCTACTCCTGAGGTCCGAATGCTTCCCCTGCCCCTTGTCTATTTTGGTGCGGTTTTTTATTTATTTATTTTGGTGTTTTGTTTTGAGACAGGGTCTCACACTGTTGCCCTGGCTGGAGCAGTGGCATGATCACAGTTAACTACAGCTTCAACTTCCCAGGCTTAATTGACCCTCTCACTTCAGTCTCCCAAGTAGCTGGAACTATAGGCACACACCACCGTGCCCAGCAAATTTTCTGATTTTTTTTTTTTTGAGTTGGAGTCTCGCTCTGTCACCCAGGATGCAGTGCAGTGGCACAATCTCAGCTCACTGCAACCTCCACCTCCTGGGTTCAAGCGATTCTCCTGCCTCAGCCTCCCAAGTAGCTGGGACTAATTTTGGTGCACCACCACGCCTGGCTAATTTTGGTATTTTTAGTAGAGACAGGGTTTCACCATGTTGGCCAGGCTGGTCTCAAACTTCTGACCTCAGGTGATCCACCCACGTCAGCCTCCCGAAGTGCTGGGATTAGACATGAGCCACCACTCCTGGCCATGATTTTTTAAAATATTTTTGTAGAGACAATCTCACTATATTGCCCAGACTGGTCTCCAACTCCTGGCCTCAAGCAATCCTCCCACCTCAGCCTCCCAGCATGCTGGGATTACAGGCATGAACCGCCACACCCCCAGCCCCTTGTCTGTTTTGTTGACCCCTCCCTGGCCTTGCCTTCCCTGATCCCCTCTGCTCAGCAGTCAGCCCCATAGCACAGGTCTTTGCGAGGATGACAAACATCAGTGTGGTTTGGTCTCTCCCACCAGACAGGCAGGCACAGAGCTTGGCACACAACAGACCTCAGGGGGTACATGAAGGATATATGAAAGAAGAAAGGCAACCTACCCCTACTCCTGGGCTTCCTCTCTTACTTAAAAGCAGAACATCAGCCTCAGTCAGCCTGTCAGCCTGACCACCAAGTCAGCCTGCCTGTACACACATGGGCTTGGAGTAGGGGGCAGGAAATTTAATTAAAATGTCCCCTGCTGGCCGGGCGTGGTGGCTCACACCTGTAATCCCAGCACTTTGGGAGGCCAGGGCGGGTGGATCACGAGGTCAGGAGTTCAAGGCCAGCCAGACCAAGATAGTGAAACCCCATTTCTACTAAAAATACAAAAATTACCTGGGCGCTGTGGCAAGTGCCTGTAATCCCAGCTACTCGGGAGGCTGAGGCAGGAGAATCACTTGAACCAGGGAGGCGGAGGTTGCAGTGAGCCAAGAATGTGCCACTGCACTCTAGCCTGGGCGACAGAGCAAGACTGCATTTCAAAAAAAAAAAAAAAAATGTCCCCTGCACAGACCAACCATTCTGTGGTCTAGATCTTACCCAAGACCTCAAATGCAAATATGCAAATATAGGAGAGCTCCCAATACTCCTGCCAAAGCCATTTTTTTTTTTTTTTTTTTTTTTTTTGGAGACAGGATTGCCTAGGCTGGAGTGCAGTGGCAGAATCACAACTCGAACTCCTAGGCTCAAGCAATCCTTTTGCTTCAGCCTCCCGAGTAGCTGGCACTACAAGCATGAGCAACCATGCCAGGCTACAAAGCCACTTCTTTGCTGGGAGGTGCCTGACCATGGAATCAGTTCCATTCCTGCCTCAATGACTTGCAACCTGTTTCCTCCTCTGCAGATTGGGAACAGCAATCCCCACCTCAACAATTTGGCGCCCCCACTCTCCCAGGGGAAACTGGGGGACCCTCTAGGCGGTGTTTGCAGAGTCCCCTCCCAGCAGGAGCCACAGGGTTGAATAGGAGCTGCCAGATCAGTCTCCTTCCCGGGACATCCCCGGGGGCGGCAGCTCCACCTGCTGCAGGAAAGGTAGGACCTGATGGCTCCAGGCCCTCGGAGGCTCAGAGGCGCAGGGCTGAGCCATGGGAACGAAGCGCGAGGCCATCCTGAAGGTGCTGGAGAACCTGACACCGGAGGAGCTCAAGAAGTTCAAGATGAAGCTGGGGACGGTGCCGCTGCGCGAGGGCTTTGAGCGCATCCCGCGGGGCGCGCTCGGGCAGCTAGATATCGTGGACCTCACCGACAAGCTGGTCGCCTCCTACTACGAGGACTACGCAGCCGAGCTCGTCGTGGCCGTGCTGCGCGACATGCGCATGTTGGAGGAGGCCGCACGGCTGCAGCGGGCTGCGTGAGGGCCACTCTGAGCTGGTACGTGATCTCGGGACCCAACCCCGCTTCCTCGCCAAGGACCCACGCGTCAGGTCCCGCCCAGAGCCTTCCTGTTCCCCTCCTTCAGGGTCCCTCCTGGGGTCCTCCCTCAGACCTCCGGCCAGCCCCTCCCGGGGGCGAAGGGCTGGGCTGCCGCGAACCCTGGTGGGCTGCATCTCGCCCCACTGCCCCCTTCCAGGCTCCTGGGCTGCCTGGGCCCTGTTCCGTTTCATGGGTTCTGTGCTTTCTTCGCAGATAAAGACGGGCAAGGTTGGGCGAGGTTGGGTTTTTTTTGTTTGTTTGTTTTTTGTTTTTTTTTTAGCGGCAGCAAGATTTATTGCAAAGAGCAAAAGAACAAAGCTTCCACAGCATGGAAGGGGATCCGAGCGGGTTGCCCTGAGGTTGGGGTCTTAAGCACAGGTGTGCTGGGATGGGAGGGGTCCCGGGAGGAGGCTCCTGCCCTGAGCTAGGAGACCACCAGCTAGGACTGGGCTGAACTGGGCCAGGCAGGACTGAGAGGCTGGGTCCCTGGGAAGTCTGGGGGCCTCGAATACCAACGAAAGGACGGTGGTCTACCCCTTCTAGGAGGCGGGTCAAGGCAAAAGGAGTAATGCAACGCCTGTGAAGCCAGCCCCACGCGCGCACCAGTCGCGTAAGACAACAGCAGTGTCTCCACCTCGGGGACCAAGGACGCCTCCGTGCCTCCAGACCCCGCCTCCTCCAGCCCCTGCACCTGTCATTTATTCTTCCACTGCCCAATAAATATTCATGGCAGACTTTACTGGGGCTGCGCGCACACGTGCCCGCCGGTAGCTATACGTGTGTGCTTTTGCCACACGGATGACACGCACCAGCCAGTGTGCGTTCGTCTCTATTTGCCTCTGTCTGGGTGTCTCTGCTGGGTACTTCGGGACGCGCACAACTGCGTGTGGGCTCCCAAGGCTTTCGGGACTTCCAGCTCCACCCAGAAAAACATCCTGGACGGGGCTCTCGGTGCCACCCTGGGCCCGCACACATAAGTGCAGATCCCGGCTGCCTAGCCCTTACAGTCTCCCTTCTGGTGAGGCCCCGCCTGGGGACCGTCAGGCCAGCCCAAGTTCCGCAGCTTCAGGGGTGCGTGGGCCTCCGCTGAGCACAAGGGGACAACCCTGCCCCGGCCGCCTGGCTCGGTCCCGAACGCCGCGCCTCCAGTCCAAAGTGGGCCAGCGCCGAGCAGGGAGCCAGCCCGAACGGCCCACCGGGTGCAGGAATGCGAGCGTGGGCCGCAGGGGCTGGTCAGTCCCTGCTCCGCCTGGCTCCGCCCGGCCCATCAGACCCGCCCTGGGGCTCCGCCCGCCCATCTCCAGTTTCCTCTAGGGACTAAGGCCGGGAAACCTACGTTTGCTCAGCGCCCTTATCGCCAGGCTCCATCCCTGCGCGGCTTTCCTCTGCCAGCCCCGCCTTAAGCTCCTCAGACCCTCTTTCCTGGCTGCTTCGCCCCGCCCCCGCCCCCCGCAACTCCAGGAGCTCGTGAGCCTCTCTAGAGACTCAGAATCCAAATCACTGCAGCGACCTCCCCATCGGCCCCGTGCCACCGAACAGCCCCTCCGACCACGATGCGCGCGGATCCCGCACCTTGAGGCGTGCGTGGGCCTCGGCGGCAGGCAGGAGGCGATGACCGCGGTGCGAGCCGAGTGAGGCGCACACTCCGCACACCAGCGCGCGGTCCTGCTCGCAGTAGATGCTCAGCGGGTCCAGGTGCTCCTCGCAGTGGCCCTGCGGCACCTGGGCCAGCCCCTCCACCAGGCGCGCCAGCTGCAGGTTGGTGCTGAGTGCCTGCGGCCGCGTGGGGGCCTGGCAGCAGGGGCAGAGAACGGTGCCATCCGCCGCCGGCTCCCCGGCCACGCGGCCTAGGCAGGCGCGGCAGAAACTGTGGCCGCACTCGGCTGTCACGGGCGCGTCGAACAGCTGCAGGCACAGCGGGCAGGACAGCTCCTGGTGCAGGAGGCCGGGCGCAGCCGACATGGCGGGCCTGGGTGGAGGAGGAGTAGGTTAGGGGGACCCCGCGGCGCCGCGCTCCCGGCCCAGCCCTGGCCCAGCCCTAGCCCAGGCCGGGCCCGCCGCCCCGCAGGGAGAAGCCCCAGCCTGTAAAGACCTCACATCCTACACTGGATGGGACTCTGACGGCCAAGGGGAAAGAGGAACTCGGTCTCAGGCCCAAAAGCAGCCTCCACTGCAATTCTCAGCTCCAACCCCAAAAATATGCCCTATCAGTCAACCCCAGTTCCTGAACACAAGCCCAGATTCTAGCCCACTGTCCTTGCCCTCGCCTTAGCCCCAGGCCTCAGCCTCTGACCTTAGTCCCGGACCCAAATTCTCCAGAGCCCCCACTCCGAGACTCCCCTCCCTCACTTTACCAAGATACCCAGACCTCCCCTCCCCCTCTCTCCAGCCCACGGGACTCACAGGTCTGGTTGGAGATCTTAGGCTGAAAGAGTCTCGAAGGAGGACCGGTCAGGGTTGAGCTTAGCTGGACTGGGGTCAGGGCTGGGTCCAAGGATCTGAGACAAGCAGCAGGCTCCAAGCAAGGACAGGGACTCACAGGGGCAGCTGGCAGTGGACACCACGCGTGATGGGCACACAGTGCTCAGCGGAAGACCCTCCCAGACTGAGCCATGGCCCCAGGACTATATTTAGCTGCCCTGCCCAATCCCTCCCATCACTTCCGGAAACCGTTCTAAAAGTGAGGGCTGAGTAGTCCCTGGGCACACATCACATGACAGGGCCACCTGTCTTGGCCCATCCACTGTTCTCTCCCCGGCCTGCCTGGAGTCAGAGCTCAGAGCCAGCGGGGAGCCAGGGCCTTTCACACCACAGAAAAGACAGAAAATTGAAGGGGGTCTGCCCTTTCTCCCCCCACTCCCACCTCCACACTCTCCAGCTCCTTCCTCCTTGCTGGCAGCCCCTCCCCAGCCTGTCACCCACTCATTCCCCAAGTTTATGGCTGACCAAGGTCACCCTGGCAGGATTACCCCACCTGCAGGAGGGCAGGACCTCACCCCACCCTGAAATGTTTTCTTCCTCCAGAGCTGAGGGGAGGGTCTTTTCCACTTTGGTCTCTCTAGTACACCCAGGACAAGCCTGGGACAAAGTAGGCCTCTCTAAATGCTTGGAGAATGAATGATAGAGAGACATTGAACAAATGAATGAACTGAATCCAGAGCCTGCAGCCCAGAACTCAATTCTGCCCTGGTTCCTGTATGTGTATCTTTCAAATCTCAGCTGAAATTTCATTTAAGTGGCGCTGGGATAACTGGCTAGCCTTATGCAAGAGAATGAAACTGGACCCCTACCTTTCACCATATAAAAAAAATTAACTCAAGATGGGTTAAAGATTTAAATGTAAGACTTCAAACCATAAAAATCATAGAAGAAACCGCAGGAGAAATACTATTCTGGATATCAGCCTTGGTAAAGAATTCTTGACTAAGTCCTCAAAAGCAACAAAAACAAAAATTGTTAAGTGGGACCTCATTAAACTAAAGAGCTTCTGCACAGCAAAAGCAAAAGCAACTATCAACAGACAGACAACTGAAGAATGGAAGAAAGGCCAGGCGCGGTGGCTCACGCCTGTAATCCCAGCACTCTTGGGAGGCCAAGGCGGGTGGATCATGAGGTCAGGAGATCGAGACCACAGTGAAACCCCGTCTCTACTAAAAATACAAAAAATTAGCCGGGCGCAGTGGCGGGCACCTGTAATCCCAGCTACTCAGGAGGCTGAGGCAGGAGAATGGTGTGAACCCGGGAGACGGAGCTTGCAGTGAGCCGAGATCGCGCCACTGCACTCCAGCCTGGGGTACAGAGTGAGACTCCGTCTCAAAAAAAAAGAATGGAAGAAAATATTCACAAACTATGCATCCAACAAAGATCTACTATCCAGAATATATAAAGAAACTAAACATTTCAACAAGCAGAAAACAACCCCATTAAAAAGTTGGCAAGGGCCAGGCACAATGGCTCACACCTGTAATCCCAGCACTTTGGGGGGCCCAGGCGGGTGGATCACTTGAGGTCAGGAGTTTGAGACCAGCCTGGCCAACATGGTTAAACTTCGTCTCTATGAAACATACAAAACTCAGCCGGGTGTGGTGGCAGGTACCTGTAATCCCAGCTACTTGGGAGGCTGAGGCAGGAGAATCGCTTGAACCCGGGAGGCAGAGGTTGCAGTGAACCGAGATCGCACCACTGGACTCCAGCCTGGGTGACAAGAGCGAAACTCCAACTCAAAAAAAATAGCTGGGCATGGTGAAGAACACCTGTAGTCCCAGCTGCTCGGGAGGCTGAGATGGGAGGATTGCTTGAACCTGGGAAGCAGAGGTTGCAGTGAGCCAAGATCATGCCATTGCACTCCAGCATGGGCAACAAGAGCAAAACTCCGTCTCAAAAAAAACAATAAATATTAAAAAAAAGAAAAGAAAGAAATTTCATCTAGAATAAAAACCAAAGTGCTAACTGTGGCTTACAAAGCCCTATCTGCTATGACCCCATTAATCACTCTGACTCTTTTATCACCCCTTTCCCCATTGATCACTCGGCATCAGGGACTTTGCACTTACGGTCCCCTCTGCCTGGAACACTCTCCAACCCAGGTACTGCATGGCATCCTCTTTTTCCTCCCTCAGACTTTGCTCAATATTACCTTTCCAGCAAGACCTCTCCCAATTCCCTGATTTTAAATCTCCTAACTCCCCAACATCTCACTGCCTGGCTTTCCTTTTCTCCATAACATTTATCAGCATCTGACATGCAATGTATTCTACTTGTTTGCTGGTTTCTTGTCTGTCTCTTCCTACGGAATAGAAATTGTGTTTACTGCTTGTCTCCAGCTTAGACTAAAGTGTGTGACACACATTAGGCGCTCTACAGATACTAGGTGAATGAATAAACACGCAAACTCAGTCCCTCTCATTTGGCCTCTCCATCTTTCTCTTAGCTTCCCTCAAACCTTTTCCTGGTTTTACTCTTTCCTCTCTCAACTGCTGTCTCTCTCAGAATGAATTTTTGTTTCTGTTTCACTCTCTTAATCTCCCCTTTGGACTCTCCCTTTGCCTGTCTCTTAGGTTCTTAATTTTTTCTTTTTCTTTTTTTTTTTTTTTTTGAAATGGAGTCTTGCTCTGTCGCCCAGGCTGGAGTGCAGTGGTACAATCTCGGCTTACTGCAACCTCCACTTCCCAGGTTCAAGCGATTCTCCTGCCTCAGCCTCCCGAGTAGCTGGGATTATAGGCACGTGCCACCACGCCCAGCTAATTTTTGTATTTTTAGTAGAGACGGGGTTTCACCATGTTGTCCAGGCTGGTCTCGAACTCCTGACCTCAGGTGATCCACCCGCCTCGGCCTCCCAAAGTGCTGGGATTCCAGGCATGAGCCACCACACCCGACCGCTCATTCCTTCTTGCATGTTATGTGGTGACAGCATGAACTTCTGCTGGCCTGCTTAAGAAGGTAGCTACTTCAGGCTGCCTGACACCTTGTTTAACCTAGGCCCTCGTTCAGGCTGTAAACATTTGGTTCTTTTAGGAGGAAAAAAAGTTCTATTATTCTTTTGGATAAGAGCAATTACCTGTATAAATGACTGCAGATAAAATTCTGAAATTAAGATGTGAAAAGTCTCAGGAAGCTGGTGCTCTTTTTTTTTTCTTTTCCTTTTTTTTTTTTTGTTTTTTTGTTTTTTTGTTTTTTTGAGACGGAGTGTCGCTTTGTCGCCCAGGCTGGAATGCAGTGATGAGATCTCGGCTCACTGCAAGCTCCGCCCTCCTGGGTTCACGCCATTCTCCTGCCTCAGCCTCCCGAGTAGCTGGGACTACAGGCGCCTGCCACCACGCCTGGCTAATTTTTTGTATTTTTAGTAGAGACAGGGTTTCACCATGTTGGCCAGGATGGTCTCGATCTCCTGACCTCGTGATCCGCCTGCCTCGGCCTCCCAAAGTGCTGGGATTACAGGCATGAGCCACTGCGCCCGGCCAAAGCTGGCGCTCTTTACCGGCACACTGAGAAATCCAGGGGAGTTTTGTGTCCCCACCTTCTTTGTCCTTAAGTCTCTGAGGTCTCACTGTGTCGCCCAGGCTGGAGTGCAATGTTATAATCATAGCTCACTACAGCCTCGACCTCCCAGGCTAAAGTGATCCTCCCACCTCAGCCTCCTGAGTAACGGGGACCGCAGGTGTTCACCACCATGCCTGGCTAAAAGCCCCTGATTTCTTCTCTTCCATTCTTGATGGCTCAGACGCAGCCTTGTGTTAGCAATAGGAAGAGGTTTGAAAGAGGGTATATCTGGAGCTGGTCTCTGAAACCACAAGTTGCTCATGCTCAAAAACTCAACTTCCAGAACTTAAATCTCATCCAGAGTTTCCAATATTGCCAAGTTGGGACTGAAGGTCCTGCTGTCATCTATAGGAGTGGGTGTCTAAGACAGGTGGGTGATAGTCAATTCAATCCTTCCCTGCAGATGGGCCAGGACTGGCCTCTGATCCACGGAAGGAACATTGATTGTCTTAAGCAGACTGAGAACAAGAAGAGGCAATAAGCCATGTGCAGGGAAGGAGGGAGTGGTAAACCGGTATAGCTGGCCCTATGAGGTCCCTCAGACCTAAAGAGCTAGGGATAGATTTCAGCTTGTCCTAAGGGAAAGTTTCCCAACAGCTCAAGCAATGAGTGCCTTGGAAGGTAAGAGCTCCTAATTATTGGGTACATGCAGAGAGAGGCCAGAAAGCCCTAGTCAGGGCTGCTACAGAAGCAAGTCCTGAATGCTGACTTCATGAGCTCATGCTGGGCACCCCTGGGAAAATCACCTGCCTCTCTGGGCCTCAGCACGTTCAAATACAATATGTGGATAAATAACACCATCCTGGCTGGGTGTGGTGGCTCACACCTGTAATCCCAGCACTTTGGGAGGCCAAGGTGGGAGGATCACTTGAGTCCAGAAGTTCAAGACCAACCTGGACAACACAGCGAGACCCCCGTCTCTACCAAAAACAAACAAACAAACAAAACAGTATAGTGGCTCACGCCTGTAGTCCCATAGTCCCAGCTACTCCAAAGGCTGAGCCAGGAGAATTGCTTGAACCCTGTCTCAGAAAGAAAAGAAAAAAAAAACCATCCCATAGAGTTGTCATGAGGATTAAACTGAAAAATATGCCACATAGGCCGGGTGCAGTGGCTCACACCTGTAATCCCAGCTCTTTGGGAGGCCGAGGTGGGGGGATCACTTGAGGTCAGGAGTTCAAGACCAGCCTGACCAACATGGTGAAACCCCATCTCTACTAAAATTATAAAATTAGCTGGGCATGGTGGCTGGTGCCTGTAACGCCAGCTACTTGGGGGGCTGAGGCAGGAGAATTGCTTGAACTCAGGAGGCAGAGGTTGCAGTGAGCTGAGATCGAGCCATTGAACTCCAGCCTGGGCAATAAGAACAAAACTCAGTCTCAAAAAAAAAAAAAAAAAAAGAAAGAAAAAAAAATATGCCACATAAACAGGGACAGTGTGCTGGCACCCAAGGGCTTAGGAAGCAGTGACTGTCACTTCCAGGTTCCAGTCCTGACTAGAATTTCCTTGTTGTGTGACCTTGGGCAAGTCGCTTAACCTGATTTTCTCACCTATAAAATGAGAATCATGTAAGGATTAGTATCAAGACTATGTATTTCTGTAAAGATGCAACAAGTAAGTTGTTTTGTTTTTTGTTTGTTTTTTTTTTTTTTTTTTTTGAGATGGAGTCACTCTGTCACCCAGGCTAGAGTGCAGTGGGGCCATCTCAGCTCACTGAAATCTCTGCCTCCCAAGTTCAAGCGATTATTCCACCTCAGCCTCCCAAAGTGCTAGGATTACAGGCACACACCAACACGCCCAGCTAATTTTTGTGTTTTAGTAGAGATGGGGTTTCGCCATATTGCACAGGTTGATCTCAAAATCCCAAGCTCAGGCAATCCACCCACCTCGGCCTCCCAAAGTGCTAGGATTACAGGTGTGAGCCACCATGCCGAGCTCTTTTATTTTGTTTTGAAACAGAGTCTCACTCTTGTCTCACAGGCTGGAGTACAGCGCTTGAACCACCTCCCGGAGGCAAGCAATTCTCCTGCATAAGCCTCCCGAGTAGCTGGGGTTACAGGCACCCATCACCATGCCCAGCTAATTTTTGTGTTTTTAGTAGAGACAGGGTTTCACCATATTGGCCAGACAGGTCTTGAACTCCTGACCTCAGGTGATCTGCCCGCCTCAGCCTCCCAAAGTGCTGGGATTGCAGGTGTGAGCCACTGCACCAGCTCTTCACAATTCTGAACTCATTGCAGCCTCATAACAACGCTTTCACTTTCCTACAGGGAGGCCATGGGGCACAAGGGCTAAATGACTTGCCCAACGTCCTGGCAGTCTGTGGTCCTTCTTGCCCCAGGAGAAGCAATCTGGCTCCAGCAATCAAGGTGTTACTTTGTTGTGGGGGTAGGGGTCACACCCAGGAAGCAGGCATCCTAATTCCACCAACCACTCTGGCTCCTGTCCAGGGGGGCAAGGGTGAGCCTGGGCTGAGAACTGGAGGCTCTTTCCTGTCAGGGGTCAAAACTCAGCTCTTGGAGCTCGCATCCAGAAAGAGGGGAGGGTCAGACCGGGCACGGTGGTTCACGCCTATAATCCTGGCACTTTGGGAGGCCGACGCGGGCAGATTGCTTGAGCCCAAGAGTTCGAGATCAGCCTGGGCAACGTGGTGAAACCCCGTCTCTACAAAAAAATACAAAAATTAGCCAGGCGTGGTGGCACATGCCTATGGTCCCAGGTGCTTGGGAGGCAGAAATGGGAGGATCACTTGGGCTTGGGAAGTTGAGGCTACAGTGAGCCGGGAGGGTGCCATTACACCCCAGGCTGGGCGACAGAGCCTGACCCTGTCTCCAAAACAAAAGCAACAAAAGAATTTACAGTCTGCTCACAGAGCACATGCACCTGCCAAAAGATGTCACTTGTTCTCACTGAGCTCCGACCTGAAACTGCTGCAGGAGGGAGGCTTCCAGTTCTCCGAGAGAAACGGCTGCATTTCCCCAGTCCCTTGTCCCTTGCCTCCCTGTGACATCTCACCGAAGTGCTAACACTTGCTCTGAGGTGACGGCAGGTGACAATCACAGCCAGGAGCTTCCCCGTCTCCATCTGAATGTGTGTATCAGTAGGACGTAACTGGGGTCAGATGCCAGGGGCAAGCTGGGCCCCAAAGGAAGGACCTGGGTGGTGATGCTCAGAAGTAAGGAGAGCTTCACCCCACGGGGACTCACATGCTCACCTCCTCTCTACCAAGAAGCTGAGTGTGAGGAGGAGAGAGGCATCACTCACTCACACACACGCATATACACACACATACACACACTCCTGTAGGTGCATTTTCCTGCAGCCCCAAAGTTTCCGTTGTAAGGCATCACATTTGTTTTACCTAAAGCAAAGGCCACCCCATCCAAACAAGGGCTCTGGAGATGCAGGCAGGAGGCCACATGGCAAAGGGGACCCCTGCTCTGCGTTGTAGGGATTGAATCAGGCAATCATTTTTAAATGGATCAAACACCCAAAGCTCTTCCAATTCTACCAAAGTGAAAAGAGCAGGTTTCGATGATTCTAGATTCTAGGATTCTTGTGTCATTCTACAACAGCTTATCAAGGCTGGATCTGTGCCAAGCTCTGTGCTGGAATGTGACCTTGGACAAGCCCTTCCACCTCTCTGAACCTATCTTCTCATTTACAAAGTGGGGCCATGATTCCCTATCTCAAAGGGATTGCTATAAGGCTTAGAAATAATGCACGTGGGCTGGGCATGGTGGCTCACGCCGGTAATCCCAGTACCTGGGGGGGCCAAGGCAGGCAAGATTGCTTGAGCCAAGGGGTTCGAGACCAGTCTGGGCAACATGCCAAAACCCCATCTCTACTAAAAATACAAAAGTTAGCTGGGCATGATGGCTCACGCCTGTCATCCCAGTTACTCAGGAAGCTGAAGCACAAGAATCATTTGAACCCATGAGGCAGAGGTTGCAGTAAGGGGACATTGCACCACTGCACTCCAGCCTGGGTGACAGAGCAAGATTCTGTCTAAAAACATATATATTACAAAAATTGGCTGGGCATCGTGGTGCACACCTGTAGTATCAGCTATTTGGGAGGCTGACATGGGAGGATCGTTTAAGCCCAGGAGGTCAAGGCTGTAGTGAGCTATAATCATGCCATTGCTCTCCAGCCTGGGCAACAGACTGAGACCGTATCTCAAAAAAATAAAAAAAAAAAGAGAGAGAAAAAGAAAAAGAAAAGAAAGGAAGGAAGGGAAGAAGGGAGGGAGGGAGGGAAAGGAAAGAAAGAGAGGAAAGAAGAAAGAAAGAAAGAAGAAGGAGGAAGGAAGGGAGGGAGGGAGGGAGCAAGGGAGGGAGAGGGGGAGGGAGGGAGGGAGAGAAGGAAGGAAGAAAGGAAGGAAAAGAAAAGAAAGAGAGGAAAGAAGAAAGAGAGGAAGGAAGGAAAGGGAAGGGAGGAAGGAAGGAAAGAAGGAAAGGAGGGGGGAGGAAGGGAGAGAAGGAAGGAAGGAAAGAAAGAGAAAGAAAGAGACAGAAAGGAAGGAAAGAAGGAAGGAAGGAAGGAAATAAAGAGGAGATAGAAAGAGAGAAAGAAGAAAGAAAGAGGAGGGGAGGGAGGGAGGAAGGGAGGGAAGGAAGGAAGGAAGAAAGGGAAAGAAAGAAAGAAAGGAAAGAAAGAAAAAGAAAGAAAGAAAGAAAGAAAGAAAGAAAGAAAGAAAGAAAGAAAGAAAGAAAAGAGAGGCCGAGTGTGGTGGCTCATGCCTGTAATCCCACTAATTTGGGAGGCAGAGGCGAGCAGATCACAAGGTCAAGAGATCAAGACCATCCTGGCCAGCATGGTGAAACCTCATCTCTACTAAAAATACAAAAATTAGCTGGGTGTGGTGGTGCGCACCTGTAGTCCCAGCTACTTGGGAGGCTGAGGCAGGAGAATCGCTTGAACCTGGGAGGTGGAGGTTGCAGTGAGCCGAGATCACGCCACTGCACTCCAGCCTGGCAACAGAGCAACACTCCATCTCAAAAAAAAAAAACAGAGAGAGAGAGAAAGGGAAAAACAAAAGAAGGAAAGGAGGGAAGGAAGGAAGGAGGCATGCGAAGGACTGCAGACTAAAGGCTTATTTCTATTATTTATTAGAAGAGGTGACTCCTAGGTTGGGTGTGTTGGCTCACACCTGTAATCCCAGTGCTTTGGGAGGCCAAGGCAGGAGGATCGCTGAGCCCAGGTGTTGGAGATCAGCCTGGGCAACATAGCCAGACCCCATCTCTACAAAAAAATTAAAAAATTAGCTGAGCATGGTGGCATGCACCCGTAGTTCCAGCTACACAGGAAGCTGAGGTGGGAGGATCGCTGGAACCCAGGAGTTCGAGGCTACAATGAGCTATGATTGCGCACTGCACTCCAGCTTGGGCAACAGAGTGAGACCTCATCTCTAAAATAAAAGCAGAAAAGAAAAAGTGATGCCTGATGAACGTCAGAAGACAGGCAGGAACTCACCAAGTAGACCAGGAGGAAAAAGAGGCCAAGCAGAGAGCAGCTCCCACAGGGGCGGAGGTTCACGGATCAGCAAGCTGGAAGGGGCAGCTGAAGAGGTTGGCAAGGACCTTGAAGGCCAAGCCAAGGGCTTGGGACTTGAGTTTGAGGGCACTGGGGAGTCATGAGGGGGTCTCTGAGCCAGGCAGGTGCAGGATCATATGTGTGGGTTAGGAAGATGTATCCTTCTGGCCACAGTGCACAAAAGGAAATGGAGATTCTGGAAGGATAAAGGCCAGTGAGAAGGCATGATAAACATCCATGAGCCAAGGAACACTGGCTGTTGGACCACAAGTGCCACCCATGGTGAGGATGTTGGCACACAGCTTACCCCAGCCCACATGCTACAAGGATGGGGAGCAAGGCCAGGCACAGTGGCTCACACCTGTAATCCTAGCATGTTGGGAGGCCAAGGCAGGAGGACTGCTGAGCCCAGGACTTTGAGACCAGCCTGAACAACATAGGGAAACCCATTCTCTATAAAAATTTTAAAAACTAGCCAGGCATGGTGGCACAACTGTAGTCGCAGGTACTCAGGAGGCCGAGGTGAGAGAATTGCTTGAGCCCAGGAGTTCAAGGCTGCAGTGAGCCACAATCCCTCCGGTGTACTCCAGCCTGGGCAACAGAGTGAGGTCCTGTCTTCAAAAGAAAAAACAAACAACAACAACAACAACAACAAAAAGGCTTTCAGCAGGGTAGCAGAGCACTGCTCCCCATCGTGGTTTTTGTTTGTTTGTTTTTGTTCCTGTTTTGAGATGGAGTTTCGCTCTTGTTGCCCAGGCTGAAGTGCAATGGTGTGATCTCAGCTCACTGCAACCTCCACCTCACGGGTTCAGGCGATTCTCCTGCCTCAGCCTCCCCAGTAGCTGGGATTACAGGCACCTGCCACCACGCCCGGCTAATTTTTGTATTTTTAGTAGAGATGGGGTTTCACTCTGTTGGCCAGGCTGGTCTCAAACTCCTGATCACCCACCTCGCCCTCCCAAAATGCTGGGATTACAGGCATGAGTCACCGTGCCCGGCCCATCCTGGTTGTCTTGTTTGTTTTTGAGACAAGGTGTCTGTTGCCGAGTGGCACAGAGTGCAGTGGCACAATCATAGCTCACTGCACCCTCAACCTCCTGGGCTCAAGTGACCCTCCGGCCTCAGCCTCCCAAAGCACTGAGATGACATGCGTGATGAGCCACTGCACCCAGCCATGCTGGAAGCTTTTGAATACAACATGCTGCAGGCATCACAGCCTCATTCATTCCTTCACTCAGCAAATCTTTACTCAGCACCTAATGTGTTCCAGATACATTTTTTTTTTTCAGATGGAATCTAGCTCTGTCACCCAGGCTGGAGTGCAGTGGTGCAATCTTGGCTCACTGTAGCCTCTGCCTCCGAGGTTCAAGCGATTCTCATGCCTCAGCCGCCCTAGTAGCTAGGATTACAGGCGCCCTCCACCACACACAGCTATTTCCAGGTACATTCTTGACGCTAGGAATTCAGCAAAGAATAAGACAGTTAAGGTCTCCGATGCTCATAGGCCTCACATTTTAGAGAGGGATGAATGTCCAATAAGCATATAAACGTATAATATGTCAGGGTCGTATGACTACAAGGAACAGTGATTGTTACAACCCAGATGAGAGGGAAAAATAAAGGATTCCAAATATCCCCCTTGGGAAGTAGAGTCAGGATTCAAACAAAGAACTGTATGGCTTCAAGTTCATGGTCTTTAATCTCCTGGAGGCTGTCTCTCTTTCTTTTTTCTTTTTTTTAATCAGTGTTGGGATCAAATTCTGGCTCCCCTAGGAAGCATCTGGCAAGGTTTCGGGAGCCATCGGGTTGGCCATGTTATGCTGGAATATTTATAAGCACCGGAGGGTTATCCCCATGTCGTAGAAAATGAAACTGAAGCTCAGAGAGATTTGCACTCTCTGCCCTTTTGTACAACTCATTTTTCCCCAGTATGTGGAATTGAGGGAGCTTCACGCTTCTAGCTGTCATGATTCCAAGATTCTACGACATGTGGGAGAGGATCCTAAGGTTCGGGGAACCGCGGAGGTTTCGGGGTTCTAGAAATCCGAGGTTCTAAGCCTAGGTGCTCCAATAAACCCAGTGAGAGCCAGCCCAGGTTTCCGGTCTGTACCCGCTGGTGCAAGCCCAGAGACAAGCAGGCGCCACCCATGAGCCCCTCTGCGGCCCCCTCCCGGGTCCCACCTCGCAGGCCAGCTGGAGGGCGCGATCCTGGCGTCCCCCGACGGCCTGGGGCCCCAATCCAGAGGCCTGGGTGGGAGGGGACCAAGGGTGTAGTAAGGAAGCGCCTTTTGCTGGAGGGCAACGGACCGGGGCGGGGAGTCGGGAGACCAGAGTGGGAGGAAGGCGGGGAGTCCAGGTTCCGCCCCGGAGCCGACTTCCTCCTGGTCGGCGGCTGCAGCGGGGTGAGCGGCGGCAGCGGCCGGGGATCCTGGAGCCATGGGGCGCGCGCGCGACGCCATCCTGGATGCGCTGGAGAACCTGACCGCCGAGGAGCTCAAGAAGTTCAAGCTGAAGCTGCTGTCGGTGCCGCTGCGCGAGGGCTACGGGCGCATCCCGCGGGGCGCGCTGCTGTCCATGGACGCCTTGGACCTCACCGACAAGCTGGTCAGCTTCTACCTGGAGACCTACGGCGCCGAGCTCACCGCTAACGTGCTGCGCGACATGGGCCTGCAGGAGATGGCCGGGCAGCTGCAGGCGGCCACGCACCAGGGTGAGCCGCCCCCGTTCCCCTCCACCCCGTCTTTCCCCTCCACCCACACCAGCGCTTACCCCGCGGGCTCTTCCGCTTTCTGTTCCTCCTACCCCTAAACAAAGCTGCTCTACCGGAAAGGAGGCTCCCCACGCTTGGCCTACCGACCAACGGGACCCCGGCCCCACGGCGGGAAGGGAAGGGAAGGGGATCACTTGGCCCATATCCTTCCAGGCTCTGGAGCCGCGCCAGCTGGGATCCAGGCCCCTCCTCAGTCGGCAGCCAAGCCAGGTGAGGCCTCCACACCCAGCCCGGCCCCACCGCACTCCTGCACAGCCTGCATCTGTGCTCCCGCAACCAGGGCAGGGCAGGGCAGGGCAGGCACGGCTTGGCAACCCTGCGCACCCCACCCACCAACCCACACCCTGCGGGGGAAGGGAGACAATATTACCCTCATCCCACTGCATGTGGGGTCCTGGTGGCCGCCCCCTGGAGCCCTGCCCCTAGGCTTGCAGAGGAATTCCTGAAGAACTCAAGTTCAGCAGGGACAGGCCCCACACCCTGGCTGCTGGCTCATGTTCTCCTCCCACCCCCAGGCCTGCACTTTATAGACCAGCACCGGGCTGCGCTTATCGCGAGGGTCACAAACGTTGAGTGGCTGCTGGATGCTCTGTACGGGAAGGTCCTGACGGATGAGCAGTACCAGGCAGTGCGGGCCGAGCCCACCAACCCAAGCAAGATGCGGAAGCTCTTCAGTTTCACACCAGCCTGGAACTGGACCTGCAAGGACTTGCTCCTCCAGGCCCTAAGGGAGTCCCAGTCCTACCTGGTGGAGGACCTGGAGCGGAGCTGAGGCTCCTTCCCAGCAACACTCCGGTCAGCCCCTGGCAATCCCACCAAATCATCCTGAATCTGATCTTTTTATACACAATATACGAAAAGCCAGCTTGAACTTGTGTGTTTTCCTGCTTCTAGCCTGCTGGCATGTGCAGAGCTCAGCTATGCTTCAGAGGCCACCCAGCCTCCAGCTCCATGTCCCTAGGGTCTCTGGCACCCCAAATGCTTCCCCCATCCTTCCTGGTATCGCCATGGAATATCCCTCCTCATTCACCAGGTGGTGCTCCTCCAGTGCTCCCTAAAGGGTCTAACCTTACCATTATAGATAACAGCCTGTGACCCAGGTCCGAAGGTTAAAAGAGGCATGTACCAAAGGGCGCAAACTGGTGGGCAGCTCTGTCCAAGCCATTTAGAAACACACTAGTCTTCATAGCTCCCCTACCTTCCACATTTTCCACTGGAGAAAAATGCAGAATTAGAGAAATTTGCAGGGGGAGACACATTAGAGCATTATCTAAACATAGGACAGAAGAGCACAAGTCACCAAATTGCTCGAGGGCTCCTTCTGGTGCTGGCTCTTAACAGGCTTAAAGGCTCCCTCTGCCCCACCCCATCCCGTGGGGGAAAGGGTCATAGGTTGCACTTTGCTCAAAAAACATGCCAACCACCAAAGCAGATTTTCAGGAAATGAGTTGTGTGTGGTAGCTGCCTCTTTTCTTGATGCGATTTTTTTGGAGGGTTATTACTTATTCATTCATTTGAAAGGAACATTTAAAACTTTTTTTTTGAGATGGAATCTCGCTGTGTCACCCAGACTGGAGTGCAGTGGCGTGACCTCAGCTCACTGCAACCTCCACCTCCCAGGTTCAAGCTATTCTTGTGCCTCAGCCTCCCGAATAGCTGGGATTACAGGCCCCTGCCACCACACCTGGCTAGTTTTTGTGTTTTTAGTAGAAACAAAGTTTCACCATGTCAGCCAGGCTGGTCTGGAACTTCGGACCTCAAGTGGTCCACCCGCCTCCACCTCCCAAAGTGCTGGGGTGCTGGAATTACAGGCGTGAGCCAATGCACCCGGCCACTTTTTTCTTTTTTTTTTTTTGAGACGGAGGCTCACTCTGTCACCCAGGCTGGAGTGCAGTAGCATGATCTCAGCTCACCGCAACCTCTGCCTCCCAGGTTCAAGCAATTCTTGTGGCTCAGCCAGTCAAGTAACTGGAATTACAGGTGCTTGCCACCCCACCCGGTTAATTTTCGCATTTTTAGTAGAAACGGGATTTTGCCACGTTGCCCAGGCTGGTCTCAAACACCTGACCTCCAGTGATCCATCCACCTCAGCCGCCCAAAGTGCTGGGATTACAGGTGTGAGCCACCGGGCCCACCTTCTTGATGCAATTTTTGCCTACAAAGGGAAATATGAGTATCTCTCTCCAGGAAACTTGAGGTCTTTCCAGAGGCTGTTTGGGAAAGCAGGAATCTAGGGCTACTTCCTAAGTACACTTTACAAGCAATCCTTTCTGGCCTTGAAGAGGGAGGATTTGCAAAGCAATGGGCAGATACCAAGGAGACCCTGAATCCTATCCTTAGGAATCACCAAACAACCACTTTCCAACCTCACTGCCCCACCAGGCTTATCTCTAATTACATCTTATCTGCAACACACCTCCTACCTTGTCCTCCCTGCCTCTAGCTCCAAGAGCCTGAGAAATCCAAACTGATCATGGGAACAGACTCTCACTTTTTTTGAGACGGGATCTCATCTGTTGCTCTGGCTGGTGTGCAGTGGTGTGATCATGGTTCACTGCAGCCTCAAACCCCTGGGCTCAAGCAATCCTCCAGCCTCAGCCTCCTGAATAGCCGGGACTACAGGTGCATACCACCATGCCCAGCTGACTGTCATTTTTAACAGGACACCTAAACTCTCCTCCTAACCTGGCACTTAACCCCATGCAACCTCTCCTCTCCTCACATACCCACGATCCCACCACTATCTGCTCATACCAGGTGCCCTTGCACATGCTGACCCCTTTATCTCTGGACACCTTGACATCTTCTACCTGCCCCAGACTGCCCATACGCATGCGTTCCTCTGGGTTTCAGAGGCTCTTCCCAGTGTCTCTGTGGCAATGCAAACCATGTGCTGGTCTACCTTCACAGAAGACTCCACCACTCCCCTGCTTAAATGGACGCTTAAATGGAGACATCTTTTCAACCTCTGTACAAGTGCCTTGCATGTAGAAAGTAATATATGGCAGTTACTGTGTATCTCTAGTATCTAACAGGATTTTTTTTAAACTTCACAGGAACCTAATCATTCTCCTGACATGGGGCCATAGGTAACACATCCTTGCATGACAGACATCCTTAGAGTCACTACAAAAACCAGTGCAGGCCTGAGGGAAGGAAGTGGTTCCAAGAAAGTTTCCCTAAGATAAAACATTTCTTGGGGCTTCCTTTTTCCTTTGGGCTGTGGGAGAAAGAGTCCTACCAGAAGTCTCCTCAGATTTTAGGCATAGCATAGTGGTTAAGGACAGAAGTTCTATAGCTAAAGAATAGAGGTTCAAGTCCCTGCCCCACCTCTCACTAGCTGTGTCAGCATCCCCTCTAAAGTGGGAGTGACAGGAATCAGCTCATCCCCTAACAGCAACTGGCTCATGGCAAGTACACCTCAGAGTTAGCAATCACCTCCACTAAGACGATTCTGCTCCTAGCCCCTCAATGGCTTAGAACTGTATCTGGGAACCTGTGCTATCCCAAGAACAATCTAGAGTGCCCCTCTGGCAGCACCCCCAAACTCGTTCTGTCACTCCCAGTCCTAGTCGTGGCTCCATGGGTGTGGAAATCCCAGCCCCAGTCTGGATGGCCCCAGACAACTCCAGCATCTTGGGACACATCCCAGATAAGCTGAACGGCAGCCACTGCAAGCGGCAACATTCCTGCCAAGCCCCAGAACTGGATTTCAGAGACATTCAACAAAGTGAAGGAACAACTCAAAATCACCTTCCCCTAACACCTGAAGGGCTTTCCCATGCTTCTCTGAGGCCCTGCAGGAACCAAATCCCATCCCTGTGCTGAGAACTCCCTCCATGATGGTCCAGATCTCCCCACACCAGCAAAAATCCCACAAAGAGGACAGCATCCTCTTTTTTGCTCAAACCTCCCATTTAAGCTTCACAAGACTTAAAAAAAAAAAAACAGAACAGAAGCCAGTGTTGACTGGGCCTCTGCTAATTACAAAAACCCACACGCAGGGCCCTGTCTTCCTTTTCCTTAGCTCCTAGCCAGCATTTTATATAGAAATATAATCCTAGCACTTAGGGACGCCGAGCAGAGAGGATTGCTTGAGCTCAAGAGTTTAAGACCAGCCTGAACAACACAGTGAGACCTCATCTCCACAAAATAATTTTTAAAATTAGCTGGACATGGTGGTTCATGCCTGTAGTCCGAGCCACCGTGGCTGAGGTGGGAGAATTACTTGAGCCCAGGAATTGGAGGTTGCAGTGAGCTGTGATCATGCTACTGCACTCCAGCTTGGGCCACAGAGCAAGACCCTGTCTCAAAAAAATAAAACAGGGGGGTGAGAGAGGGAGAAAGATGAAAGTTTTGTACAAAGTTCCCCTTCAGAAATAATTTGACTCTGCCAAACTCTAGAACGTTACTCTGAGAGGTGTTGAACCAACAGCATCATTATCACCAGAAAGCCTGTCAGAAATGCTTTGCGGGGAGGGCAGGGGGACAGTCTTGTTCTGTTTCCCAGGCCTGCGGGCTGGAGTGCAGTGGTGGGAACACAGCTCACTGCAGCCTCAACCTCTCCAGCTGGGACCACAGGTACATGCCACCACACTTTTTTTTTTTTGAGATGGAGTCTCATTCTGTCACCCAGGCTTGAGTGCAGTTGCATGATCTCAGCTCACTGCAACCTCCACCTCCCAGGTTCAAGCAATTCTCCTGCCTCAGCCTCCCAAGTAGCTGGGATTACAGGTGCATGCCACCACACCTGCCTAAATTTTGTACTTTTAGTAGAGGTGGGCTTTCACCATGTTGGCCAAGCTGCCCACCTTGGCCTCCCGAAGTGCTGGGATTACAGGTGTGAGCCACCGCGCCCAATTTTTTAAAATTCTGGTAGACAAAATGTTGCTGTTACCCAGGTTAGTCTCAACTCCTGGGCTCAAGTGATCCTCCCACCTCGGCCTCCCAAAGTGCTGGGATTACAGGAATGAGCCACCGCACCTGGCCTGAAATGCGTATCTTGAGCCCCACCTGGACCTACTGAGCTAGAATCCATATGTTGACAAATTATAAAGTTCAATTTATAAATTAAGCACAGGAGATTATTATACTGTACTGAAACTGTGTAAGATGAAACCATAGGTAAGGGAGGATTCCTCTGTATATATATATATTTTTTTTAATCTGTGTGTGTGTGTGTATATATATAGGTATAGATAGATAGATAGATAGATTATCCCCCTCAAGTTATAGAGGATGTGGTTCTAGCCATCTCAGACTGACAGGTTTGCGCACCCCTGCCCACAAGAGTAGGGATTTGCCTTGTTTCCTCCTCAAGGGCACAATAAACAGGATGGGTCAACTTTCCCTCAAACTCTGGAAAATCAAAACCAAAAAACAAGCACAACAAGCCTAGGTCTCCTTTTATTTATTTACTTATTTTTTTGAGAGTCTCGCACTGTCGCCCAGGCCAGGGGGCAATGGCACGATCTTGGGTCACTGCAACCTCCACCTCCCGGTTTCAAGCGATTCTCCTGCCTCAGCCTCTCGAGTAGCTGGAATTACAGGTGCCTGCCACCAGGCCTGGCTAATTTTTTGTATTTTTAGTAGAGACAGGGTTCACTATGTTGGCCAGGCTGGTCTCAAACTCCTGACCTCGTGATCTGCCTACTTCAGCCTCCCAAAGTGTTGGGATTACAGGCACAAGCCATCGCACCCAGCTGCCAGGTCCCCATTCTTAAGAACACTGCACTCAGTAGTGACAAAGAATCGGTGTGATTGTGCAACACCCCTCGGCGTGATGAGCACAGGCAGGATGTCACCTGGGAAACTCGGTTCCTGCCCACTTCATCCGGCCCTCGACTGCCCTTGCTTGGACCCTGCTTGCTCAAACACTTTGTCGTTGGCTCCAGAGTCCAGCATCAGCACTCTCACAGGGACAGCACATCCACCATCTTCAGCCCAACCATCCAAGCTTTCCTCTGCCTCTTGCCGCTAACATGGGTGGCCCTCAATTGTTTTCCAGGTAAGAGTCTCTACTGCCCCAATATTTAGGGCTAAAGCCACAATCCAAGGAGCTGACAGCATTAACCACCAACAGAAAGCAGTATTTCTTCCAGCTCCAAACTCCTGCTCATAAACTACATTCTCCAAGTCTGTTCCTGCCTCAAAGATACTGGGAATTTTAGACTCAATGGTCTCCAAAATTTCTTAGAATACCTTGAGATTGAGGATCTAATACTTCGTTTTTTGAGACAGAGTCTCACTTCATTGCCCAGGCTAGAGTGCAGCGGCGCGATCTCGGCTCACCGCAACCTCCGCCTCCTGGGTTCAAGCGATTCTCCTGCCTCAACCTCCCGAGCAGCTGGGACTGCAGGCACCTGCCACCACGCCCAGCTAATTTTTGTATTTTTAGTAGAGTCGGAGTTTCACCATGTTAGCCAGGCTGGTCTCAAACTCCTGGCCTCAGGTGAGGATCCAATATTTCTACAACAAAAAATCCTGGTCAGATGTGCTGGCACAACCCACTTGACAATACTTTCTCAGCTTGTATATGCCAGCGCCACTGAAGATTGTATTTGCATAAGAAGGTGAACACAATTGTAGAAATATTCTTCTAAGTCAAATTATTTCAAAATAGCCAGGTGCAGTAGCACACCTGTAGTCCCAGTCATTCAGGAGCCCGAGGCGGAAGGATCGCTGGGGCCCACTGAGACCAGCCTGGCCAACATGGAGAAACCCCATCTCTACTAAAAATACAAGAGTTAGCTGGGCATGGTGGTGCACACCTGTAATCCCAGCTACCTGGGAGGCTAAGGCAGGAGAATCACTTGAATCTGGAAGGCAGAGGTTGCAGTGAGCCAAGATCCTACCACTGCACTCCAGCCTGGGTGGCAGGGCAAGACTCTGTCTCCAAAAAAGAAAAAAGAAATCTGTACGTCAGAGATGTCTGCACTCCCACCCAATGCAGCGTTATTCACACTAGCCAAGATATGCAAGCAACCCAAGTGCCCAATTAACGGATGGATTTTTAAATGTGGTATGTAGACACAACAGAATGCTATTCAGCTTTTTAAAAGGAAACCGTTATTTGTAACATGGGTGAATCGATAAATCTAGAAGACATTATGCTAAAATAAGCCACAGAAAGACTGCATGAACTTATACACGGAATCTAGAAAGTCAAACTCGGAAACTGAAAGTAGAATGGGGGTTACCAGAGGCTTGGAGGTATGGGTAAGCAGGGAGACAAAGGGTACAACACTTCAGATGCAAGAAATGAGTTCTGGTAAGCCACTGCACAGCATGGTGACTACAGTTCATAAAAACGTGAGACACAGTGGCATGCATCCATAGTCCCAGCTGAGAGGCTAAGGGCAAGAAGATCACTTAAGCCCAGGAGTTCAAGTCCAGCCTGAGCAACATAGGGAGACCCGTTTCAACCCATTTACGCCTAGTGCTCCATTACAGGTGTGACCCACCACACTCGGCCAGAACACACTATTCTTACTGAATGACTGAAGTCAATCATTTTTTGTTTTTATTTTTGGTCTGATTATTCACAAAACATTTGCAACCTCCAGCATAAAAGGGCTGAAATAACATAAATTTCAAAATTTTCTAAGAGTGGCTTTGTATGTTCTCATTCATGCTAATGATATGAAGTGATGGATATATTAGCCTGATTTGATTCCACAATGTGTACATGTACAGAAATAGGACATTGTACCCCATAAATATATACAAGTTAATTAAAAATAAAATTTTCATAGCCGGACACAGTATCTCACACCTTAATCCCAGCACTCTGGGAGGCCAAAGTGGGACAATCACTTGAGCCCAGAGCAGTTTTGAGACCAGACCAGCCTGAGCAACATGGCAAGACCCCATCTCCACAAAAAATACAAAAAAAAATTAGCCAGTCATGGTGGCAGGTGCCTGTAGTCCCGTCCCAGCTACTCCAGAGGCTGAGGTGGGCAGATAGCTTGCGGGTGGGAGGCAGAGGTTGCAGTTGGTCGAGATCACACCACTGCAATCCAGCCTGGGTGAGAGTGAGACCGTCTCAAAAAAAAAAAAAAAATTTAAAAAGGATGAGACTGGAAGGAAGACATGCCTAAAGGTAGATCAGTGAGTCAAGTCTCACATGGGCTGGACCCTAGACCTTAATTCCTGGTCAATCTACCCACCACTGACATAACTGCAGCCCTACATCCAAGTACTGAAACCCAGGAAGGCCCGGCACAAGATGGGGAAAAAAGCTGAAAGGGCTAACTGAAGGCTACATCAAGGAAGGGACAAACAGACCTACAGCACAGCTCTCCCCACCCTCCTCACTTCCTACTTAGCCTGTCCCAATTCCAACTCACAAAAATGGGACACCTAATGCTTCAAGACAGATTTCAATCATTCAGTAAGAATAGAGTATTCTGGCCAAACGCAGTGGGTCACACCTGTGATCCCAGCACTTTGGGAGGCTGAGGCAGGCAGGTCACTTGAGGCCAGTTCAAGACCAGCCTGGGCAACCCAGTGAAACCCTGTTTCTTAAAAAAAAAAAAGTAATTAAAAAAAAAATTACCCAGGTGTGGTAGCGAGGAAGCACCTGTAGTCCCAGCTACTTGGGAGGCTGAGGTGGGAGGTTGGCTTGAGAGGCACCAATGTTCTCTCTGCTGCTAGGTGTCTCTATCCATTCTCCTGGAAGATCCCCCCAAACTGGACCTACCCACTAAACAGTCACCTGGGACCCTATTTCCTTTTAAGGTCAAGGCCAATCACATATGCCATTTGAAGGACACAGGAACTTGACACTAATGGTCCCAGTAATCATATCTTACAAGGAGCTTCGACCTCCTCCACTCCTAACAGGAGGGCATCAGGGGACCACAACCAAAGCAAGATTAGAATCCTGCTAGGCAAAGCACCAACAGTGAACTACTCAAATATCGTATCAGGCCATTTCAACTAAACATTTAACAAAGAAACCAGCAGTGGCAGGGACGGAGAGAACTGCCACATCCTCTACATGTACTAAGTCAAAGCAATGCCTGGGAAGGCCCACTTGACGATCCTTTGTTTTTAATACGCCAGACCACTCTCCGCCTACTGTTGCTTAGAGAGCACCCCAATGCTGGCAGGGGAAGTAAACCTGCTATTCCTCTTAAAAGTCATGGTTTATTGGGAGGCTGAGGTGTGCACATCACCTGAGGTCGGGAGTTCGAGACCAGCCTGACCAACATGGAGAAACCCCGTCTCTACTAAAAATACAAATAAATTAGCTGGGCATGGTGGCGCATGCCTGTAATCCCAGCTATCGCTTGAACCCAGGAGGCGGCAGTTGCGGTAAGCCGAAAAACGTGCCATTGCACTCCAGCCTGGGCAACAAGAGCAAAACTCCATCTCAAAAAATAAAGTCATAGTTTCTGTGCCTCAAATCACCCAAGATTCAAGGATGCAGCAACTCTTCAGTAGAGAACATACTTGTGGAACACTTGAAAATTTGAGAGGATGGCCAGATGCAGCGGCTCATGCCTGTAATTCCAGCACTTTGGGAGGCCAAGGCAGGTGGATCACCTGAGGTCAGGAGTTAAGAGACCAGCCTGGCCAACACAGTGAAACCACACCTCCACTAAAAATGCAAAAACTAGGTGGGCATGGTGGCCCACGCCTGTAGTCTCAGCTACTCAGAAGCTGGGATTCTCCTGAGGCAGGAGAATCGCTTAAACTCAGGAGGCAGAGGCTACAGTGAGCCGAGATCACGCCACTGCACTCCAGCCTGGATGACAGAGCAAGACTCTGTCTCTAAAAATAAAAAATAAAAATTTGAGAGGAAAGCACTTCCCAATTAGGGGTCCCCAGCACATTTGTAAGCTATGCTTGTGATGGCAGCTGTCTTACAAACCAAGTTCGAAAACCCTGTAAATAAAACCTTTCTGCTCTTGGGTTAATGTTACGCTCTGTGTAACTAAAATAAAAAGCATGCTAAATAACTGGTTGGCAGGTACGTGCAAGTTTACAACCACATGGTAAGAGGCTGAGGAGCACTGCTCTAAGGTTTTAACTCATTGGCTGCAACCCCTTCCCCCTCTTATCACTTATCATTCCCTTAGGAGGGCCTTCCACCCTCCAATCAAAAAGGGATCAAGCCTAAAATCTCATAATGTCAATGACCTCAAGCCCTCTGAGTACAGGCAGGATGTGAAAGTAACCCAGCCAGACCAGTCTCCTTATAGCAGGTATCTACCCAAGCGCTGTTCACCAGGGCAGCTAGGAAGGGAGTCACTCACCTCCTAGATCCTGACTCCACTCCACAAACTCCTGCAGCACTCAGTTACTCTCCTTCCTGTGAAAGACCCAGAGTGGCTAAGCGCTCTCCACCATGGTCAAATCTGAATACTGCCCCATTTAAATGTAGTTTGTTTGAGCCTCACCATTAAAAGGGCCAAAAGATCAAAGAGTTCTTAAAAAGGGATAAACTGCTGCAAATAAACTAAGACCAGTATGCAAATAAATGTGGTAAAGGAAAAATTCCCCATAGCTGGGCAAATTTAGGCCAACACTCATGACATCCCATGTTCTTCATTTCTCATTTATACACCAACTTTCCCCATGACAGAAAAGTTTAATCTCTGCTCTCAAGGATATCATTTGGCCTTCTCCCCGAACACTGTATTCCAGTTCCTGCTGGGCAGGGTAATCTGAACAGGAAAACTCTCTACCTTCCTGATCGGGACATCGATCTTCCAGGAAAGTGAAAAGGGGGAAGAGGAACAAAATTTAACTAAAATGGTCACTTTTAATGGGAACCAGAGGTATAGTTACAATTACATAGTCCGACACAAAAAAACCCTTGGGTGATCAGGAATTGGAAGGTTACAAAATAACGAGGGTAACACTGGGTACAGGACAAAAAGCTGTTCCAGAACCTGGGGAGCCAGGCTAATTAATACGGCCTCTCCCTGCGATCCTGTCTGTGCTCACCCCTGCAAAAAAAAAAAAAAAAATTAAGTATCCATTATATTTGAGTTACCAGCCTCTCCAAGCCTAGATATCCTATCTGCCCCTCCTACCTAACCCAGCGAGTATCTTATCTCAAGTGGGTCTACAGATTCACTCCCCCTGAGTTAATTTTCCTTCCCTCTCCACTACTGGTTACAACCTCAGGTCTTTCCACCTAGCCCTCAAAATGAAACCACTTTCTCAACAAAACCCTGTTATCCTATGGCCTCTGTTCAACTGCTCTACTTTTTTATTCTGATTTAAAGTCTTACCTGGAATCCATCTTGCCAGGGCCAAAGCCACCTCTGTCCCCACCACCCCGGCCCCCTCGGAAGCCTCCACGGTCCCCGCCGCGGCCCCGGTAGCCGCCTCGATCATAGCCTCCTCTGCCACCACGACGATCATCCCCGTAGTTACCCCCTAGGACAAAAGAAACAAGATCTATCATATTCCCATTCCCCTATGTTCCCCGAGCCTCCCCGCTGAAAAATTAAGGATTCTTTGGTCCCAGCTCCCTAGCACCAGGTCTGCCTTTCTTACCCATGTGAGAGCCACCTGGTCCCCCTCCTGGGCCATCTGGTTTAGGGGCCTTACACTGGTTGCATTCATTCCTCCAAGAGAAGTTCATATTCTCACAGGTGCTAAGGAGAAAGGAAGACAATCAGTCTGGAGCGATGGGGAATAGGCAAGACCTAGAACTAGGAAGAAACTACGGTGACTTTAGAGATACAGTGAGGAAACTGAAGCTTCAGAAAGACAAAACGGCTTGCTTCTCAGAGTCAGGAACAAAAATCAGTATTACTGAACCCAATCCATTACCTTTCCCATTACATCAACCTTACCTAGGTAAGCTTTTGGCTAAATCTGACCCCAACAGTGTGGCCTTGACATTTACTTCTTTGGAAAACACGCACATACCTCAGTACCAATATATCAAAGAGCACGCATGCAAGAGAACTAAGAAAAAAATTAAGTTTCACTCACGGATTAGGACACTTCCAGTCACCAGCTCGCTGCTGTCCTCCACCGCCACCACCTCCACTGGGAAATCCTCCTCGGCCACCACCACCACTGCCACCACCTCCATAGCCTCCACGGCCCATGGGTCCTAATGCAGATAGACCAAGTATGGGTCTGCTCCCTCTCCAAGTTTGGTAAATCTAACCCATTCCATGCAAGCCTTTACCATCTTCTGCACTCTCCCCATTACCCCTCTGCACCACTAGCAGGTAGCTCCTCACCTCCTCGCCCTCGGCCTCCACGACCATTGCCACCACCCCGATTAAAGTCTGCCCGGCGAGTAGCAAATGAGACCTTGATAGGATTTCCGGAGAATTCTTTACCTAGAGAAACAAAAAATCATCAACAGACTTTAAATGCAAGACACATTAATCCGAAAATACAAGAGAAGCGTGCCTTTCTCAAATGGTTTATAATCTGCTGACACATAAGCAAAAATGAGACTACCTGAAACCGCAGCTAAAGTAAGTGTTGGAAGACTCAAAAGAACCCTCAAACTATGGCTTGTTTCCTAAGGCTTGCTGCCCTATATCCCCAGCCCCACCTCTGCCAGCCTTCTCATACATACCATCAAACCAGTCAATAGCTGCTTTAGCTGAAGGTGGGTCATCAAAAGAGACCGTTGCCTCTCCCTTCAGCTTGCCAGTTTCCCTGTCTGTGTACAAATTAATCATGGGCTGTCCCGTTTTCTTGTTTGTCTGAAGAAAGCAAAATGAGGTAACATCAATTTTAAAGGCTACAGTACTCCCTTTCCATCTTCTTCCTCTAGAACATGAGGTTTATAATTCCCAAACTTCAGCTCCCCTCTTCCCAGTTACTTCTTCCTACCTCACATGTAAACCTCCATTAAAGAAAACTGTCTCTCACTCCAATATTGAAAGATAAAACTAAAAGTTACTATAGAGTACAAATCTCAAGAGTTTAGGGTACTCTGATAAGTTATACTTTTTGTGTTAAGATAGAACTTCTCTTTTAGAAAACAGTAACTAAGGCTCTTTCCTCAACAAATTAAGCTGGCAACAACCACTAAGACTTGTTTTTACTGCTGGCAACCATTAAAGACTTGCTTTTACTAATGTGTGAAATCCACAAGCCTACAACACTGACAGAAAGCTCCCACTCCTCTCCACAAGTACCTTAATAATACCAATCTGCTTGAAGTAATCAGCCACAGACTCAATTGTAACATTCTCACCCAGGCCTTGCACAAAGATGGTGTTGTTGTCTGAATTATCCTGTTCTGCTTGTTGAACAGAGAAAATGCAAATGTGAAAAGGTAAAATAAAAAACACAGGAAAAAACCTAAAGCACCTAGTATCCATCAAGCAACTGGTATCATTTGGTTTATGGAAGACAACTAAAAAGAAATCCACATCCCTTTTGAGTCCCTATATGCCAGCCATGCTGATAAATTTCAGATTCAGTTTGACAATTATCCTTTGAAACATGTTAACACCCAGTATACAGTATGGAAACCAGGGCTCAGGAGTGAAATGCCCAACAAGACCACACAGAAAAGTCCATCAGTATTTATCAACTTTCAGTTGAAGGTCCCCGAATTAAATAAGAAACCCATTTTACATTCAAATCTAGTACACAAACATCAATACAACCTAAACAGGAGTTCAATGCTTTACTTCATGTGGTCAGGTCTTTCACTAGTTTTGTTCACCAACTTGGACATGATCCACATTTTGAAAGAACCACTGCTGTAAACCATCTGAGTGTGGTCCAGACGCATCAGCATCACTGGGGACTTGTTAGAAAGGTAGATTTTCAGGGTCCTCTCAGACCTAAATCACTGGGGGTGGAACCCACAAGCCAGGTATTTCTGAGAAATACTTCGTAACAAATACTTCTCACTGCTAACTAAGGACACACCTAACTCCCTTCCTTCTCTATCCCCATTTTTTTCAGTTTCCTTTTTATAATAGTTTCAAAGAACATCCAGGCAGTCTTGATACCACTTTAGCCACTCTTTTCATGCCACCACGTGTGAACTCACCGGAGTCATGACGTGATCCTTGGTCCCGAGGGCCTTTAGTGACATGGAAAAAAAGAACAAAAAAAAAACAAAAACAAGGAAAAGATGAGCCGTTAGTCAACAGGAAAAAACGGACAAGGAAAAAAATTAACACCAAATCCAAACTTGTAAAATATCAAGTAAGTGCTCACAGCCTCACTCCAAACCCTTTCCTGGGTCGCCTGCCCAGAGGAGAAAATTCTAGGCAGGCCCCTTAAGATCTGTAACTTGAGTCTCCACAGAGACAACTCCACACTTCAGCAAATGCTGCCTCCCCCAGCTCAGGCTGGGAAATGTCCTCAGCACAGGTGGCAGGGGAAACGGAGACCCATTAAAGTGAACAAACCAACTCAGCTTGGCCCGGTTCTCTCACCCGAGAGAAGAGAGATGGGCTCGCCACCAGCCATGCGATGTGCATCCATCCAGTTTCTCCCAACTTTACCACCAGACACTTAACCCTTGTGGAACAATTTTTAATTTCATCTTTAGAAACCATCCTTAAAACCGTGTTGTTTCCCCGAAACCACATGAAAATAAAAACCATACATAATAGCTATTGTATTTTTTAAGCATGTCCCAGGGAACAGACCAGAAATCTTATTTCCGTAATGCAGCCTCTATTTTGTTTTTCCAGAGACCATCTTTGACCAATGTTTATCTGAATTCGCCATATATAAATATTGTACCCACACGCAATGACACCTAAGTCATGAACCCACACCTTTGGCTTTAAATCTTGAAACAAATCAAGAAACCTTTTGTTAACCAAACCAGAAAAGTTCCAGCTTACTGGGAGACTTCTCAAATTTGTCATTTTTCCATGAATTCAGTTTGTGCTGTTTAAGACCTTCCTGGTCCACGAATTCAGTTTGTGCTGTTTAAGACCTGGTTATTTCCCATGAGCCACACATGCTTCCAATCTTTCTTGAAGTAGTGCACATGTTCCTTCCCAGAGCTAGTTTCTATTTGCCCATCTCAGTTAAGTCCATATACATAGAATTGCATTCATTGACACCATTCCGTACTTTATAAATGTATACCAACTTCACCATCCTCAGGGCAATGTTACATCCCTCTTCCAGAATTAAACATTCGGAGTTGTCTCCCACACACTCACACACACACAAGCCTTGGACACAACGATCAAAAGGATCCTAAAGCCAAGATGGCACCACGTGTTCCAGCACGCACTCTCCAGTTTCTCATGATGATGGTCACTAAGTGCCAGGTGTGGCAACGGCCCAGTCCAAGGCCTACTAGACCCCTCTTATTAACCTGGGGCAAACCCATTTGGTAAAAGATGACTATTGAGTCTTACCCCTACCTGCTCCAGGTTAGCACACACCAGGCAACAGGTGGCATTCTACCCTACCCCTTTCTGGAGGTGGTTCTGGACACCTCAAAACCTTTGACATTTAAATTAACACGCTAAGACATCTGCAAATGAACAATCAGACAAAGCATTGCTGGGAGTTGGGAATTTTGGAAACTCTGTTCACTTACCACCAAATTTATTGAAGCCACCACGGTCACTTCCGCTGGAGAAGACAAGTTAGAAGAAAGGACATGAAGCTTCCAACGGCTACAAAAGGTTGTTTTTTGATTTTGTTTAACATTCCCCAAACATGGGTAGGTGTTTTTGGAAAAAGATACAAGTGGCTACTAAAATACATCCCTTCCTGACCACCCCTTGTCTGACCTTTGAGCATGTCACACACACGTGTGCAATTTCTCAGACACAGTTTATAAAGATTTTGCTTTAAAAGGTTACGTTATCTATTTCCTCTGGAAAAAAAATAACCCATTTTCCTTGGTCGTTCTTCCGATGGAGCAGATGTTTTTTTTTCCTCTTGTCGCAAGTGGTTGACAACCAAGTAGTTGGTTTAAAAACCCTACCCCAATTTACCCAGAAGACATTTCACACCAGGCTGGGGTAGCCTTGAACACATTTTTGTGGTTTTTGCTTTGAAAGCAGCAAGCAGACCCAACCCCATTCCATAAAAAGTCAAAACCAAAGGCAACTTCCCCTTAAAGCAAGACAAACTTAGCTAAGCTCTGTCCTAACTACTGAGCTGTTTTTGATCTCCCCCAACCCCCGGGGTCACCCCTTCTACACTGCGAGAAGAGCGGAGTATTTTGCAATGTCACCTTTCATACCTGTGGCACATAAAATGCAGAGCAAGTTAACAGTCACATAACAGTTGTTTTTCTTTTTAAAGTTTTGCATTAAACACACGCACACATTTCCTCATTTTTGTTTTCCTCATTTTTGCACGTTTTTGAGATTGCCCCCACCCACCTCTGCATACTTACCATTTCCAAACTCGGTTTAAAAATCTACTTTTTCCAAAAACAGTAACACTGACATTCCTCCCCTTTTTCAAGGGAGACAGAGTAGGGTCCTTCAAATCTTATTTACCAACAGATTTGACAACTGTTTTAACATCAAATCTAAGGTTTTACTTCAAATCAACTTCAGCAGGAAGGAAAGAAGGTCCAGTTGGACAAGCTGATGAATTTTAAGTAACCAGGGGAAGGCAGACAGTGGAACAAATAGGTGGGAGACCACTGTCAAAGCATATTTTTGCCCAAAAGGTCTGCTTACTTCAGTCAGCTGGCCCCATAAACCAAGTCACACACAAAATCAATGTCGGTCAAATTAGTGCAAATCAAGCTCGTGGATTCAAATGACTATAGAAAACGGGAAGAGTAGCCAATTCCTGGAAGCTGAAGTCAGGTTAACCATTACCAACTCCCTAGAGGACACATGGGAATACACATACCAAGTTTCCCTACTATTTCCCAGGAGTGGGATCATCGGTTTCCCTTGCAGAGAAAGAAGTCTTCACTTCCATGTTTCTTGCCTAGGATATTAATGACTCCAATCCATACGTATCTATGTATGGTTTCTTTTTTTTTGGAAACAAGTATCATTACTCAAAATCTCTATTCAGTGGTATGGATGGGAGTTCAGGCTCCCAAGTTCTCACAAAAATAAAATGGGGATGTAAAAAGAAAGTCACTGCCCCCAAATCAAAGCCCTCACAGATCCCTAGACAACAAGAATACTAAACCATGCACTAGGGACTGGCTTCAGGGAGATTCATGCAATCCTCCACACTCCCCACCAAAGATACTCCCTGGCTCATGAGACACCTACCCCATGCCACCTCTGCCTCCACGGCCACCTCCACGACCTCTGGGTTCATAGCCACCACTGCTGCGGTTGTAACCACCACCGCCGCCGCCGCCGCCGCCACCACTGCCACCCCTGCCGCGGCCTCCACGGTCCTGCTGTCCATAGCCACCGCTGCCACCTCCACCACTCTGGTCTTGATTGCCATAACCGCCACCACTGCCACCACCACTACTCATGGAGGATTGATCTTGGCCATAGTTACCTGTGAGAAAAGAAAGAATGATTAAAAAAAAAAAACAAAAAGATTGTAAAGTAGCACTAAAAGGTTTGAAAAGGTTTGACAAGTGCCAGGCAATGAAGGACAAAAGAAAGTAAAAAGACAGCTAGGAAACAAGACAGGAACCCTCTTTTAAGCTAAAACAGGAGAATACAAATCCTTATAGAAAATGGGCTGCAGACACCAGGCACAGTGGCTCACGCCTGTAATCCCAGCACTTTGGGAGGCCAAGGCGGGCGGATCACAAGGTCAGGAGATCGAAACCATCCTGGCTAACATGGTGAAACCCCGTCTCTACTAAAAATACAAAAAATTAGCCGGGCGTGGTGGCGGATGCCTGTAGTCCCAGCTACTCGGGAGGCTGAGGCAGGAGACTGGCGCGAACCCGGAAGGCGGAGCTTGCAGTGAGCCGAGATTGTGCCACTGCACTCCAGCCTCAGCAACAGAGACAGAGCAAGACTCCGTCTCAAAAAAAAAAAAAAAAAGAAAAAGAAAATGGGCTGCAGACAAAGCTGAAGACATCTCACCTCCACCTCCACCTCCACCTCCACCACCACTGCTGCTGTTGTACTGGTTCTGCTGTCCATAGCCCTGAGGGGGATTATAGCTTTGCTGCTGTCCATAGCTTTGCTGCTGTCCACCATAGCTAGGCTGCTGGCTGTAGCTCCCACTCTGGGGCTGCCCATAGCTGCTGCTCTGAGAACTGCTACCGTAACTAGGGAAAACAAACAAAAAACACAATCACAATCCCAGCATAGCCCCCAATTTCCTTTCACTTTTAGTGGAGTCCATTCTCTGTACCCAACACAGGCTCCCCTACCCCAATTACACCTCTGAACTGCTCCTACTGCTGGTCCCTTTATCATTCCTCATCAATTCACCCCTCTTTTCAAGCCTTCCCCGACATCAACACCACCGTACCTTCCCGAGGTGCTGCTGGGAGCTGGCTGCTGGCCATAGCCAGGGTAGGAGGACTGCTGCCCGTAAGACGATTGGGAGCTCTGGCTACTGCCATAGCCGCCAGTCGAGCCATATCCCTGGGGAGTTGACTGAGTTCCATAGCCTGCTACCAGGATAAGAAAAAGGGAGTCACAAAAGCCACCAGGAAAGAGAAAATGTAAGGAATGGGTTAAAGAAAACATAATACCTATACTCATAAAGCCAGCCTCTCAGAAGCTGTTAGTGATGTTGCAACTCATAGGCAAAGATAGTTACCCTCCTTTCAAAGCCTAAATTTAATGCTTCAACTTCTACCAACTCTTTAGTACAGTTCCAATTTCACCCCGCCAATCCCAACACCATCTCCAGCACCACCCTCTAAACCCAGGCCCAAGGATCCCTGTTAACAGCACTGTAATATGCAGCTGTGCGTGCAGTATCTACAGGACAACCACCTTTCTTAGTTACACTTCAGGACCTTGGGGCAAATCCCACCTCCTTATGTATCACATGATTTCATACATTTTCAAACAAAACCATTTTCTCCATTTCAGAATTGGCCTAAAACTGGTTCTTCCTTTAGAAAATATGCTCTCTTTCATGCTGATGGAAAATAAGAAGAGTCAAAAAAATTAAAAGCCAAAGAAAATAAATGGAAACAGAATCACAAACCAATAAACATTTTTGTTTTTTGTTTTTTTTTTTATGTTTTTGAGATGGGGCCTCAACACACTGCCCAGGCTGGAATGCAGTGGCTGTTCACAGGCACCATCATAGCTCACTGCAGCCCCAAACTCCTGAATTCAAGGGATCCTCCCGCCTCAGCCTCCTCAGTAGCTGGGACTACAGGTGTGCCACAATGCCCTGTAAAGGACTCAGATCCCAAAAAGTTTTAAGACTTATACACTGTTTCACGGAAAAGAAATATGGAACAGTTTCAACATCTCAGTGCTGCTCAGGTTTAAGAAAAGCAACATTCAGGGCATTGTGGCTGACGCCTGTAATCCCAGCACTTTGGCAGGTCAAGGCAGGCAGGAGGTCAGGAGTTCCAGACCAGCCTGTCCAACACGGTGAAACCCCATCTCTACTAAAAACACAAAATTAGCCAGGCGTGGTAGCAGGTACCTGTAATCCCAGCTACTCAGGAGGCTGAGGCAGGAGAATCGTTTGAACCCGGTAGGCTGATGTTGCAGTGAGCTGAGACAGCACCACTGCACTCCAGCCTGGGCAACAGGACCAGACTCCGTCTCCAAAAAACAAGAAAAAGAAAAGCAATATTCAGAAAGAGTAGGAAGAGGTGACCCGCTGAGAAAGACTCACTGTTCTGGCTCTGGCCATAAGAAGAATAGCTGCTCTGGCCATAGCCTGAAGTGTCCGTGGACTGGCTATAACCACTGTAACTCTGCTGTCCGTAGGGCTGACTGCTCTGCTGGGAATAGCCCTGCCCGGGCTGGGTGGGGTAGGCCCCATAGCTAAATAAAAGGAAAACCAGCGTGATCAGAAAACATGGCGTGACCACCCTTGCCCTCTACAAACTCTGGAAGCCCAAAAATAGCACTCACCTTTGGGTTGCTTGTTGGGTATAATCTGCAAAAGAAAAATACAATCACATTATCTTCAGCTGCCACTCTGAAAGAGTTGAATTAAAGCTAAATTCCTTAACTCAAGCACTGATGAATAAAAAGGACCACGTAGGCCAGGCACGGTGGATCATGCCTGTAATCCCAGCAGTTTGGGAGGCCGAGGTGGGTGGATCACTTGAGGTCAGGAATTCGAGACTGGCCTGACCAACATGGTGAAGCCCCATCTCTAATAAAAATACAAAAAATTAGCCGGGCATGGTGGCGCACGCCTGTAATCCCAGCTACTCGGGAGGTGAAGCAGGAGAATCGCTTGAACCCGGGAGGCAGAGGTTGCAGTGAGCCATTGCACTCCAGCCTGGCAACAGAGCAAGACTCCATCTCAAAAAAAAAAATAAAAATAGGACCATGTTGCAACAAAGGGCATAAAATTCCTCCATGAGACACTGGTTGAGAAGAGGAACAAACTGGCGTTATCAGCCAAGTGTTCTTACAATAAAGAAAAAGTGAAGAAAATGCAAGTTTCTACAGAGTCCCAGAAGCCTTAACCATTGGAAAAACCAAGGTCTTGGTGGACATCCACAATTTTCTGCAAGCCCAATTCATGTCAGTGATTGCTCTAAAACATCGCGCATTCGTTTCATCCACTCTATGAGAAAGCCATTATCGCCAGGAGTCAAGAGACTAACTCTCCCAACGTCGCAGAACTACCAAAGTGGCACAGGTTTGAATTCGAACAGTGTTCAGATTGTGGCCTCTGCTCTCTCAGCCCAGACCCACAGAATAAGAAAGTCTCAAAAAAGGCCATTCTTCACTCTTTGACCAATCCCGGAGATGAAGTGGGCTTTTTAGTGCAAAGCCAGAGAATCAAAAGAGCCCTTGGACCCCAAATGACAGAGATCATGCAACTGCTCGCCTTAGGAGGCGAAAGTCAACAGGTACTCGAGTCCCCAGCCCTGGGACTCCAGATGGTTCCGTTTTCTCACCTACCCTGCCTTCCCCCAGCGAACAAAAAGCAACAAAAGCGCTTTTGAAAAGCCCCACTTAAGATACACGAACAAGATCAACTCATCCTCCCAGCACAGGAAACGCGGCGCTTCCCCCGCAGGAAAAGGGAAAGAGGACCAGGAGAGGGTGTGGCCTCGGGCGGCCGTTCTTCTCCGTCCCTATCTCAGAAAAAAGAAATTTAGACCAGGCGTGGTTGGCTTACGTCTGTAATCCCGACACTTCGGGAGGCCCAGGCGGGCGGATCACCTGAGGTCAGCAGTTCGAGACCAGCCTGACCAACATGGTGAAACCCCGCCCCTACTAAGAAACACAAAAATTAGCCGGGCTGTGGTGGCGGGCGCCTATAATCCCAACTACTCAGGAGGCTGAGGCAGAAGAATCACTTGAACCCAGGAGGTGGACGTTGCAGTGATCTGAGATCGCACCACTGCACTCCAGCCTGGGCGACAGAGGAAGACCGTGTCTCCAAAAAAAAAAAGAAAGAAATTTAGGCGGGAAAAACTCTCGGGCCGTCCCCAAGTCCGTTGGTCGAACCCTGACCACCGCCGCCAAACCGTTAAGCTAGAGGGCGGCCCCGATCCCGAGCCTCCGCCCCCAGCCGCGTGGCAACCCAGGCGGGAACGGAGCGATCCCGCCCATTCGCGAAGGACCACTGAGGGACAAGGCTCACACCGGACGCGCGCCGCCGAGTCTTCCGCGAAGGGTCTCGCGACAGAAAGCTGAACCAACACGAGGCGGGGAAGGGGTACCCGCGCCGCGAAGGGGGAGGGGCCCGCAGAGCGCGTGCGCGCCGCGAGTGCCCGGATGCAGCACTGCGACAAAGCGGGCTCGAGCGCGGGGCCGGGAGTTGGGGGAGGCGAGGCCACGGAGAATGGGCGTTTTCCACCCTCACCTGACGCTTCAAACCCCTAAGAAGCGTCCCTCCCAACGCCCACCCCAAGCAAACGGACTGCAAAGAAAAGACTTCCCGCCCCGCGCGCGAGGGCCAGAGGAGCGAAACAAAATGGCGACACCAGCCTCCTCCAGTTACTCTTCTCCGCGGCTTCCCGCCACAGGGGCGCCAAAAAATCCCACACGGGATCGCCGCCCCGGTCCCACTGAAAACGAAAAGCCCAGCTGGGAGGCCTCGGCCGGGTGCGCCGCCGCCGTCGCCTCGCGCCCTTACCTACCGTTTGAGGCCATGTCCGCGCACGCGCGCACAGGCAAGCAAGCAACGAAGTTCCAACACCGCTGAGTACCGACGCCTGGAGGACTGAGCAGCCCCGCCTCCTGCGTCGAAGCTTAAGTACGCTCCGCCGCCTACGCACCGCGCAGGCGCGCACCAAACGCGGAAGAGCAGGGGGAGGCAGGAACGCACTCCGCCCCCTTCGTAGGGCAGGTAGAGGGTCCGAGCAGGCAGAAGGGAAACAAGTTAACTAGAATCATGCGAATACTATACATAATCATATTTTTTGAGGAAGAACCCCTCTCTCCTCGGCAGGACTAGCCCACGATCTATCTCCACCCCCATGAAGGCACAGTGGTACGGCCTGAGTGCCCGCTGGGGGCGGGGCGAGGGGGCGGTCCCGGCGGCTGGGGACGAAACTGGAGTCACAGCCGGGAGTAGCGGGGTGGAACCGAGATTCCTGTGGCCGGGCCCCTTCGCTGGGCCCCGCTTTCACCCAGGATGGCGAGCTCCTGCCCTCCACCCTCTTGCCGCTGTATGGGGCGCCTCGTCCCCGCGGCTCCAGCCTCCCTCGTCGGCAGCACACTGGCCCTCCCTCTCCTGCGCCCTGAGGTTGACTTCGTCGTCTTTCAGGGTTGCCTTGCCTTTCGGCCTTTCTGGGGTTCGGGGATTATGACGTTTGACCTGAAAGACAGCAGGGATTTCGGCCGGGACCCCTGGGCCCCGGGCTCGTCCAGCACTGGGCTCTCACCCGGATCCTCATGGCTTTGCCCCTGGGGAGCCACGGGGCGGAACAGCCCAGGCCATCCTTGGGACCAGAGAGGGTTGACCTCAGATGTACGGTACCCAGCCTTTTCTCAGGGACCTCCTTTTTATTTTTCTGAAGCCCTACCAGGGCGATCCCAGAAATAAAACGTGTACAAGGCTTAAGTGGTTTCAAAATGCACAGATAATTTCCTTGTCATCAGTCTTACGAAGGAAGTAAAGATACCTCCGTTTTCTAGATAAGGAAAGTGAGACTCAGAGACCCAAGTAATTGTGCCTGATTACAGGGCAGCTAAGAGGAGTCGTGATTCGAATCCAGGTCTTGTAACTGCAAAACACTCCTCTTTTTGGTGGCATGAATGCTAGAGTGTTTGGTCGCCTTTTCACTTCCTGTGAGAGCAAAAGCAAAAAGAAACATTCAAATTAACTTGCAACTTGCACTTTCATCAGCCTTGCCTGGAGAAGGCAATTTGAAACTACTGAATAAAACAAGACAAAAGACGTTAATTCCTGATACATAGGCATGCAGGTTTTCCTTCCCAACTTAACCTTTCAGCGGGATTTCAGAAGGTCCTTTGAGGGTTGGACACGTCTTTCTAGAGAAACAATGAGGGCCATGCCCTGGGCCCGCCCACAAATTAAGCCCCACTAAGCCCTTGACTTCAGCCCTAAAGGCCCTGAATATGCCAATATCCACCCCACCGCCTTTGGAAGGAGAGTTCAACTCTCCAGTGAGAGCAAAAGAAAGGAAGTCCACCCTTATTCATGCATTAAGTCACAAATATTTATTTAGCACCTAGTATGTTCCAGGCACTGTTCTGGGCACTGGGTATGCATTCGTGTACAAAGCAGATGAAGTTAACATTTAATAATAAAGCTGACCGGGTGCGGTGGCTCACGCCTGTAATACCAGCACTTTGGGAGGCCGAGGCGTGTGGATCACGAGGTCAGGAGTTCGAGACCAGCCTGGCCAACATGGTGAAACCCCGTCTCTACTAAAAATACAAAAATTAGCCAGGCGTCGTCCGCGCATCTGTAATCCCAGCTACTCAGGAAGCTGAGATGGGAGAATCGCTTGAACCCAGGAGGCGGAAGTTGCAGTGAGCCAAGACGTGCCACTGCACTCCAGCCTGGGCAACAGAGCAAGACTGTCTCAAAACAAATAATAATAATAAAGCTGACATTTAATAATGATATACATTGTGCTCATCTATAATATGTAATAGCTAACACTTTAACAAGACTTACTGTCAGGCCCTGTTCTGACTGAGTAAACTCTTGATTTTATTTTTCACAACAAAAGGCTGATGTGAGGATGACATTTTATCTTTTTTTTTTTTGGGGGGACACTGTCTCACTCTGTCACCCAGGCTGGAGTGCAGGGGCGCCGTCTCGGCTCACTGCAACATGTGCCTCCCGCGTTCAAGTGATTCTACAACTTCAACCTCCCAAGTAGCTGGGAGTACAGGTGTGCGCCACCACACCCAGCTAATGTTTGTATTCTTAGTAGAGACGGGGTTTCACCATGTTGGCCAGGCTGGTCTCGAACTCCTGGCCTCAGATGATCCATCTGCCTTGGCCTCCCAAATTGCTGGAATTACAGGTGTGAGCCACCACGCCCTGCTAAGGATGACATTTTACAGATGAGGAAATAAGCATAGAAAGACAGGCAGTTGACCGGGCACGGTGGCTCACGCCTGTAATCCCAGCACTTTGGGAGGCCAAGGAGGGCAGATCACAACGTCAGGAGTTCGAGACCAGCCTGACCAACATGGTGAAACCCCGTCTCTACTAAAAATACAAACATTAGCCAGGCATAGTGGCGCGCACCTGTAGTCCCAGCTACTCAGGAGGCTGAGGCAGGAGAATTGCTTGAACCCCGGAGGCAGAGGTTGCAGTGAGCCGAGATCGCGCCACTGCACTGCAGCCTGGATGATAGAGTAGAGCAAGACTCTGTCTCTAAAAAAAAAGAAAGACGGAAAGTTATGCTGAAGCTACACAGGAAGTGGCAAAGCTGGGTTCCCAAGCCAGGTAGCCTGCTCTTAACCCCTGCGCTTCAGCAAACATTGCCTGAGCACTGCATAGTATGTTCCAATCATGGGGCCGACTGGATGGATATGGATAAAAAAAAGCTCAGTTCCTAAACCACAGGACCAGCCAGTGGGTGAATGTGGGTGAGACACACAGACCACAAAGTGTACTTGAGTGTAGTAAGTGCCATCACATGGAATCAAAGACTGGAAACCCTGCCAGCAGAGTAAGTCATCCATCAGGTGGACAACCACAGAACACTAAAGAGAGATGGTAACCCTGAAGCCAAGGCTTACTGGATAAGTAGAAGTTTGCCAAGCAGCAAGGGAGGAAAGGCTATAATAGGCAGAACCGCGAAGACAAAGGCACAAGTGGGGAAGACACTGAGGCAGAGTTCAGGCTCCAGCTGTGACTCTGGGCTGGGCATGGTGGCAGATGAGACTCGGCCTCAAAAAAAAAAAAATATGTGACTCTGAAAGACTAAATCAAATGGCCATTTCTTTCTTTCTTTTTTTTTTTTTTTTGAGATGGAGTCTCACTCTGTCACCCAGGCTGGAGTGCAGTGACGTGATCTCAGCTCACTGCAACCTCTGCCTCCCGGGTTCAAGCAATTCTTGTGCTGCAGCCTCCCGAGTAGCTGAGATTACAGGCATGCATCACCATGTCCAGCTAATTTTCCTATTTTTAGTAGAGACGGGGTTTCACCATATTGCCCAGGCTGTTCTCGAACTCCTGATCTCAAGTGATCCACCTGCCTCGAATGTTTTAATTTTTTTAACTAGTTGCCAACACTAAAAATAGTGGGCCATTCCAGGCCCACTTCCATAGGGCAAGGGTCAGCTGGAGTGAGACACTGTCACCTTTAGCTGCCATATGTGCTTTAAGTTCACCATAAATGTCTTATTTACTTCCTATCTCTGACAGGAAAGTCAATGTTAAATTTTTCTTTTTTGAGACAGGGTCTTGCTATGTTGCCCAGGCTGGTCTTGAACTCCTAGGCTCAAGGGAATCCTCCCAAAGTGCTGTGATTAAAGGTGTGACCACCACACCCAGTTTCAATTAACATGTATATCAGATATTGGGCCAGATGCGTTCGCTCACACCTGTAATCCCAGCACTTTGGGAGGCTGAGGTGGGCAGATCATGAGGTCAGGAGTTCGAGACCAGCCTGACCGACCTGGTGAAACCCCATCTCTACTAGAGATACAGAAATTGGCCGGGCATGGTGGCGCGCATCTGTAGTCCCAGCTACTCGGGAGGTTGAGGCAGGAGAATTGCTTGAGCCAGGGAGGCAGAGGTTGCGGTGAGCAGAGATTGTGCCATTGCACTCCAGCCTGGGCGACAGAGCAAGACTCCATCTCAATAAAAAAATAAACACGTATATCAGATATTGATTTTTTTTTGAGACAGAGTCTCACTCTGTCACCCAGGCTGGAGAGCAGTGCTGCAATCTCAGCTGACTGCAACCTCTACTTCCCAGGTTCCAGCAATTCTCCTGCCTCAGCCTCCTGAGTACCTGGGATTACAGATGTGCACCACCACACCCAACTAATTTTTTTAGTAGAGATGAGGTTTCCCTATGTTGGCCAGGCTGGTCTCGAACTCCTGACCTCAAATGATCTGCCTGCCTTGCTTTCCCAAGTGCTGGGATTAGAGGCATGAGCCACTGCACCCAGCTCAGATATCCAGATATTTATTTAGTTAGTTAGTTTTAATTTATTTATTTAATTTTTTTGTTTGTTTTTTTGAGACAGAGTCTCCCTCTGTCACCCAGGCTGGAGTGCAGTGGCACAATCTCAGCTCACTGCAACCTCCGCCTCCGGAGTTTGCAGTTCTCTGCCTCAGCCTCCCGAGTATCTGGGATTACAAGCTCCCACCATTACGCCTGGCTAATTTTTTGTATTTTTAGTAGAAACAGGGTTTCACCATCTTGGCCAGGCTGGTCTTGAATTCCTGACCTCCTGATCCACGCGCCTCGGCCTCCCAAAGTGCTGGGATTACAGGTCTGTGCCATCGTGCCAGGAAGTTACATATATATATATATTTATTTATATTTATATATATTTGTTTGAGATGGAGTCTCGCACTGTTGCCTGGGCTGGAGTGCAATGGCGCGATCTCGGCTCACTGCAATATCTGCCTCCCAGGTTCAAGCGATTCTCCTGCCTCAGCCTCCAAGTAGCTGGGATTACAGGCACCCGCCACCACGCCTGGCTAATTTTTTGTATTTTTTTTTAGTAGAGACGGGGTTTCACTATGTTGGCCAGGCTGGTCTCAAACACCTGACCTCGTGATCCACCCCTCCTCGGCCTCCCAAAGTGCTGTTACAAGCATGAGCCACTGCGCCCAGCCCCAGAATTTATTTTTTAAAGACAAGGTCTCATTTTGTTGGCCAGTTTTGTCTTGAACCCCTGGCCTCAAGCAATCTTCCTGCCTCGGCCTCCCAAAGTGCTAGAGTTACAGTTACAGGCATGAGCCACTGCGCCTGGCCTAGATCAAATATTTAATGCAATTTTTCTTTTTCTTTTCTTTTTTTTTTGAGCAGGGAGAGGTTGGTTTTCACATTTCTAGTGGGAGCCATGGGAGGGTCCTCCTTTGGCAGTGGAGGTGCTCACAATTTCTTCAGCCACTCCAAACTGGGGCCTTGGGGGTCCTGGGGGTGGCTGGGCACATCGGGCATGTTCCCATCATTGCAGACAGGCACTGGGTAGTTGTAGGGCCTTGCCTCGTTGATCATGATGGAGTACTTGGTGTGGGGACTAAGTGGGGGTAGAATTACAGTGAGGCTCCGGATGACAGAGGACAAGACCAGCACTGGCTCCTTGGCCCAGGAAATCTTGAGGAAGGTGCTGAGTCTCGTGGCCTTCTTGGTCTCGGTGGTGATGACAGCGGCCTTTTTTTTTTTTTTTGAGATTGAGTCTTGCTCTGTCACCCAGGCTGGAGTGCAGTGGCGCGATCTCGGCTCACTGCAACCTCCGCCTCCCAGGTTCAAGCAATTCTCCTGCCTCAGGCTCCCGAGTAGCTGGGATTATAGGCACGTGCCCCTACGCCCAACTAATTTTTGTACGTTTAGTAGAGATGGGGTTTCACCATGTTGGCCAGGCTGATCTCGAACTCCTGACCTCATGATCTGCCTGCCTTGGCCTCCCAAGCGCTGGGATTACAGGCGTGAGCCACCATGCCTGGCCTCCTTTTTTTTTTCTTTTGAGTTAGGATCTCAATCTGTCACCCAGGCTGGAGTGCAGTGGTGCAATCAAAGCTCACTGCAGCCTCAAATTCCTGGGTTCAAGCAATCCTCCAAATTTGGCCTTACCAGCATCTGGGACTACAGGCCTGCACCACCATGCCCAGCCTCTATTTGGGTTTTTGTTTTTTTTTTTTTTTTGAGACGTAGTCTCGCTCTATCACCCAGGCTGGAGTGCAGTGGCACGATCTCGGCTCACTGCAAGCTACGCCTCCCGGGTTCAAGCGATTCTCCTGCCTCAGCCTCCAGAGTAGCTGGGACTACAGGCGCCCGCCACCACGCTTAGCTAATTTTTTTGTATTTTTATTTTTAGTAGAGATAGGGTTTCACCATGTTTGTCAGGATGGTCCCAATGTCCTGACCTCGTGATCCACCCGCCTCAGCCTCCCAAATTGCTGGGATTACAGGCGTGAGCCACTGTGCCCGGCCTCTATTTGGGTTTCTAAAAAAGAAAGAGGGCCAGGCTCAGTGGTTCATTCCTGTAATGCCAGCACTTTGGGAGGCCGAGGCAGGAGGATCATTTAATAACATAGTGAGACCCTGTCTCTACAAAAAAATTAAAAATGATCTGGGTTTGGTGGTGTGTGACTGTGGTCCCAGCTACTTGGGAGGCTGAGTCTGGGGCAGGGGGGTGGGGTACTATCCAAGAGGTCAAGGCTGCAGTGAGCTATGACTGTGCCACTGTACTCCAGCCTGAACAGCAGAGTGAGACCCTGTCACAAAAAAAAAAAAGAAAAAAGAAAAAGAGAAGGAGAACAGTTAGGGATATATATATATATGTGTTTACTTATGCATAAAATATCTCTGGAAGAAGAAAAACAAGTCATAGCCTATTTCTGAGGAAGGAATCTGGGGAACTTGGGGTCAAGGATTGAAGGAAATTCACTTTTCCTAGATCCTTTTATATTTTAATTTTTCACTATGTGCATATAATGACCAATTTAAAAGCAAACTGACTCCTACAATGCACCACAGCATGGTAGCTGAGGAGGGTATTATACAGGGTAAGACCTGCCACAGGGGAAGAGTGATTACTTTTGCAGTGAGTAGGGTGGGTCAGCCTTCACTGAGGAGTTGACTTTTTTTTTTTTTGAGATGGAGCCTCGCTCTGTCGCCCAGGCTGGACTGCAGTAGTGCAATCTCGGCTCACTGCAAGCTCCGCCTCCCAGGTTCACGCCATTCTCCTGCCTCAGCCTCCCAAGTAGCTGGGACTACAGGCGCCCACCACCATGCCCGGCTAATTTTTTTTTTGTATTTTAAGTAGAGACGGGGTTTCACTGTGTTAGCCAGGATGGTCTCGATCTCCTGACCTTGTGATCCACCCGCCTCAGCCTCCCAAAGTGCTGGGACTCAGGCGTAACCCACCGCACCCAGCTATTTTTTTTTTTTTTTGAGATAGGGTCTCGCCCTGTCGCCCAGGCTGGAGTACAGTGGTACAATCTCTGCTCACTGCAGCCTCAATCTCTTGGGTTCAAAAGATCATCCCGTCTCAGCCTCCCCAGCAGCATACACCACCACGCCCCAGCATTTTTGTTTTTTGTAGAGACTGGGTCTCATCACATTGCCTGTGGCCGGCAAGCCACCCAGGCGCCAAGGCAAGAGACCGAGGACATGAGCTGTTCCAGTATAAAAAAATATAAGACAAGAATAGTTATACCAGATATAGATCTTAGATATGATTATATATGAATATCATTAATCATTAGTTTGTAGCAATTACTCATTATTCCAATATTATAATAATCCTCGCTGTATAATCATAACCTAGGAGAAACCAGGCCATACAGAGATAGGAGCTGAGGGGACACAGTGAGAAGTGACCAGAAGACAAGAGTGCGAGCCTTCTGTTATGCCCAGACAGGGCCACCAGAAGGGCTCCTTGGTCTAGCGGTGACCCCAGCGTCTGGGAAGACGCCCATTGCCAAGTGGACCGTGGTCTAGCAGTAGCGAAAAGTGTCAAGGAACAACACCCGCTGCTTAGCAGACCGGGAAAAAGAGTCTCCTTTTCTCTGGGGGAGTTTAGAGAAGACTCTGCGCCTCCACCTCCTGTGGAGGGCCTGACATCAGTCAGGCTCGCCCGCAGTTATCCGGAGGCCTAACCATCTACCTGTGATGCTGTGCTTCAGTGGTCATGCTCCTAGTCTGCCTTCATGTTCCATCCTGTACACCTGGCTCTGCCTTCTAGATAGCAGTAGTAAATTAGTGAAAGTACTAAAAGTCTCTGATATGCAGAAATAATGGTGTAAGCTGTCTTTCTCTTTGTCTTCTCTCTCTCTCTGCCTCGGCTGCCAGGCAGGGAAGGAAGGGCCCCCTTTCCAGTGGACACAAGACCTTACCTATCATTGGAGATGACTCACACTCTTTACCCTGCCCCTTTTGCTTTGTATCCAATAAATAACAGCACAGCTAGACATTCGGGGCCACTACCGGTCTCCACGCATTCGTCGTAGTGGTCCGCCGGGCCCAGCTGTCTTTTCTTCTATCTCTTAGTCTTGTGTCTTTTATTTCTACACTCTCTGGTCACCGCACACAGGGAGAAGCCCACCGACCCTGTGGGGCTGGTCCCTACAATTGCCCAGGCTGGTCTTAAACTCCTGGGCTCAAGCAATCCTCCTGCCTCAACCTCCCAAAGTGCTGGTATTACAGGCATGAGCAACTGTGCCCAGCGAGGAGTTGACATTTCAACTGAACGAATGAAGCATTTCTCAGTACAAAAACTGTACGAACAGAAGAGAGCAAGCTTGACCCAGAGCCTGTCCTGGCCAGGCACTTTAGCTGGGTTCTTGTATGTATTTATATTTTAGAGACAGGACCTCGTTCTGTTGCCCAGGCTTCTTGAGTGCAATGGTGCAATCATAGCTCACTCTAACCTCGAACTCCTGGCCTCAAGCAGTTCTCCCACCTCAGCCTCCCAAAGCGCTGGGACCACAGACGTGTGCCACTGCCCTAGCTGGGTCCCTGTAGAAGGGCAAGGGAGGAAGAGCAGGCGTGTAGAAGGGCAAGGGAGGAAGAGCAGGCAAGGCCCTCCCCTCAGGAGCACTCTGGCCTGGGGAACAGCGTGGAGGGATGGTGAGAGATGGCTGGGGCCAGACCCAGGCCCCACCTCTAGCCTGCTGCACATCTTTGTGCAAATTAGGAAAAGGCATCCCTTCCTCCAGGCAGAAACCCACCCCCCGCCCAACTCTGCCCCCCAAGGCCGAAGACTTGGGGAGGAGAGCAGGAGCTGAATTTTACTCAGCCCCATTTCAGCTCTGAACAGAGGATTTCATGCAGGACGAAACGGTCACATTCCTAAGCAGAGGCACTGAGGTATGAGACAACCTGCTATTTCACATCACTCAAAACAACAGGCTTGGGATTGCTCACACCTCTAATCACAGCAATTTGGGAGGCAAAAGCATGTGGATTTCTTGAGTCCAAGAGTTCAAGACCCCAGGCTGGTCTTGAACATGGCGAAACCAGTCTCTACAAAAAATACAAAAATTCGCCAGGCTTGGTGGTACACGCCTGTGGTCCCAGCTACTCAGGAGGCTGAGGTAGGAGGATCTCTTAAGCCCTGGAGGCAGAGGTTGCAATGAGTGGAGATTGCACCACTGCACTCCAGCCTGGGAGACAGAGCAAGAACTGTCTCAAAAAAAGCAACTTCTACTGGGAATATTAAATGACATTTCCATCTGCAAATACCCTTAACTGGGCCTAGAACATAGTAGGCATGAATAAATGACCTTTTCTCTCTCACTCGTCCTTCAAGATGTACTGCTTCAAGCAAGAAATAATTGCTTTATTATCTCCTTGGGCAGTGCCCAGGACAGGAAGTGCCCCTGTCTGCATGGGGCCCACTCAGATTTTGTGTCTCTAGGAGAGGTTGTCATGGTACACAGACTGGGAAAGTAAATGCTGGGCAGATAATTGGCCTGTGCTAAGAAAAGACCTGCTTGGACCAACTAGAAAAGAGCAACACAGGACAATAGTGGAGGGAAGGTCAGCAGATAAACAAGTGAACAAAGGTCTCTGGTTTTCCTAGGCAGAGTGTTTGTGTCCCTGGGTACTTGAGATTAGGGAGTGGTGATGACTCTTAACGAGCATGCTGCCTTCAAGCATCTGTTTAACAAAGCACATCTTGCACCGCCCTTAATCCATTTAACCCTGAGTGGACACAGCACATGTTTCAGAGAGCACAGGGTTGGGGGTAAGGTCACAGATCAACAGGATCCCAAGGCAGAAGAATCTTTCTTAGTACAGAACAAAATGAAAAGTCTCCCATGTCTACTTCTTTCTACACAGACACAGCAACCATCCGATTTCTCAATCTTTTCCCCACCTTTCCCCCTTTTCTATTCCACAAAACCGCCACTGTCATCATGGCCCGTTCTCAACGAGCTGTTGGGTACACCTCCCAGACGGGGTGGTGGCCGGGCAGAGGGGCTCCTCACTTCCCAGTAGGGGCGGCCGGGCAGAGGTGCCCCTCACCTCCCGGACGGGGCGGCTGGCCGGGCGGGGGACTGACCCCCCCCACCTCCCTCCCGGACGGGGCGGCTGGCCGGGCGGGGGGCTGACCCCCACCTCCCTCCCGGACGGGGTGGCTGCCGGGCGGAGACGCTCCTCACTTCCCAGACGGGGTGGCAGCCGGGCGGAGGGGCTCCTCACTTCTCAGACGGGGCGGTTGCCTGGCGGAGGGTCTCCTCACTTCTCAGAAGGGGCGGCCGGGCAGAGACGCTCCTCACCTCCCAGACGGGGCGGCGGGGCAGAGGCGCTCCCCACATCTCAGACGATGGGCGGCCAGGCAGAGACGCTCCTCACTTCCTAGATGGGATGGCGGCGGGGAAGAGGCGCTCCTCACTTCCTAGGTGGGATGGCGGCCTGCCAAATCCCCCTCTGTGAGAAACACCCAAGAATGATCAATAAAAAAAAAAAAAAGCAAAAACAAAGAAGGAAGAAGCCATTTGTACCTTAGTATGAACTTAAAAACGAGGTTAAACACTAAAAAAAAAAAAAAAAAAAAATGAAAAGGGCAACACAGTGCTGGGTCTGAGGGAAAACTGCAGAAAGTCCTCCTGGAGGCAGGAAAAGGGCCTGGGGCAAGGTATGCAATAGTCACAGTGATAGATGGGAAATTGACCAATCATTGTGCCAGGTCTATTTCCAAACAGGTTAAAGGTCCCAGGGAAACAAATTGAGCGTCCTGGTACCTGGTTTGCAAAAATGCAGTGTGGCCAGGCACAGTGGCTGACACCTGTCATCCCAGAGCTTTGGGAGGCTGAAATGGTGGGGGATATCACTTGAGCCCAGGAGGTCAAGGCTGTAGTGAGCTATGATTGAACCACTGTACTCCAACCTGGGCCACAGAACAAAACTGTTTCTCAAAGACAAAAACAAAAGTGTGCCAGGCGCTGTGGCTCATGCCTGTAATCCCAGCACTTTAGGAGGCCAAGGCAGGCGGATCACCTGAGGTCAGGAGTTCGAGACCAGCCTGACTAACATGGTGAACTCCTGTCTCTACTAAAAATACAAAAATTAGCCGGGCGTAGTGGCGTGTGCCTGTAGTCCCAGCTACTCAGGAGGCTGAGGTGGGAGAATCGCTTGAACCCGGGAGGCAGAGGTTGCAGTGAACCGAGATGGCGCCACTGCACTCCAGCCTAGGCAACAGAGACACTGTCTCAAACAAACAAACCAAAAGTGTAACTTAGGCCGGGCATGGTGGCTCACGCTGTATTCCCAGCACTTTGGCATGCCGAGGCAAGCAGATCACCTGAGGTCAGGAGTTTGAGACCAGCCTGGCCAACATAGCAAAATCCTGTCTCTACTAAAAATACAAAATGTTAGCTGGGCATGGTGGCAGGCGCCTGTGATCCCAGCTACTCGGGGGGCTGAGTCAGGAGAATCGCTTGAACCCGGGAGGCGGAAGTTGCAGTGAGCCTAGATCGCGCCATTGCACTCCAGCTTGGGCAAAAAGAGTGAAATTCTGTCTCAAAAAAAAAAGTGTAAAGTAAAAGGATCTGTTAACAATTCCATATCATTTGCCTTTTTCAAGGACTCTGGGCTACAGATTCTCTAGCTCTAAATAGGAAAAGGGAGAAGAGTGAGAGAGGGTATCAGTACAGGGGCTTCTGAACAAATACGCAAAAGAACGAAGAAACTTCTTTATGCTTAAGGCCAAGCTCAGTGGCTCACACCTGTAATCCCAGCACTCTGGGAGGCCAAGGTTGGAAGATCACTTGAGCCCAGGAGTTCGAGATCAGCCTGGGCAACATAGCCAGACCCAGTTTCTACAAAAACTTTAAAAAATTAGGCCGGGCGTGGTGGCTCACGCCTGTAATCCCATCACTTTGGAAGGCCGAGGCGGGAGGATCACCTGAGGTCGGGAGTTGGAGACCAGCCTAACCAACATGGAGAAACCCCGTCTCTATTAAAAAAAATACAAAATTTACCAGTCATGGGGGCCCATGCCTGTAATCCCAGCTACTTGGGTGACTGAGGCAGGGGAATCACTTGAACCCAGGAGGCAGAGGTTGCGGTGAGCCAAGATCGCGCCATTGCACTCCAGCCTGGACAATAAGACTGAAACTCCGTCTCAAAAAAAAAAAAAAAATTAGCCAGGCATGGTGGTACATGCCGGTAGTCCCAGCTACTGGGGAGGCTGAGGAGGGAGGATCATTTAAGCCCAGGAGTTCAAGGCTGCAGTGAGTCGTGATTGCGCCACTTCAGCCTGGGCGACAGAGAGAGACTCTGTTTCAAAGAAAAAAAAAAGAAGAAGAAACTTGTTTATGTTTGACCCTGCAAGGTGATTTAAACCCTAATATGCCAAATATGTATGTATACTTTTTTTCAGATTAATTTGCAAATATTTCCAGGAAGATACATGTAAAACTACTGAGAAGAGTTCTTTCTCTGTGGGACAGCTAAAAAAAAATTACACACATTTGGCCAGGCGCAGTGGCTCACACCTGTAATCCCAGCACTTTTGGAGGCTGAGGCAGGCGGATCACAAGGTCAGGAGTTCGAGACTAGCCTGGCCAACATGGTGAAACCCCATCTCTACTAAAAATACAAAAATTAGCCAGGCATGGTGGTGGATGCCTGTAATCCCAGCTACTCAGGAGGCTGAGGCAGGAGAACCACTTGAACATGGGAGGTGGAGGTTGCAGTGAGCTGAGATCACGCCACTGCACTCTAGCCTGGGTGACAGAGACTCCATCTCAAAAAAAAAATTACACTTATTTATTTTTTATTTATATTTAGACGGAGTCTCGCTCTGTCGCCACGCTGGAGTGCAATGACATGATCTCTGCTCACTGTAACCTCCACCTCCTGGGTTCAAGCGATTCTCCTGCCTCAGCCTCCCAACTAGCTGGGATTACAGGTGCCCGTCACCACACTTGGCTAATTTTTTGTAATTTTAGTAGAGACAAGGTTTCGCCACGTTGCCCAGGCTGGTTTCGAACTCCCGAGCTCAGGCAATCCGCCCTCCTCGCCCTCCCAAAGTGCTGGGATTACAGGCGTGAGCCACCGCACCTGGCCTACACATATTTTTTAAATTTTGGATTTTTTGTTTTTTTAAGATGGAGTTTCACTCTTGTTGCTCAGGCTAGAGTGCAATGGTGCAATCTCAGCTCACTGCAACCTCTGCCTCCCGGGTTCAAGCATTCTCCTGTCTCAGCCTCCCGAGTAGCTGGGGTTACAGGCACATGCCACCACGCCCAGCTAATTTTTGTATTTTTAGTAGAGATGGAGTTTCATCAAGTTGATCAGGCTGGTCTCGAACTCCTGACCTCAGGTGATCCGCCCACCTCGGCCTCCCAAAGTGCTGGGATTACAGGCATAAGCCACCGTGCCCAGCCTAGATTTGTTTTAAATGGATGCCTCAAGGGAACTATTTTGAGCAGCATGATATACTTATGTAATTTTAATTTTTTTTTTTTTTTTTTGAGACACAGTCTTGCTCTGTCGCCCAGGCTGGAGTGCAGTAGTATAATCTCGGTTCACTGCAACCTCCACTTCCCAGGTTCAAGTGATTCTTCTACCTCAGCTTCCCGAGTAGCTGGGACTACAGGCCTGTGCCACCATGCCTGGCTAATTTTGTATTTTTAGTAGACATGGGGTTTCACGATGTTGGCCAGGCTGGTTTCGAACTCCTGACCTTGTGATCCGCCCGCCTCGGCCTCCCAAAGTGCTGGGATTATAAGCATAAGCCACCGCGCCCGGCCATAATTTTAAATTTTCTAGGAGCTATTTTTTTTTTTTTTTTTTTTTTTGAGAAAACTGTTTTAAGGCACTGTGACATGAAAAGGGCTGCCAGGGATGTGTTCCTCCCCCCACTTCACAGCCAGCACGTAATGGCCCCTCTCCTTGACGACGTATGTGACATTGTATTGCTGGTTGCCTACATGCTTCATGGAGACCTTCTCGCAGGCGGTCGTGGGCCCATGTACCCTGATCAGCAGCATGTTGGAGCTGGCTTTGCTGCAGTCCACCAGGAAGGAACTCTTCTGGCCCACAAAGGCCTTAGAGAGCCCTGCCCCCTTAGAGGTCAACTAGCTGGCGTCATTTTTTTTTTTTTTTTGAGACAGGTTCTCACTCCGTCACCCAGGCTGGAGTACAGTGGTGGGATCATGGCTCACTGCAGCCTTGAACTCCTGGGCTCAAAAAATCCTCCCACCTCAGCCTCCCAAGTAGCTGGGATTACAGATGCACACCACCATGCCTGGCTAATTTTTTGTATTTTTAGTAGAGACAGGGTTTTGCTATGCTGCCCAGGCTGGTCTGGAGCTCCTGGACTCAAGTAGTCCACCTGCCTCAGCCTCCCAGAGTGCTGGGATTACAGGCGTGAGCCACCATGCCCAGCCTTGTTTTTCATACTAAGTCTTCAAAGTCTGGTGGGTCGCCAAGATGATCCTGGCCAGGCTAGACCAAGAATGCACAGACACACACACACACACACACACATACACACACACACCCGTGGAAGGACATCTCTTGGAATTTCCAAGATTGATTTTTGTTTCCAACTAAGCAGTTTTCTTGTTGTGTTTATTGGTGTGTGTGTGTGTGTGCGCGTGTGTACATGCGTGCGTGCATGTGTGTGTGAAAGAATATTGTGGCCAGGTGAGGTGGCTCACACCTGTAATCTCAGCACTTGAGGCCAGGAGTTTGAGACCAGCATGGGCAACATCGTGAGATGCTGTCTCTACAAAAAATACAAAAATTTGCCGGGTGCAGTGGTGTGCACCTTTAGTCCCAGCTACTCGAGAAGCTGAGGTGAGAGGATTATCTGAGCCCAGGAGGTCAAGGCTGCAGTGGGCCATGATCGCGCCACTGCACTCCAGCCTGGGCAACACAGAGAGACCTTGTCTCAAAGAAAAAAAAAAAGCATTTTGGGGAGGGATGGCATTAGGAGAAATAACTAATGTAGATGACGGGTTGATGCGTGCAGCAAACCACCAGGGCACATGTATACCTATGTGACAAACCTGCACGTTCTGCACATGTACCCCAGAACTTAAAGTATAAATAAATAAGAATTTTGCCCTCAGCACCAGCTTGCATGGTGAAAAAAGAAAGAAGGAAAGTAAGAATTTTGCCCTAAGGCGCCTGTCTATTAGCTGTTTAGAAACCATAGAATTTAGCAACTGTTTTCTTTCTTTAGTGGAAACTTCATAAGAAATTATTTTGGAAAGTTTTGCCTACAAAATTAAAAAGGAGGCCGGGCGCGGTGGCTCACACCTGTAATCCCAATACTTTGGCAGGCCGAGGTAGGCAGATCACCTGAGGTCAGAAGTTCGAGACCAGCCTGGCCAACATGGTGAAACCCCGTCTCCATTAAAAATACAAAAATTAGGCCAGGCTCTTTGGCTAACGCCTGTAATCTCAGTACTTTGGGAGGCCGAGGCAGGCGGATCACCTGAGGTCGGGAGTTCGAGACCAACCTGGCCAACATGGTGAAGCCCCGTCTCTACTAAAAATACAAAAAAATTAGCCATGTGTGGTGGCAGGTGCTTGTAATCCCAGCTCCTCAGGAGGCTGAGGCAGGAGAATCGCTTGAACCCTGGAGGCAGAGGTTTCAGTGAGCTGAGAATGCTCCATTGCACGCCAGCCTGGGCAATGAGTGAAACTCCATCTCAAAAAAAAAAAAAAATTAACAAGATGCTGAGCATGGTGGTGCATGCCTGTAATCCCAGCAAATTAGAAAGCTGAGGTGGGAGGATGGCTTGAGCCCAGGACTTGGAGATGAGCCTGGGCAACATAGTGAGACCATCTTGCCCCCGATTTTAAAAATAATAATTAAAATAAAAAGGCTGTGGGAAAACATTATGTAATAAAGCTGGAAGATTTCCTTCTCATTTGAGAAGGGGTCTGTTTGTTTGTTTTATAGAGACGGTCTTGCTGTGTTGCCCAGGCTGGTCTGGAACTCCCAGACTCAAGCAATCCTCATGCATCAGCCTCCTGAAGTGCTGGGATTACAGGCATGAGACACCACGCCCAGCCTCAGAGGGTTTTTTAGGTTGTTTTGTTGTTTTTTTTTGTTTGTTTTGTTTTTTGACACGGAGTCTCCCTCTGTTGCCCAGGCTGGAGTGCAGTGGGGTGATCTCAGCTCACAGCAACCTCCACCTCCCAGGTTCAAGCCTCAATTCTCCTGCCTCAGCCTCCTGAGTAGCTGGGATTACAGGCATGCGCCACCACGCTTGGCTAATTTTTGTATTTTTAGTAGAGACGGGTTTTCACCATGTTGGCCAGGCTGGTCTCAAACTCCTGACCTCGTGATCCACCCACCTCGGCCTTCCAAAGTGCTGGGATTACAGGTGTGAGCCACCGCGCCCAGCTGTTTTTCTTTTTTTTTAAGACAGAGTTTTCGTTCTTGTTGCTCAGGCTGGAGTGCAATGGCACGATCTCGGCTCACTGCAAACTCTGCCTCCTGGGTTCAAGCGATTCTCCTGCCTCAGCCTCCCAAGTAGCTGGGATTACAGGCATGCACCGCCACACGCAGCTACTTTTGTATTTTTAGTAGAGATAGGGTTTCTCCATGTTGGTCAGGCTGGTCTCAAACTCTTGACCTCAGGTGATCCGCCCCCCTCAGCCTCCCAAAGTGCTGCGATTACAGGCGTGAGCCACTGCGCCCAGCCTCAGAGGGTTTTTTAACCTGATGATGCGTATCGAAATAGGAAGACATTTTTATTAGTAAATTTGACTTTAGTATTTTTAGGTGAATATGTGTTTTTTCTCCGTGGTGGCAGAAGAAGAAACACATTATCGGATCGCCAAAAAACCTAACCATGAAAGAGTGTAAAATTGGAGAAACAGATATGGTTTACTTTAGTCTACCAGGGACAATTATGTGGCTGTTTGTGTAACATAATTGTTACTTGCTACTTTTTCTGTGGCTGACGATATGCAAAACTCTCTGGGCCAGTACAAAAATTGTGCGAAATTTACCAATGGCTGGAAGCAGTGGCTCACGCCTGTAATCCCAACACTTCAGGAGGCAAAGGTGGGAGGATTCCTTGAGGCCAGGAGTTCAAGACCAGCCTCAGCAACATAGCAAGACCCCCATCTCTACAAAAAATGTAAAAACCTAGCTGGGCGTGGTGGCATCCAAGTAGTCCCAGCTACTCTGGAGGCTAAAATACAAAATTACTAAAATACGAAATACTACATTACTAAAATACAGAATTACTGAAAATACAAAATTAGCCAGGCATGGTGGCCAGGGACTGCTTCAATTTCTCTGCCTTCTCTTTGTCAATGATGACCAGGGTATAAAGGTATCTGCTGCATCGAACTTTAAACTTCACATTGTCCTTATTTTTCTTTTTTTTTCTTTTTTTTCTTTTTTTTATTTTGAGACAGAGTTTTGCTCTTATTGCCCAGGCTAGAGTGCAGTGGTGCAATCTCGGCTCACTGCAACCTCCGCCTTCCAGTTTCAAGCGATTCTTCTACCTCAGCCTCCCAAGTCGCTGGGATTACAGGTGCCCGCCACCATGTCCAGCTAATTTTTTGTATTTTTAGTAGAGACGGGGTTTCACCATGTTGGTCAGGCTGGTCTTGAACTGCTGACCTCGTGATCCACCCGCCTAGACCTCCCAAAGTGCTGGGATTACAGGCATGATCCACCGTGCCCGGCGCATTGTCCTTATTTTTCTTGATCTTGACAGATTTGGCATCCTTTTGTCGGGCTGTGAGCAGAAAGACCTTGATTTCCTCAATTTTCTGAGGCATGGCAACAAGGAACACAGGGAGCAGGCGGGGACCGGGACAGTGAGCAGCGACCAAGGAGAGCTTGAGTTTATTATAAGAGCCTAGAGCCGCCACAGAGACTTTTAAGCAGGGACAAACACTTTTTTTTCTTTTTTTGAGATTGAGTTTCACTCTTGTTGCTCAGGCTGGAGTGCAGTGGCGCGATCTCGGCTCCCTGCAACCTCCGCCTCCCAGGTTCAAGCGATTATCCTGCCTAGCCTCCCGAGTAGCTGGGATTACAGGTGCCTGCAACCACACCTGGCTAATTTTTTTTTCTTTTTCTTTTCTTTTTTTTTTTTTTCTGAGACAGAGTCTTACTCTGTTACCAGGGCTGGAGTGCAGTGGCACAATCTCAGCTCACTGCAACCTCCACCTCCCAGGTTCAAGCAGTTCTCCTGCCTCAGCCTGGGATTACAGGCGCCTGCCACTACCAAACACCCAGCTAATTTTTTGTATTTTTAGTAGAAAGGGGGTTTCACCATGTTGGCCAGGCTGGTCTCGACCTCCTGACCTCATGATTTGCCCACCTTGGCCTCCCAAAGTGCTGGGATTACAGGCGTGAGCCACCTCATCTAGCCCGGAGTTTCACTCTTGTTGCCCAGGCTGGAGTGCAATGGCGCGATCTTGGCTCACTGCAACTTCTGCCTCCTGGGTTCAAGCGATTCTCCTGTCTCAGCCTCCTTAGTAGCTGGGATCACAGGTGCCCGCCACCACTCCCAGCTAATTTTTTGTATTTTTAGAAGAGATGGTGTTTCACTATGTTGGCCAGGCTGCTCTTGAACTCCAGACCTCAGGCAATCCACCCGCCTCGGCCTCCCAAAGTGCTGGGATTACAGGCGTGAGCCACCACTCCCTGCTAATTTTTTGTACTTTTTTTTAAGTAGAGACAGGGTTTCACCATATTGGCCAGTCTGGTTTCAAACTCCTGACCTCAGATGATCACCCACCTCAGCCTCCCAAACTGTTGGGATTACAGGCGTGAGCCACCACGCCTGTCCGTGTCCCTGTGTGTTTGATTAAACTAATCTCAATGGGTTTTCATTATCTAAACAGCTTCCCCTCTCATACGCATTCTCGTTTCAGATGTTCAGAATTCAGAAAATACAAACAACCTGCAGGAGAAATGGCTGCTCAGCTTGAGTACCTGAGGTCCTGCAACACCCCACCTCCTTTGTTTTCCAGAGGGGTTCAGAAAGCTCGCTGTGCTCAGGCCTCCAAGTCAGGGCCATAAGCCTTGTTGCCTCCAGCCATGACTCAAAAACCTCGCCCTCACCCCCATCCCATCCTGACCTCCTCTCTTGCCCCCAAGAGCTCTCCCGGACCCCATACAGTTTATGCAGGAGCACCCCAAAACTGCTCCCCTCAGAAGCAGGAGGACGTCTCTCTCCCAGCAATGAGCTGCCACCTCCTCAGACTCCAACTCGGATTGTTCTCTCTGTGTCTCAGGAACCACCCTCCAAATTGCATACAATGGCCAGGCACGGTGGCTCATGCCTGTCATCCCAGCACTTTGGGAGGCTGAGGCAGGTGGATAACCTGAGCTCAATAGTTCAAGACCAGCCTGGCCAACATAGTGAAACCCCGTCTCTACTAAAAATACAAAAATTAGGGCCAGGCACGGTGGCTCACACCTGTAATCCCAGCGCTTTGGGAGGCCAAGGTGGGCGGATCACCTGAGGTTGGGAGTTCGAGACCAACCTGGCCAACATGGAGAACCCCTGTCTCTGCTAAAAAATACAAAATTAGCTGGGCGTGGTGGCACATGCCTGTAATCCCAGCTACTCGGGAGGCTGGGGCAAGAATCACTTGAACCCGGGAGGCAGAGGTTGCGGTGAGCTGAGATCATGCCATTGCACTCCAGCCTGGGCGACACAGCGAGACTCCATCTCAAAAAAAAAAAAAAATTCTATACAGTGCATCTCACAAAGTGAGGTCCCTTTGAAGTAGGGCAACTCATTTGAGGCTAAAGCGCTGAGTCCTGGGGCAATCTCTGGCTCCGACAGGCTCAGGGTACCAGCATGGTCCCTGGAGACCAAGAGGTGGGTGGGGAGGTGGGGGCAGAGTCTGGGAGTGAAATTGAAGGAGCAGTTACTCTTCTTGCCACGAGAGGGAGCACCAAGGGGATGTCTTGATCATATCAGTCAAGCGTGGAGTCAACACACAACATGTTCCCAATTTTATCAAGTCTCTCAAATATTCCCACTCAGAGGGTCCCTCATAGAATAACATTCTAACTCCAAGTTTTTTCTGAGAACAAGTTATTTCTGGCCAGGCGAAGTGGCTCATGTTTGTAATCCCAACACTTTGGGAGGCCAAGGCGGGCAGATCTCCTGAGGTCAGGAGTTCAAGACCAGCCTGGCCAACAGGGTGAAACCCCGTCTCTAAAATACAAAATTGTAAAATACAATTTTGTATTTAAAATACAATACTCTATCGTATTTAAAATACTCCAGAATACAAAATTGTAAAAATACAAAATTAGCTGGGAGTGGTGGTATACACCTGTAATCCCAGCTACTGGGGAGGCTGAGGCAGGAAAATCACTTGAACCCAGGAGGTGGAGGTTGCAGTGAGCCAAGATCGTGCCATTGCACTCTAGCCTGGGCAACAAGAGCAAAACTCCGTCTCAAAAAAAAAAAAAGTTATTTCTTCCAAGCAGATATGCAACAATATAGTGACTTAGCAAGATAATATTATGGAATAGGGAACAGGGTTGCCAGGTTTAGCAAAAAATTTTATTTTACTCCTTTTTTATTTTACAAAAAAATTTTGTACAAACGGGGTCTATGTTACGTTGCCCAGGCTGGTCTCGAACTCCTAGACTCAAGTAATCCTCACACCTCAGCCTCCTGAAGTGCTGGGATTATAGGCATGAGCCACCACTCCCAACCAGATTTAGCAAATAAAATAAGTGCCCGATTAAATCTGAATTTCAGGTAAACACAAATAATTTTTTTTTAAGACAGGGTCTTGCTCTGTCACCCAGGCTGGAATGCAATGGTGCAATCATAGCTCACTGCAGTTTCGAACTCCTGGTCTCAAGTGATCCTCCTGCCTCAGCCTCCCAGACCACTGGGATTACAGACGTGAGCCCTGTGCCTATTGGAAACACAAATAATTTTTTTTTGAGATAGGGTCTGGTTCTGTTGCCCAGGCAGGAGTGCAGTGGCATGGCTCACTGCAACCTCTGCCTCCTGGGCTCAAGCCATCCTCCCACCTCAGCCTCCCAAGTAGCTCCCAAGTGCACACCACCACATCCAGCTATTTTTTTTTTTTTTTGAGACGGAGTCTCGCTCTGTCACCCAGGCTGGAATGCAGGGGCGCTATCTCAGCTCACTGCAAGCTCTGCCTCCTGGGTTCGCGACATTCTCCTGCCTCAGCCTCCCGAGTAACTGGGACTACAGGTGCCCGCCACCATGCCCGGCTAATTTTTTTGTATTTTCTTTTTAGCAGAGACGGGGTTTCACTGTGTTAGCCAGGATGGTCTCAATCTCCTGACCTCGTGATCCGCCCGCCTCAGCCTCCCAAAGTGCTGGGACCACAGGCTTGAGCCACCACGCCTGGCCCACATCCAGCTAATTTTTTAAAAAACTCTTTGTAGAGATGGGGTCTCACTATATTGCCCAGGCTGATCTTAAACTCCTGAGCTCAAGCAGTCCACCTGCCTCAGCCTCCCAAAGTGCTGGGATTACAGGTGTGAGCCACTTCACTTGGCCCGACAAATAATTTTCAATATAACTCAAGTATTTCCTGAGACCTAGTTATAGTAAAAAAAAAAAAAATCGTTTATCTCAAATTCAGACTGAGCTAAGTATTCTGTATTTTAGCAGGCACTCCAAAAGGAGTGACACGTGCTTTAAGAGTTTTATACACCAGCTGGGTGTGGTGGCTCACGCCTATAATCCCAGCACTTTGGGAGGCTGAGGCGGACAGATCACCTGAGGTCAGGAGTTGGAGACCAGCCTGCCCAACATGGCGAAACCCCATCGCTATTAAAAATACAAAAAAATTAGCCGGGCATGGTGGTGGACACCTGTAATCCTAGCTACTCAGGAGGCTGAGGCAGGAGAATCACTTGAACCCGGGAGGCAGAGGTTGCAGTAAGCTGAGATCGCAACACTGCACTCCAGCCTGGGGGACAAAAGCAAAACTCCGTCTCAAAAAAAAAAAGAGTTTTACAAACCAAATGTTTGCAGTGGCTGCGCTCACGCCTGTAATCCCAACACTTTAAGAGACTGAGACGGGTGGATCACTTGAGGTCAGGAGTTCAAGATTAGCCTGGCCAACATGATGAAACCCTGTCTCTACTAAAAATACAAAAATTCGCTGGGCATGATGGTGGGCACTTGTAATTCGAGCTACTTGGGAGGCTGAGGCAGGAGAATCACTTGAACCCAGGAGGCAAAGGCTGCAGTGAGTGGAGATTGCACCACTGCACCCCAGCCTGAGCAACAGAGTGAGACTCCGTCTCAAATAAAAAATGAAAATAAAATGCAGCTTTCTCTGTCATGGCACCCATTCTGGTGTGCATGAGGACAGACAGCCCAGATTATTTTTCGAGGAGACATGTGGCCCTGCCCACAGTATATTCCACAGAACAGCCCTGACCAGAAGTGGAGTGACTCCCAGCTTCTGGCTTCCTCTTTTCACGATGAGATGCGGCACTGCTGGGCTTCGCTGGTGTGGAGCGCGTGCGGCTGTGTGCTTGAGCTGTGAAACAGTCTTCTGCTCCCTCTGGTCAGCACCTTTGGAAAGTGTGGTGAGAGCAACAATACTATCAAGGATTATCTGAAGAATGCCTTTTTTTGTAGGTCAGTGATAACCAGACATTTTAGTGACAAAGCCAATTCAGAAAAAAAGTAACCTGTTACCAAAATCCTTTAAAAAACATGATCTCTTTTATCAGGAAACATAATATCAACATCTTTGGTTAAGCATGCTTTTCTTGTTTTTCCAAATGCTGAAGGGTTTCATTATTTTAGCTAAGCTTTCAGAAACAACATTACACACATGCCCTGGTGTTATCGGATGTAAAGCTGCACATTTTCCCAACGTTTTTGGTCCAGGAAAGCATTTCTGGAGCTAGTTCGTTTGGCTTTTTCTTAATTGACTCTGGAATCCATTTATTTGCAAAGTGTGTTTTGCCTCTTTTAATTTCTTTTTACTCATGTGGAATAACCATATAGTTTTTTTTTTCTTTCCTTCTTTCTTTCTTTTCTTTTCTTTTTTTTTTTTTTTTCTTTTTTGAGACAGAGTCTCGCTCTGTCACCCAGGCTGGAGTGTAGTGGTGCAATCATAGCTCGTTGCAGCCTCGACCTCCTGGGCTTAAGTGAACCTTCTACCTCAGCCCGAGTAGCTGGGACTACAGGTGCATGCCACCATGCCTGGCTAATTTTTATTTTATTTTATTTATTTTGGGGACGGAGTTTTGCTCTTGTTGTCCAGGCCGGAGTGTAATGGCACGATCTCAGCTCACTGCAACCTCTGCCTCCTGGATTCAAGTGATTCTCCTGTTTCAGCCTCCCAGGTAGCTGGGATTATAGTCATGCACCACCATGCCCAGCTAATTTTGTATTTTTTTTTTTTTTTTAGTAGAGACAGGGTTTCACTGTGTTGGTCAGGTTGGTCTTGAACTCCCAACCTCAGGGGATATACCCGCCTTGGCCCCACAAAGTGCTGGGATACAGGTGTAAACTTTTTTTTTTTTTTTTTTTTTTAGAGATGGGGTCTCATTATGCTGCCCAAGCTAGTCTCAAAACTCCTGGGCTCAAGAGATCCTCCCACCTCAGCATCTCTAGCTAAGTTCATAGAGAGTCCTGATCTTAAGGGTACGGCTCAGTGAAACTCTGCATGTGTATATTCCTGTGTATATACACACCTACATCAAGATCTAGAACTTTCTTGCACTCTAGCAAGTTTCTCTGTGCTCCTTCCCACATAATATAATACTTCCACCAGAAGCAACCACTATTCTGATTCCTTTTTTTTTTTTTTTTTTTTTTTGAGATGGAATCTTGCTCTGTCACCCAGGCTGGAGTGCAGTGGTGCTATCTCGGCTCACTGCAACCTCCGCTTCCCAGGTTCAAGCGATTCTTCTGCTTCAGCTTCCTGAGTAGCTGGGATTACAGGCATGTGCCACCACACCCGGCTAATTTTTGTGTTTTAGTAGAGACAGGGTTTCACTGTGTTGGCTAGGCTGGTCTTGAACTCCTGACCTCAAGTGATCCGCCTGCCTCAGCCTCCCAAAGTGCTGGGATTACAGGTGTGAGCCACCGTGTCCGGCCACTATTCTGACTTCTACCACTGGGGATTAGTTATGCTTGTTCCTAAATTGCATATAATTGGAATCATGCAATATGACACATATTTGTTGAAAAAAAAATCTGTAAGATTCATCCATGTTGTTGCAGATATCAGTAATTCATTCTTTTTTATTGCTGCATAGTATTTCAGTGTATGACTATGCCACAATTTATCAATTTTCCTGGGGCCGGACATTTATGTTCTGGATCTTGGCTCTTGTATCTAGACCTTCTATGAGTGCCATGCTCTGCATATGCCTTATGGCACCCTCATTTCTCTTAGGTCTATACCTAGGATCTTGATTGTTGGGTCAAAATACAGGCATATGTTTAGCTTTCGTCTATTCTGCCAGTTATCTTTTCTTAATTTTTATTTTTAGGAATAGAGATGAAGTTTTCACTATGTTTTCCAGGCTGGTCTCAAGCTCCTGAGCTCAAGTGATGCTCTCGCCTCAGCCTCCCAAAGTGCTGGGATTACAAGGCATGAGCCACTGCGCCTGGTCTTTTTTTTTTTTTTTTTTTTTGAGACGGAGTCTCACTCTGTCGCCCAAGCTGCAGTGCAGTGGTGTGATCTCAGCTCATTGCAACCTCCGCCTCCCAGGTTCAAGCGATTCTCCTGCCTCAGCCTCCCGAGTAGCTGAGATTACAGGCGCCTGCCACCATGCCCGGCTAATTTTTTGTATTTTTAGTAGAGACGTGCCTAAGTTTTGTAATTTTAGTAGAGACGGGGTTTCACTGTGTTGGCGAGGCTGGTCTCGAACTCCTGACCTCAAGTGATCTGCCCACCTCAGCCTCCCAAAGTGCTGGGATGGATTACAGACGTGAGCCACCACACCCGGCCCCGTGCCAGACTTCTAATCTTTGAAATTGTAACATAATAAGTTGGTATTGTTTTAATCCACTGAGTATATGGGAATTTGTTACATCAGCAATGGAAAACTAATATACTAGTTCACCTATCATTTCCCCCTCCACTAGTCAGACCAGTAGAGAACTGCGTATGTATCACCTTTCTTACCCAGAGGCACCACCCACATATCCTTATTTTATTGACTGTGGTTTGTTTATGGTGTCATAGGCTGAAATTAAGCAGCACTATAAAAATCAACCTTAGGCATGGTGACACATGCCTGGAGTCCCAGCTACTCAGGAGACTGACATGGGAGAATCGATTGAGCCCAGGAGCTCGAGGCTGCAGTGAGCTATGACCATGCCACTGCACTCCAGCCTGGGTGACAGAGTGAGTCTCCATCTCTAAAAAAAAAAAAAGGCTGGGCATGGTGGTTCATGCTTGTAATCCCAGCACTTTGTGAGGCCAAGGCACGCAGATCACCTTAGGTCAGGAATTTGAGACCAGCCTGGCCAACATGGTGGAAACCCGTCTCCACTAAAAATACAAAATTAGCAGGGCATGGTGGTGGGCTCCTGTAATCCCAGCTACCCGGGAGGCTGAGGCAGGAGAATCACTTAAACCTGGGAGGTGGAGGTTGCAGTGAGCCGTGATCATGCCATTGCACTCCAACCTGGGCAAAAAGAGCGAAACATCATCTCAAAAAAAAAAAAAAAAAAAAAAAAAAAACCTCATGAAACTATTTGCTGTTTTTCACATGATGTTGTTAAGAAAGATTTTATTATACCCAAGTAAAGAGACATGATCTCCCAACCAGAATGGACTCGAACTCCTGGGCCCAAGGGATCCCCCCACCTCAGCCTCCAGAGTAGCAGGGACTACAGGCATGCACCGGCACACCTGGCTCCTCCAAGGAGAAATTTATTTTCTGTCCTTGAACCTGGAAGAGAGAGACTCCTGCTTGAGCTTCCCTCCTTACCTTGGCTGCTAGTTGCAATCAAGGGCATCTTAGAGTGGTGAAACCATAAGAATCACCTGGGCAGCTTTTGCAAACTGCACTTGCTCCTCCAGAAATTCCAATCTGTCTCCCTACAAGAAAATGTTCTCCTTCCTCCCATAAGATCCATTGCTTTGGCGAGCCTCTGTGCTATTTATTTTTTTATACTTATTTATTTATTTATCTATTTATTTTTGAGATGGAGTTTTGCTCTTGTTGCCCAGGCTGGAGTGTAATGGTGCAATCTCAGCTCACTGCAACCTCTGCCTCCCGGGTTCAAGCGATTCTCCTGCCTCAGCCTCCCAAGTGGCTGGGATTACAGGCATCCACCACCACACCCGGCTAATTTTTTGTATTTTTAGTAGAGACGGGATTTCACCATGTTGGCCAGGCTGGTCTCGAACTCCTCACCTGAGGTGATACACCTGCCTCGGCCTCCCAAACTGCTAGGATTACAGGCGTGAGCCACCGCGCCTGGCCAACGTCTGTGCTATTTAGCAGAGCAAGTCCTACTCCTCATGTCTGCTGGGTTGGGGAAAGGGTTAAGAATCATTGTCTTGGCTGGGCACGGTGGCTCATGCCTGTAATCCCAGCACTTTGGGAGGCCGAGGCAGGTGGATCACCTGAGGTCAGGAGTTTGAGACCAGCCTGACCAACATGGAGAAACCCCTGGGCAGCTGGGACTACAGGTGCACACCACCACACACAGGATCGCGTTATGCTGCCCAGGTTGGTCTAGAACTCCTGGCCTCCAGCAATCCTCCCATCTTGGCCTCCCAAAGCACTAGTACAGGCTTGAGCCACTGCACCTGGCCCCAAAATTTTATTTATTTATTTATTTATTTCGAGACAGAGTCTCACTCTATCACCCAGCCTGGAGTGCAGTGGTGCGATTTCAGCTGAGCACAACCTCCGCCTCCTGGGTTCAAGCCATTCTCCTGTCTCAGCCTCCTGAGTAGCTGGGATTACAGGCACATGCCACCATGCCCAGCTAATTTTTTAATTTTGAGTAGAGATAGGGTTTTACCATGTTGGCCAGGCTGCTGGTCTTGAACTCCTGACCTCATGATCCACCTGCCTCGGCCTCCCAAAGTGCTGGGATTACCAGCATGAGCCACCGCGCCCAGCTCCAAAATGTTTATTAACCACTAAATTGGAGCAAGCAATGTATCGGTGAGGGTCTCCAGGGCGTGCATGTTTTGCGTCAATGACACTTGCACTCTCTTCTTTCCTACCTTTGCCCATTACCTCATTTTTCTGAGTTTTGGTTAAATGATTGGTTATTTATCCTTTGAAGGGCAAATAGCTACCCAAGCAGCAAGTTAAACAAATGCCTGAGGAGGCTCTCATTGTTAAGAAATCTGAAGTTAAGACTCAATTTACCTCCATCGTTTCCTGTGGACAGGCTAAGGCTAGCAGGTTTATCAATTGAGCCCAGTCCGTTGCTGGGTGGCTGAATTTGCATTTTCCCTCTTCCTGCTCACTTCTCATTTTCCCTCAATCTTGCCACCCTGGGATTGCACCTCCCAATTAAGCACAAGCATGCAGGCTTTGCCTAGGCCTGTTTTCTAGGGCAACTAGACTCATAGACCAATATTATTATTAATTGATATTATCAGTAAGAAGATAGATACACATGTGTAAATATTCCTGGGTTGACCCTGCATTTCTGCTGTCCACCCTGATTTGTTCCCTAAGAGTGACCTTTATGGACCATATAATGGTCTCCCTTGAACTCTGGCCTCTGGGAGGTTTCAATGAAAAGAGCCAGGGGGTGATCAGAGGATGGGAGGATCCCAGCACTTTTGGAAGACTGAGGCAGCAAGATCGCTTGAGACAGGAGTTTGAGACCAGCCTGGGCAACATAATAAGACCCCATCTCTACAAAAATAAAAAACATTAGCTGGGTATGGTGGTGCGTGCCTGTAGTCCCAGCTTCTCAGGAGGCTGAGGCCAGAGGATCGCTTAAGCCCAGGAATTCGAGGTTACAGTGAGCTATAATCACAGCACTGCACTCCAGCCTGGGTGACAGAGTGAGACCGTGTCTCTAAAATTTTTTAATTGGTTTAATTAAAAATAGAGAGGATGAGATGAGAGTGAGATGGGGATTTTTCTTTCCCCACTCCCTCTCTGCTGGTAAAGGCTGCATTTCTCTATTGAAGGCCACGGCTCCTAACAGCTATCTCTTCCATAGCTGCAGCTCTTGCTGGGTTCCAGTAACTGCCCCCTCTCTGCCTCTTCAGGCCAGCAGGTAGCAAGGGCTCTCTATTATTGCTGGCCCCAGGATGCGTTACCATCCCTCTTTGGTTTCCTTTTTTTTTTTTTTTTTGTGAGACGGAGTTCGCTCTTGTCACCCAGGCTAGAGTGCAACGGCGCTATCTTGGCTCACTGCAACCTCCACGTCCTGGGTTCAAGCATTTTTATCTGCCTCAGCCTCCCTAATAGGTGGGATTACAGGTGAGTTCCACCACACTCGGCTAATTTTTGTATTTTTAGTATAGATGGGGCTTCTCCAAGTTAGCCAGGCTGGTCTTGAACTCCTGACCTCAGGTGATCTGCCCGCCTCGGCCTACCAAAGTGCTGGGATTACAGCCGTGAGCCACCCAGCCTCTTTGGTTTCCTTTGACCCTGCCTACACTTCTATAAATAGTTTCTTCCTTAAACTCTCTTCAACTCCTCTTTGAAGAGCCATATGTTTCTTTCTTCTTCTTATTCTTCTTTTTTTTTTTCTTTTTGTTGTTGTTGTTGAGACAGGGTCTCGCTTTGTCACCCAGGCTGGAGTGCAGTGGCACAATCATAGCTCACTGCAACCTCGACCTCCCAGGCTCAAGCAATCCTCCCACCTCATCTCCCGAGTAGCTGGGATACAGACGTGCACCACCACGCCCTGCAGTTCATAATTTTTGTATTTTTTAATTTTTTGTAGAGATGGGGTCTTGCTATGTTGACCAGGCTGGTCTTGAACTCCTAGCCTCAAGCAATCCTCCCACCTCAGTCTCCCAGAGTGTTAGGATCACAGGAGTGAGCCACCGTGCTCGGCCAAGTCATATGTCCCTTAAACTGGCTCTTACTGATACACACCAAGAGGTTGGGTTACTTTCCCAAAGTCACACAGAGTAAGTGACAGGGCAGCTAAGAGCATTGTCACTGGAACACAGAGCAGGGTGGAGGCTTTTTCAGCCTCGCCAGCCTGCCCAGCCCCCTCCCAGGGTCCCTATGCCCTGCCCAACCTGCTGGAATCTGTGATCCTTTTGTTGGGATGGGATTGAATTCCCTAGGGCTCCTGTCCCAGACCTGGCCAGCAGCTCCAGTAACCAGAGCTGTGTGAGAAGAAAAGGCCAAGCCACTGGGGCAGCCGCACCCCAAACAGAGGTGAGGTCTCCGATGAGTCATGCCCGTGAGGGGCCACTTCCCCTGTCCTAAGGGCCACTGCTCACCAAGGACACAGAACACTGTCCTCCTCTTTGACCTTTGCCTGCAGTGTTTTTCATCCCTCCCTCTCCCACCCAACAGGTGTCCAGGAGCTAGGACACCTGTCCTCCACCCCCACCCTGGGCCTCCAGAGACATGAGATGTGCGCAGGGCTCTGGGTGGGGCCTTCAGGCTCCCCAGCTTCCCCCTTCCAGCCCCAGATCCTCTCAGATTCCCAGAGATGGGCTCCAGCCAGGGAGGGTGGGGCTGCCCCTGGGACCATCAGGAGTCACGGGCTGCCTGGGCAGTGACAGAGCCCTGCAGGGAGCAGACCTTCACTTGGCTCTGCCTCCGCTGACTCTAGCGCCATGGCCCGGCACCTGCTCCTCCCCCTTGTGATGCTTGGTAACCTCAGGGGACAAGAGTGGCTGCAAAGGGCCTGGGTCCTGGCATCTGGGGGGCTGGAGAGCAGGATTCCTGGTTTCTGTGTGGGGAGCAGGAAGTCAGAGAGAAGGAAGTGAGGCAGCAGAAGGCGAGGATGTATCAGAGGAGGGAGAGGGAGGCCTGGGTGCCCTGGGGAGACGGAGGCTAGGAGGCTGGGGGAGGGAGTCAGGGAGGGCACATACTGAGTGCGAGTCGCCAGCCTCTTCCTGCCTACCTCTGTCTTTCCAGTCATCAGTCCCATCCCAGGAGCCTTCCAGGACTCAGGTAAGGTAGCCGGACTGGGGGAAAGTCACGTGCAGAGGCAGAAAAGACCAGAGGACTGGCATGGGTGCTGGCAGGGGTTGCTGAACGGACAGGGAAGTGGGAAGATAGGGTCGGGGGTTGGAGAGCAGGAAGTGGGGCTGGGCGGTGCAGGCCTGGAAGTCACAAGTGTCCTCCTCTCTTTCCCCTCTGGCTCCCAGCTCTCAGTCCTACCCAGGAAGAACCTGAAGATCTGGGTAAGGAAGAGGCCTTGGCACCCTCAGACCTTAAAGGAGGCTAAGGCTGGTCAGGCCATGAGGGAGGTGGAAAAGACCAGAAATGTAGACAAGCCTGGGTCCTCTATGTTCTTTGTTCAGAGGGGCAAACTGAAGTGGGTGGAGGACGGGCCTTCGTCCTGAGTTACCTGGGCTTCTGGAGTGGGGAACCCGAGGGGAGCTTTGGCTTCCACGGCTCCCCGTTGCAGACTGCGGGCGCCCTGAGCCCTCGGCCCGCATCGTGGGGGGCTCAAACGCGCAGCCGGGCACCTGGCCTTGGCAAGTGAGCCTGCACCATGGAGGTGGCCACATCTGCGGGGGCTCCCTCATCGCCCCCTCCTGGGTCCTCTCCGCTGCTCACTGTTTCATGACGTGAGTATTCGCCCTGGTCCTGGCCCCTCTCCGCCAAAAGCTGGCCCCCGCCCCCGCAGTTGGTCCCCTCCTCCCGCCCCACTTCCGTCCTCAAGGATAATTTGGAGCCAAGCTGTCCCCAAAGCGAGGTGCTATTCGAGGCATCATGGTTCCGAGTGGGGCAAGGCTGCCGGACTGGTCCCACCACTCCACTCAATATCCGGGTCTGAATCCCATCTTTCCAATGACCCCCCCACCACCAGCTCCAAATCGGATTTGCTCTTCCCCTTTGAGGAGTATCAGCACCAAATCTGGATCGGATAGCACCTGCCCCTCTGGCTCTGAGCCCCTGCCCCCAACGAGGGTCTGCCCCCTCCATAGGGTCAACCTAACCTCCTACTGCCCCGGTCGAGCGCAGGAATGGGACGCTGGAGCCCGCGGCCGAGTGGTCGGTACTGCTGGGCGTGCACTCCCAGGACGGGCCCCTGGACGGCGCGCACACCCGCGCAGTGGCCGCCATCGTGGTGCCGGCCAACTACAGCCAAGTGGAGCTGGGCGCCGACCTGGCCCTGCTGCGCCTGGCCTCACCCGCCAGCCTGGGCCCCGCCGTGTGGCCTGTCTGCCTGCCCCGCGCCTCACACCGCTTCGTGCACGGCACCGCCTGCTGGGCCACCGGCTGGGGAGACGTCCAGGAGGCAGGTGAGTGGGACGGGACAAGAGGGGAGGGCCTCGGGGAGGTGGGGCTTCGAGAGGTGAGGTTCCTAGGGCGGGGCCTCAGGAGGTGGGGCCACGGAGCGGAGCCTGCGGGGAGCGTTGGAGGGTAGGTTTCTGCGGGTCGGTGGATGAATCCCACACCGATCTCCATGTAGCCTTCTCCCTGCAAGGATTCTCAAACTAAGACCACGGAATCACCCACACGCACCCCATTCCCTCCTTACCTGTCCTTCCAGTTTTTTCTTTCCTGGGTTTAGGCTCCGACTAGGGTTCCCATCCCAGCTCTAACATGTCAGACAAAGCACTTCACCCAGTACATTTCCTCATCTGTAACACGAGGAAAATAGCCATACCCACTTCAAGGGGTGGTTGAGTGGATTAAATGAGAAAATCCATGTAAAGTTCATAGTACAGTGCCTGGCATAGCAATAACCAATGCACTTTACATATTTCACCTCAGGTAATCTATAGTAAAGCACTACAGCATAAGGCTGGCCTATAATAGATATTCAGCAAATGCCAGTCTGTGCCTCCCTCCCATCCGCCTTCCTCTCATTCCATCCACCCCCACTCATCTCTCTACTCCCCACCTCCTCTCTTCTTCCTACCCACCATCATTCATTCAATCATTCTTTCACTCAAGATATTTCTTGAGCACCTTCTACATGCCAGGCACCGTGTTAGGCATTAGAGAGACACCAGTGAACATAAAAAGCCAAAATCCTGCCTTTTCAGAGTTTACATCCTAGGAGATAGACAAGCAACAAATTCAATAAATAAGCACGCATTATGTTAGAAGGTGGGGGGGAATAGACCAAATCTCCATCCCCATCATCCCCATCACCCAAGCTTTCCATGCTCCCAGGGCCCCCACAAATATCCACATCAGCCGTGGTCAGACCTGTGCCCATCCTCGGGGCTTTGGGTAGGTGCTACAGGGGAAGATGCTACAGCCTCTGCTTGTGGAGGTCCCATCAGGGCAGGAGGTGATGAGGAAGCGTCACTGTGAGCCCCAGGAAGTCTGTGTGAATGGGGCCAGGCCATCCTAACAATGGGCACCCAGAGAGGGAGATTTCTGCAGAGATTTTTGAAGAGAGGGTACATTGCAGGAAGATGGGGGGAGATGAAGGCCACCCTGTGGACCCAGATAAGTCATGTTAGATGAAGAAGGGCCAGGATGCCAGGCTGGAGTGAGAGGGGTACAGGCACCTGGGCTGCAAAGGCTGCTGTGGCCCGGCCATGAAGACCTTAAGATCAGACTGAGGGCCAGAGCACCCCACCAGCTCCAGGGACGCCCAGGACAATCCCCAACTTCCCTGGTGAGCCCCAAGTACAGCTTCAGCCATCACCTGACCTCAAATTCTTTTCTTTTTTTCATCAATTCTTTTTTTCTTTTTGAGACAGAGTTTCACTCTTGTTGCCCAGGCTGGAGTGCAACGGCGCGATCTAGGCTCACTGCAACCTCCGCCTCCCAGCTTCAAGCAGATTCTACTGCCTCAATCTCCCAAGTAGCTGGGATTATAGGCACCCACCACCACGCCCAGCTAATTTTTTGTATTTTTAGTAGAGACAGGGTTTCACTATGTTGGGCAGGCTAGTTTTGAACTCCTAACCTCAGGTGATCCACCTGCCTCGGCCTCCCAAAGTGCTGGAATTACAGGTGTGAGTCACCGCGCCTTTGACCTCAGATTCTGAGTGAGTTGGGGAAGGAGTTCTGTCTGTACTTCCCCCCACCCCCTACTCCTTTCTGGATCCTGAAGCTGTTTCCGTCAAAAGCAGGATGGGCTGCAGCACCAAGTTTAGACAGTGTGATCCGTTTATTTTTCTTGGTGAGATCAGAACTGAACTTGAGTAGCATTCCTCTTCATTGCTGAAGTGAAGAGTGGATCAGAAGGCTGGGTCAGTTATCCAGGCCCAAAGCTATGCAGCCTCAACTAGTGTAGTTGTTTAGAATGCCAAGACGTCACAAATGAGAGGTTTTCATGAACTGGGAACTGACTGGAGGAGGGGAGTTGAGAGAGGAGACAGGGATGACACCCAGATTCCATGCTTGGCAACTCAGGACAGGACCATGTCAAGTCCGTATGGCATCTCTGTGAAAAGATGTCTCTGGACCAACACAACTCCACGTGAGAGCTCAGAACTTAATGGTTTTAGTCCCTACATTGCATCCTTTGTTGCAGTGCACAACCTGCACAACCATGCATGGCAGCTCTCACTAGGAGCTTGATGAGACCATTCCTGAGATGAAAAAGTAGAAAGAACAGATAGAAGCAGGAGGAGATGTGGTGAATGTGGTGGGCTGAGAGGCCATGGGGCATCTAGCTGATGTCCAAGAAGCAGCCGCAGGAGGCAAACCTGAACCCTGGGAACTGGGGATGCCATACCTGCCTCACAGCACCTGCTCTCTGGTTCTGCCTCCAGATCCTCTGCCTCTCCCCTGGGTGCTACAGGAAGTGGAGCTAAGGCTGCTGGGCGAGGCCACCTGTCAATGTCTCTACAGCCAGCCCGGTCCCTTCAACCTCACTCTCCAGATATTGCCAGGGATGCTGTGTGCTGGCTACCCAGAGGGCCGCAGGGACACCTGCCAGGTGAGGGAAGGCCCCGGCACCTGCCTGGCAGGGCCAGAGTCCTAACCAGTGACAAATAGATAAAGGACATCTCTCCAAGCCTCATCTGCAAAAGGAGGGCAAGATTGCCAAGGGATGGGGTTGACGTGAAGTTTTTTGTTTGTGTATTTTGAGACAGAGCCTCACTTTGTCGTCCAGGCTGGACTGCAGTGGCGCAATCTCGGCTTACTGCAACCTCCCCCTGCTCCACCCCCACCGCTCAAGCGACTCTTGTGCTTCAGCCCCCCAAGTAGCTGAGATTACAGGCATGCACCACCACAGACTGCTAATTTTGCATTCACTTGCGCCTGGCCAAGTGAATTTATTTATGTATTTATTTATTTATTTATTTAATTTATTTTTTGAGACGGAGTTCCTTTTTTTTTTTTTTTTTTTTTGAGACGGAGTCTTGCTCAGTCGCCCAGGCTGGAGTGCAGTAGCATGATCTCAGCTCACTGCAACCTCCGCCTCCCGGGTTCACGCAATTCTCCTGCCTCAGCCTCCCGAGTAGCTAGGACCACAGATGCCCGCCACGACGCCCAGCTAATTTTTTTTTTGTATTTTTAGTAGACACGGGATTTCACCAGGTTAGCCAGGATTGTCTCGATCTCCTGACCTCGTGATCCACCCGCCTCAGCCTCCCAAAGTGCTGGGATTACAGGAGTGAGCCACCGCGCCCGGCCGAGACGGAGTTTCACTCTTATTGCCCAGGCTAGAGTACAATGGCACGATCTCAGCTCACCACAACCTCTGCCTCCCGGGTTCAAGCGATTGTCCTGCTTCAGCCTCCCAAGTAGCTGGGATTACAGGCATGTGCCACCACGGCCAGCTAATTTTGTATTTTTAGTAGAGATGGGGTTTCTCCATGTTAGTCAGGCTGGTCTCGAACTCCCGACCTCAAATGATCCGCCTGCCTCGGCCTCCCAAAGTTCTGGGATTACAGGCGTGAGCCACCATGCCCAGCTATTTATTTATTTATTGAGACAGAGTTTTGCTCTTGTTGCCCAGGCTGGAGTGCAATGGCACGATCTTGGCTCACTGCAAACTCCACCTCTCGGGTTCAAGCAATTCTCCTGGCTCACCCTCCCAAGTAGCTGGGATTACAGGCATGAGCCACCATGCCCAGCCAAGGCCGAGTGAATTTAAAAACCAAAGACAGCATAGCCAGGAGCAGTGACTCATGCCTGTAATCCCAGCTAATCAGAAAAATTGAGGCGGGAGGATCACTTGAGCCCAGGAGTCTGAGACCAGCCTGAGCAACATAGTGATACCTCATCCCAAAAAAAGAGACAAACTGGCTGGGCACAATGGCTCACGCCTGTAATCCCAGCACTTTAGGAGACCGAGGCACGTGGATCACTTGAGGTCGAGAGTTTGAGACCAGCCTGGCCAACATGGCAAAAACCCATCTCTACCAAAAATACAAAAATTAGCCGGCTGTGGTGGTGTACACCTGTAGTCCCAGCTACTCGGGAAGCTGAGGCAGGAGAATCACTTGAACCCGGGAGGCAGAGGTTGCAGTGGGCTGAGGTTGCACCACTGCACTCCAGCCTGGGAGACAGAGCGAGATTCCGTCTCAAAAAAGAAAAGAAAGAAAGAAAAAGAAAGGGAAGGAAAGAAGGAAGGAAGGGAGGGAGGGGAATTATTTGAGCTAGTAACAACAAGAATCACTTGGCTCTAATGACAACTGCAGGATTATCTTGTGTGGCTTTGAATGCACTCCCCTGGTGCTCTTGGCTCTGGCTGCCATCGGCCTTCTGCTTACAGGGATTTCTTCTGTTTAGAGCCGCAGGGAATGCAGAGGACAAGGCCTAGCCAAGGAGGGTTTCTAGGAGAAGGGAGAAGGTGGTGTATGTTGGGCCAAAAGGAGGTGCAGGACCTTTTCGAGTAGGTCCCTGGGCTGACCCCTTGACATGCAGTCATCTGCCACTAGGGTGACTCTGGGGGGCCCCTGGTCTGTGAGGAAGGCGGCCGCTGGTTCCAGGCAGGAATCACCAGCTTTGGCTTTGGCTGTGGACGGAGAAACCGCCCTGGAGTTTTCACTGCTGTGGCTACCTATGAGGCATGGATACGGGAGCAGGTGATGGGTTCAGAGCCTGGGCCTGCCTTTCCCACCCAGCCCCAGAAGACCCAGTCAGATCCCCAGGAGCCCAGGGAGGAGAACTGCACCATTGCCCTGCCTGGTGAGTGGGCGGCACCCCTGGATGTAAGCGGGACATGGGAGAGTGAGTTGGGATGGAGACTGCTGGGAGTGATTGGGTTGCAGGAGGCCCACTGACCCAGGCCTCTCACCCCTCAGAGTGCGGGAAGGCCCCGCGGCCAGGGGCCTGGCCCTGGGAGGCCCAGGTGATGGTGCCAGGATCCAGACCCTGCCATGGGGCGCTGGTGTCTGAAAGCTGGGTCTTGGCACCTGCCAGCTGCTTTCTGGAGTGAGTGAAAATCTACGTTTCAAGCCGATCCTTGCCCCTCCCTACAGCCTGAGATACCATCCATTCGGCCCCAGCCCCTCCCCAGGGGGTGTGGGGGGGGCGGGGTCCCATTCGGAGGTGTAGGATCCAGCACAAAAAGAGGGGTCCTGGCCTGGCAGGGGTGGGTAGAGGCATGGTAGATAGAAGTTCGATCCCGGAGGCGGGGGTGTGAGTGAGCTGTTGGAATGGGGGTGTCGTGGGGATCCCGCCAGGATGCAGGATCCTCGCCTGGCAAGTCTAAGCCGGGGTGTGAGGTTTCCAGCCACGTGTGCGGGATCCGGCCCACGTCCCTCGGCCCCCATCCCGCAGCCCGAACAGCTCCGACAGCCCACCCCGCGACCTCGACGCCTGGCGCGTGCTGCTGCCCTCGCGCCCGCGCGCGGAGCGGGTGGCGCGCCTGGTGCAGCACGAGAACGCTTCGTGGGACAACGCCTCGGACCTGGCGCTGCTGCAGCTGCGCACGCCCGTGAACCTGAGCGCGGCTTCGCGGCCCGTGTGCCTACCCCACCCGGAACACTACTTCCTGCCCGGGAGCCGCTGCCGCCTGGCCCGCTGGGGCCGCGGGGGTGAGCTGGGGACCGGCGCTGGGCCGGGCGGCACCGGGCGGTGCAGGGGCCGTCTGGGCCGCAGCGCGGGCTCCCTGCCTTTTCCCTTCCAGAACCCGCGCTTGGCCCAGGCGCGCTGCTGGAGGCGGAGCTGTTAGGCGGCTGGTGGTGCCACTGCCTGTACGGCCGCCAGGGGGCGGCAGTACCGCTGCCCGGAGACCCGCCGCACGCGCTCTGCCCTGCCTACCAGGAAAAGGAGGAGGTGGGCAGCTGCTGGGTAAGCGGCGGGGGCGGGGCCCGCGGAACGCGGGCCCGAGAGGGCTCTAGGAAGAGGGCGGGGCCTGTGGAAGGCGAGTCCAAGTGGGCTCTAGGGAGAGGGCGGGGCCTGCGGAAGGCGGGTCCGAGTGGGCTCTAGGGAGGGAGCGGGGCCTGGGGAAGGCGGGTCCGAGTGGGCTCTAGGAAGGGGCGGGGCTTGCGGAACTGGGAATGGGGCGGAGCCGGGGTGGAAGCGGGGCCAGAACGAGCTGGGGGTGGGGCCTGCCCCTAGAGAACTTTTGGGAGGGAGCTGAGGCGGGCTCTGAGCTGGTGCTATGGTTTCTCTCTATCTCTGGATTTAAGGAGAATCTTAAAGTGAGGGCTGAATTCTTACACAAATTAGTATTTGGAGTCTGATTTGGAGAAGGTGGAACTTGATACTTCCGCAAATGGGAAAATCTGGAGTCCTGGAAAGCCCCAGGAGCTCTGATATTCTCTGCACACACGCAGAGGCAAGTAACACACACACTTTGTTGCTGCAGAATGACTCGCGTTGGAGCCTTTTGTGCCAGGAGGAGGGGACCTGGTTTCTGGCTGGAATCAGAGACTTTCCCAGTGGCTGTCTACGTCCCCGAGCCTTCTTCCCTCTGCAGACTCATGGCCCATGGATCAGCCATGTGACTCGGGGAGCCTACCTGGAGGACCAGCTAGCCTGGGATTGGGGCCCTGATGGGGAGGAGACTGAGACACAGACTTGTCCCCCACACACAGAGCATGGTGGTGAGCAGGACGCTTTTGGGCCCTAGGGGCTCCTGGGAGTGCACAGACCCATGGCAGGGGCTCAGGGGTCAGCCATGGGGCCCCAACTGAGGTGGCCACCTCCTCTCCCTAGCCTGTGGCCTGCGGCTGGAGGCTGCTCCAGTGGGGGTCCTGTGGCCCTGGCTGGCAGAGGTGCATGTGGCTGGTGATCGAGTCTGCACTGGGATCCTCCTGGCCCCAGGCTGGGTCCTGGCAGCCACTCACTGTGTCCTCAGGTGGGTCTCACTCGTCTCCTAGGCGAGAGACGGGAGGGGAGAATGGAACAGAGCCAAAGACTTGTTTTTGTTATTTGTTTGTTTGTTTGTTTAAAAAAAATTAACAATGAGATCTTGCTGTGTTGCCCAGGCCAGCCTCAAGCAATCCTCCTGCCTTGGCCAACGTACTAAGATTACAGGCATGAGCCACTGTGCCTCACCCAAAGGACTCTTAAAATAGTGGGATATTCTCCTTTAAGCATCTTACAGCTGGGCGCAATGGTTCACACCTGTAATCCTAGCACTTTGGGAGGCCGAGGCGGGCAGATCATGAGGTCAGGAGTTCAAGACGAGCCTGGCCAACATGGTGAAACCCCTCTACTAAAAATACAAAAATTAGCCAGGGGTGGTGGCAGGCGCCTGTAACCCCAGCTACGTGGGAGGCTGAGGCAGGAGAATCGCTTGAACCCAGGGAGGGCAGAGGTTGCAGTGAGCCAAGATTGCGCCACTGCACTCCAGTCGGAGCGACAGAGCAAGACTCTGTCTGGGGTGGGGCATGAGGGAAGAATCTTACAGCACTGGGAGATGTTTTGACCTAGAAGGGAGATTTGGAAGGAGGGATGATGAAGGAGTGAGTGGCATGACCCCAGAGAGTCATCCTTCCCCTGGGCTGGGAAGGACTTTGCCAGCAATGGGAGGAGCAGAAGGTGACATTGGACCTTGTTCCAACAGGCCAGGCTCTACAACAGTGCCTTACATTGAAGTGTATCTGGGCCGGGCAGGGGCCAGCTCCCTCCCACAGGGCCACCAGGTATCCCGCTTGGTCATCAGCATCCGGCTGCCCCAGCACCTGGGACTCAGGCCCCCCCTGGCCCTCCTGGAGCTGAGCTCCCGGGTGGAGCCCTCCCCATCAGCCCTGCCCATCTGTCTCCACCCGGCGGGTATCCCCCCGGGGGCCAGCTGCTGGGTGTTGGGCTGGAAAGAACCCCAGGACCGAGGTGAGACCCCTGGGTCACGGGAACGAGGAGTAGCTGGAGGCCAGAGCCCTGGAACAACTTTGTCTCCTCTCCCCAGTCCCTGTGGCTGCTGCTGTCTCCATCTTGACACAACGAATCTGTGACTGCCTCTATCAGGGCATCCTGCCCCCTGGAACCCTCTGTGTCCTGTATGCAGAGGGGCAGGAGAACAGGTGTGAGGTACAGGGGCCTGGGCGTCCTGGAGTAGGCAGGGGAGAGGCAGTGTTGGACTACTGTACCCTAGAGAGATAGCAGAATTGGAATTTTTTTTTTTTTTTTTTTTTGAGACAGAGTCTCACTCTGTCCCCCAGCTGGAGTGCAGTGGCGCGATCTCGGCTCACTGCAAGCTCCACCTCCCTGGTTCATGCCATTCTCCTGCCTCAGCCTCCCGAGTAGCTGGGACTACAGGCACCCGCTACTACGCCCGGCTAATTTTTTGTATTTTTAGTAGAGACGGGGTTTCACTGTGTGAGCCAGGATGGTCTTGATCTGATCTCGTGATCCGCCGGCCTCGGCCTCCCAAAGTGCTGGGATTAGAGGTGTGAGCCACTGCGCCCGGCCAAGGAATTTTTTTTTTTTTTTTTTTTTTTTTTTGAGACTGAGTCTCGCTCTGGTACCCAGGCTGGAGTGCAGTGGTGTGATCTTGGCTCACTGCAACCTCCACCTCCCAGGTTCAAGAGATTCTCCTGCCTCAGCCTCCCTAGTAGCTGGGATTACAAGCATGCACCACCACACCTGGTTAATTTTTGTATTTTTAGTAGAGACAGGGTTTCACCATGTTGGCCAAGCTGGACTCAAACTCCTCACCTCAAATGATCCGCCCACCTTGGCTTCCCAAAGGGTTGGGATTAGAGGTGTGAGCCACTGCACCTGGCCAGGATTGGAATTATTGGGTATTTGGCCCCAAATGGGACCCTAGCTGGACCCGGGAGAGAAACCAGGGACCTGGATGTCTAGGGATGCAGACCAGAGTGCTTCGTGGCCAGACCCTGGGGAAAGGGGGAGGGGACCAAGAGGAAGGGCAGCAGACCCACGTGGCCTCGCTCCAACTCTGCAGATGACCTCAGCACCGCCCCTCCTGTGCCAGATGACGGAAGGGTCCTGGATCCTCGTGGGCATGGCTGTTCAAGGGAGCCGGGAGCTGTTTGCTGCCATTGGTCCTGAAGAGGCCTGGATCTCCCAGACAGTGGGAGAGGCCAACTTCCTGCCCCCCAGTGGCTCCCCACACTGGCCCACTGGAGGCAGCAATCTCTGCCCCCCAGAACTGGCCAAGGCCTCGGGATCCCCGCATGCAGTCTACTTCCTGCTCCTGCTGACTCTCCTGATCCAGAGCTGAGGGGCTAGGGTCCCAGCACCACTTCCCCCTTCTCCACCCTCTACTTCCCGCCCAGTGGGGCTGGAATGTGGCCCAGCCGGCTGGAACCTCAAGGGCCCCACCCACCGAGATTGCAGCGGCTCTGGCTAATTGGGCCTCAGTGCCCGGGCTATTTTGAACCCAGGAATCCTTGGGGGTGGTGGGAGGAGCGGACAATAAAGGTGTAAACACAGGTACCTGTGTGGCCTTGTGGCATCGCCGTGGGCAGGCTGAGGGGCTGGGCATCAGAGGCTAAGCGGGAAGCCCAAGGGGGAGGTCCCCTCCCTCCTCCCTCCTCCGGCCTCTGAGTCAGGCCTTGGGCTCTCAGGAAATGTACCCTGATAACCTGGCAGCGATTCCTTCATTCCTGTCCCAGGGCAGGGAAGTCGGGTGGCCAGCTGGCTGTGTGTCACCTGCCCAGTGGAGTCAGCACCCTCGGCACGTGCTGGACATCTCATCCCCTGCTCAGACCCGCTGCCCTCGCTGCCCGCCATAGACACACCTCAATGCACAATGCTCCGATGTATCCCCTGCACACACACAACACTTGGGCCCTTCAAGGGTCTGCCACTTTCACATTCTGCCCAGAACTTGGGTCCCTTATATGTGAACCTCACTCCCTTACCCACTGCTTACCTGCACCTCCCTGCATTCATTCAACCCGTGTTCCCTGGTGGCTACTAAGTCGTGGCACAATTGGGGTCTGATATATAAGCCCACAAAGTCCTCCCAATCTAGTGGGGACACATGTGGACATCCCTGGCTGGGATTGGGAAGATGTCATAGCAGTGATGTTTGAGCACAGAAAAAGGGAAGGTGGTTTCCAGCCAATGAATCTACAATTAAAAAGTAACGCAAAACCAGAGACGAGGTGCGGCAGCTCATGCCTGTAATCCCAGCACTTTGGGAGGATCGCTTGAGGCCAGGCATTCCAGACCAGCCCGGGCAACAAAGCAAGACCCCCATCTCCACTTTTTTTTTTTTGAGACAGAGTCTCATACTGATGCTCAGGCTGGAGTGCAGTGGTGCAATCTCGGCTCACTGCAACCTCCACCTCCTGGGTTCAAGCGATCCTCCTGCCTCAGACTCAAGTAACTAGGATTGCAGACTCAAGACACCATGCCGGACTAATTTTTGTATTTTTATTTAACTTATTTATTTTTAATTTTTTGAGACAGAGTTTTGCTATTGTCGCCCACACTGGAGTTCAATGGCGCAATCTCGGCTCACTACAACCTTCACCTCCCAGGTTCAAGCAATTCTCCTGCCTCAGCCTCCTGAGAAGCTGGGATTACAGGTGCCCACCACCATGCCCAACTAATTTTTGTATTTTTAGTAGAGGTGGGGTGTCTCTATGTTGGCCAGGCTGGTCTTGAACTCCTGACCTCAGATGATCCGCCCACCTCAGCCTCCCAAAGTGCTGGGATTTACAGGCGTGAGCCACTGCATCTGGCCTATTTATTTTATTTATTTATTTATTTTGAGATGGAGTCTCCCTCTGTTGCCCAGGCTGGAGTGCAGTGGCACAATCTTGGCTTCCCAGGTTCAAGCAATTCTCCTGCCTCAGCCTCCCGAGTAGCTAAGATTACAGGTATGCGCCACCACGCCTGGCTAATTTTCTTTGTATTTTTTAGGAGAGACGGGGTTTTACCATGTTGGCCAAGCTGGTCTCAAACTCCTGATCTTGAGAATGATCCTCCCACCTTGGCCTCACAAAGTGCTGGGATTATAGGTGTGAGCCACCACATCCAAGCTCCACAATTTTTTTTGTTTGTTTGTTTTTTGAGACGGAGTCTCGCTCTGTCGCTCAGGCTGGAGTGCAATGGCGCAATATCTCGGCTCACTGCAACCTCCACCTCCTGGGTTCAAGCGATTCTCCTGCCTCAGCCTCCTGAGTAGCTGGAATTACAGGTGCGTGCTACCACGCCTGGCTAATTTTTGTATTTTTAGTAGAAATGGGGTTTCACCATGTTGTTCAGGATGGTCTCAAACTCCTGACCTCGTGATTCGTGTGCCTTGGCCTCCCAAAGTGCCGAGATTAGAGGCGTGAGCCACCACACCCAGCCTCAACAGGTGTTTTGAACGGCCAGAGTGGCCCTCAAGGAGGATACATGCCTCACTCCCACCGCAGCCACACGGCAAGCCTTCTTTCCCTGAGCCTCTGCCCTCTGCACCCCATCCCCCCATCTTCGCCTTACCACCTTTTATAATCCCTTTCGGTCTCAGTTTCCAAGGCAATTCCTCGAGGACCCTTTCACAATGCCAGCCTTTGCCAGGCTGTGGTGTGCTCACGCCATTCTTTTTCATCACTATTCCTAGCTTGAAATTATTGTGTAATTGCAATTTTTTTTTTTAAGACAGGGTCTCCCTCTGTTGCCCAGGCTGGAGTGCAGTGGCGTGATCATAGCTCAATGCTTCGTTGAACTCCTGGGCTCAAGCAATCCTCCTGCCTCAGCCTCCCAAATAGCTGGAACCATAGGCATGCGCCACAATGCCTGCCTAATTTTTATATTTCTTTGTAGAGATGAGGCCTCGCTATATTCCCCAGGCTGGTCTGGAACTCCTGGCTTCAAGTGATGCTCCAGCCTCAGCCTCCCAAAGCCGACTAGCCACCTTGCCAGCCTGTTTGTGATTATTTGATTGAAGTGTGTCACCCCTACTTCACCATGAGCTCAGGGCTCAAGGGGGACGGGGCTGGTGCCTGTTTTGTCCTGGACACCTGGGAACATCATAGGCACTTAGGAAATGTCTGTGGGATGATTGGTGCTGCTCCACAAGCTCGCCACCACCCATGAGGTGCAGGCATCGCAGAAAGGGCCTGGCAGGGGACAGACCATAGTGTCTTAAGCTCCCATAACCAGCCTAAGGAGGGAGGGAAGAAGGGAGGAGTGGCTGTGGCTCCAGATAATAAAAGCTGGGGCCAGGCCCTGGGGGGCATAACTGGCCTGAGATAACCTGAAAGACCTGAGGCGGAGGAGAGTCGTCACATTCCAGGGAGACTGCACACACACACAAACCACATGCACGTGCATGCACGCACACTCAGACACACACACTACACACACAGGGACACACACAGCCTACACATGTGCACATACAGCCTGTACATGCACACACACACACATACCACACCACATAAGAGGACACACACAGCCTACACAGGCATACACACACACCACATACACACTACACACCGGGACACACACACAAAAGGCCTATGCATGTGCACACACATACACACGGACACATACATGCACACACACGGGCCTGCAGCTCTGAAAGGACTCATGACTTTGGTGGCAAGAGGAGCTGGCGGAGCCCAGCCAGTGGGCGGGGCCAGGGGAGGGGCGGGCAGGTAGGTGCAGCCACTCCTGGGAGGACCCTGCGTGGCCAGACGGTGCTGGTGACTCGTCCACACTGCTCGCTTCGGATACTCCAGGCGTCTCCCGTTGCGGCCGCTCCCTGCCTTAGAGGCCAGCCTTGGACACTTGCTGCCCCTTTCCAGCCCGGATTCTGGGATCCTTCCCTCTGAGCCAACATCTGGGTCCTGCCTTCGACACCACCCCAAGGCTTCCTACCTTGCGTGCCTGGAGTCTGCCCCAGGGGCCCTTGTCCTGGGCCATGGCCCAGAAGGGGGTCCTGGGGCCTGGGCAGCTGGGGGCTGTGGCCATTCTGCTCTATCTTGGATTACTCCGGTCGGGGACAGGTAAGTGAGGACGTGGGGGCAGGGTGGGGACAATGCACTGGAGGGAGCCGGCGTGATCATTTTCTGGGGTGTGCCCTTGTCTGGGGCCCAAGAAAACCCCCGGCCTCCCTAGCTCTTGGCCTCTCTTTCCCACCTTGGCTCTGTCAGGGAAGGGGCCAGCCCTCTGGAGCAGTGGTGGGTACTAAGGGGTCAGGGAACCCGAGTCTTCCCTACTCACCCCTCCTCTTTCTCTTTCTTTCTAGGAGCGGAAGGGGCAGAAGGTGAGACTTTCCTCGGAGAGGGAGGAGGGGAGGGGGAGGTGACTTGGATCGGATTCCCCTGGGGTTTAACCAGTGCCTGGCCTTCAGCTGGGCTGCCTTCCAACTAGATTCTCTTAGGGCTCCCAGAGTGGGGGGTTTTAGCCCTCACCTTATGGGCAGAGAAGCAGGGACTTGCCCAGGGCACACTGCCAGTGAAGGTGCAGCTGGGATTCAGATCCACGTCTGACTCCCAAAGTGGGGCAATCGAGGTGGTTTTTTTGGTTTGGTTTTTGTCTTTTGAAACAGGGTCTGGGTCTGTCGTCACCCAGGCTGGAGTGCAGTGGCCCGATCGCAGCTCACTGCAGTCTCAGTGATCCAGCCTCCCGGGCTCACGTGATCCTCCCACCTCCCCACCTCAGCCTCCCTAGTGGCTGGGACTACAGGTGCATGCCATCACACCCAGCTAGTTGTGTTTTGTTTTTGTTTTTGTTTTTGTTTGGTAGAGATGTGGGTCTCACTATGTTGGCCGGGCAGGTCTTGAACTCCTGGGCTCAAGCGATCCTCCTGCCTTGGCCTCTCAAAGTGCTGGGATTACAGGTGTGAGCCACCGTTCCCATCCTGGAGGTGGTTTTGAGGGAACCAAACCAAGGGTCTCCTTTCTTGGAAGGCACCCAACCCAGCTCTGAGTCAGACCGGCTTTCAATCCTGGCTTCCCCATGCACTGGCTGTGTGTCATTGGCCAAGTCCCCCCACTTCTCTAAGCCTTAGACTCCTCACCTCTAAAATGAAGCTGGTCATGTCCGTCTCCTGGGGCTGTGGAGAGGATGCAGGGAGATGAGGAAGCGAAAGCCCCTCCAGGGCCTGGCACAGCCGCTAGGCTCTCTAAATAGTGGCTATTGTCATGATGATAAGGGAGAGAAAGATCTGGTCTGCAATTTTCTCTGCTCCTAGATGACTTTGTGAAGAGCAGTTGGGCTCCACTCCAAAGTGGCCTCAATGGGGGTGGGGCTGGGGCTGTCCTGGAAACTAGACATTCACATCACAGGAGCCCAGTTCTGCTGTTGGTTTGTTGAATATATGTCCACGACGCCACAGGCACTGCAGACATGAGAATCTGCCCCTAGGGAATGCCCAGATTGGTGTGGTGGAAACAGACACAGTTGTGGACTCCGGAACAATTGTGAGACTGGGCAGCATCGGGGAGCATGGTGGAGGTTGGGGGGTGCTGGGCTCGGAGGCAATGCCCAACTCAGCCAGCAGAAGCCCGCCTGTCTACGGAGGGGCTGCTGTTCCAATCAAGCATCCACAGGCAAAGGGAAGTTTGCCAGACAGTAAGGATGGGGAAGGGCATACCAGGTAGAGTGACCTGGATCAGCCAAGGTCCCGGGTAAACAAGTGTGTGGCCTGATGTACACAACTGAAGGGTCCAGAGGGGACGGCTGGGTCCGATGGCGGTGCCATGGTCTGTCTGGAATGTATCTTAAGGACCGCGTGGAGCCAAGAAGGGTTTAAGCAGGGCTGTGGCCTGGTCAGATTGGGGGTTTATGAAAATCTTCAGACTTGTAAGGGGCGGGATGGATGGAAGGCTTGCAAGGAGAGAAGCTGCCATGAGACCTGAATTAGGTAATGGGTAGTGGACAGAAGGGGCACAACTGCCCATGCCTGGGAGGGGACAAAGGGGTGTTGACTCCTGTGAACCCACTTCCCAAGCTCTATATCAGAGCTCCTGGGCTGCATAGGAGTGGCCAGGCTAACAACCTGACCCCTTCCCTTCCTCCCTGGGCAGCTCCCTGCGGTGTGGCCCCCCAAGCACGCATCACAGGTGGCAGCAGTGCAGTCGCCGGTCAGTGGCCCTGGCAGGTCAGCATCACCTATGAAGGCGTCCATGTGTGTGGTGGCTCTCTCGTGTCTGAGCAGTGGGTGCTGTCAGCTGCTCACTGCTTCCCCAGGTACCAAATGGTGAAAGTCAAAAGTGGGCTGGAGGTCAAAGTTAATGGGTCAATCCAGGTCAGAGGTTGGGGTTCTTGGGTTGGGTCTGAGAGTGTCAGTTCTAAGTCTGGAAGGACCAGTTAGGAGTGAAGGTGAGGGGTCAGAGGTTACATGATAAAACTAAGGTGCAATTTGAGACCTAAAAGGGGCTGATCGGAATCAGGGGTTGGCAGTGGGGGTTGGGGAACAAGGAGAGGTCTCCTGGGTCTCAGCCTTTGCCCCCTGCCTGCAGCGAGCACCACAAGGAAGCCTATGAGGTCAAGCTGGGGGCCCACCAGCTAGACTCCTACTCCGAGGACGCCAAGGTCAGCACCCTGAAGGACATCATCCCCCACCCCAGCTACCTCCAGGAGGGCTCCCAGGGCGACATTGCACTCCTCCAACTCAGCAGACCCATCACCTTCTCCCGCTACATCCGGCCCATCTGCCTCCCTGCAGCCAACGCCTCCTTCCCCAACGGCCTCCACTGCACTGTCACTGGCTGGGGTCATGTGGCCCCCTCAGGTGAGGTGGGACGCTGGGTGCCTAGAGGTGTGGAGGGGCACCTGACTTGGGGAGGGGCCCAGGGTAAGCCTCTTTTACCCCCACAGTGAGCCTCCTGACGCCCAAGCCACTGCAGCAACTCGAGGTGCCTCTGATCAGTCGTGAGACGTGTAACTGCCTGTACAACATCGACGCCAAGCCTGAGGAGCCGCACTTTGTCCAAGAGGACATGGTGTGTGCTGGCTATGTGGAGGGGGGCAAGGACGCCTGCCAGGTAAGCACAGGCCCGGGGGGCAGATGACCAGTGCAACTTCGGAAAGGAGGCCTGGCCCGGTCCTGATGGCTGCTGTGTGGCTTCTCTCCTCAGGGTGACTCTGGGGGCCCACTCTCCTGCCCTGTGGAGGGTCTCTGGTACCTGACGGGCATTGTGAGCTGGGGAGATGCCTGTGGGGCCCGCAACAGGCCTGGTGTGTACACTCTGGCCTCCAGCTATGCCTCCTGGATCCAAAGCAAGGTGACAGAACTCCAGCCTCGTGTGGTGCCCCAAACCCAGGAGTCCCAGCCCGACAGCAACCTCTGTGGCAGCCACCTGGCCTTCAGCTCTGCCCCAGCCCAGGGCTTGCTGAGGCCCATCCTTTTCCTGCCTCTGGGCCTGGCTCTGGGCCTCCTCTCCCCATGGCTCAGCGAGCACTGAGCTGGCCCTACTTCCAGGATGGATGCATCACACTCAAGGACAGGAGCCTGGTCCTTCCCTGATGGCCTTTGGACCCAGGGCCTGACTTGAGCCACTCCTTCCTTCAGGACTCTGCGGGAGGCTGGGGCCCCATCTTGATCTTTGAGCCCATTCTTCTGGGTGTGCTTTTTGGGACCATCACTGAGAGTCAGGAGTTTTACTGCCTGTAGCAATGGCCAGAGCCTCTGGCCCCTCACCCACCATGGACCAGCCCATTGGCCGAGCTCCTGGGGAGCTCCTGGGACCCTTGGCTATGAAAATGAGCCCTGGCTCCCACCTGTTTCTGGAAGACTGCTCCCGGCCCGCCTGCCCAGACTGATGAGCACATCTCTCTGCCCTCTCCCTGTGTTCTGGGCTGGGGCCACCTTTGTGCAGCTTCGAGGACAGGAAAGGCCCCAATCTTGCCCACTGGCCGCTGAGCGCCCCCGAGCCCTGACTCCTGGACTCCGGAGGACTGAGCCCCCACCGGAACTGGGCTGGCGCTTGGATCTGGGGTGGGAGTAACAGGGCAGAAATGATTAAAATGTTTGAGCACAACTTGCCGTGCATGTGTGAAGTGAAATGAAGAACATCCGCTCTTGGCCTCCCCTTCCCCTCCAAAGTCCAGGGCCACCAGAACTGACTTTATTAAAAAAATGACAAAACAGGTCTATACATATTTACAGGCTGGGAGCCAGGAGGCTCAGGTCCGACAGCAGGGGCCAGGCTGCTCACTTCTTGGAGAGCTTGACTTGCTTGTGCTTGGGGGGTGCCCACTTGAGGCAGACGGAGTCCACTGTGGGGAGAAGGGGCGGGAGGCAGGGCTGGGCCTGGGCCAGGCCAGCTCACACCTGGCTGCCCTCCTCTGGGCTCAGGCCAGTTTCACCTCCTCCAGGTGAGAACAAAAGGGCAGGCTGTGCTGGGGAGGGGTAGGGAAGCCCAGGAATGAGAGGCCTGCCCCGGGCTCCATCCTGGGAGCTGGTCTGACTGGTTTGGGATCATGTGACAGCAATAAGGAGGCCTTGACTCCTACCAGTCCATATACTGACACTCCCCCACCGCCCCCGACACACAGCAGCCCCCCACCCACCTGTGATGGGTGGTTTCTTATACTGGGCACTTTTGAGGTGCTCCTCCACCAGCTTGGGTGTGACACAGATCACGTGCTGGCCCTTCCAGTACTTGACCATATTGAGGGATTGCAGGGTACTGATGATGTCATTTTGGGTGATACTGGTCATCTGGCTGCAAAAAGGGATGAGAGCAAATGCCAGACCTGGTGCCCTTGTGGGATCTGGCCAGGATGGTGACAGGGTATGAGGAAGCAGGATCGTGGCCCATCTCAGGGCAAGTCCTGCCCCCAGGGCCCGGGAGGCCCCCTCACCTGAGGTCCTTGATGGACAGTGTGCCCCGGAAGTCCCGCAGGATCTCTAGCAGCACCCAGGACCAGTAGCTGCGGTAGCTGAGCTTGCCCAGGTCAGACAGTGGCTTCTCCGGGGAGCCGACTGTGCTCTCCAGCTTGGAGAGCTCATAACCTGGCAGCAGTAGAAAGAGGAACTTAGGATCCAGCCTGCCCTGGCACCCCTGCCCCACAGGTCTCCCCCTCCCAGACAGGCCAGGAACCACTCACTGAAAGCGATGAGGAACTTCCCGTAGCCGCGGCGTTGGTAGGGGGGCAAGGTCAGGATGCAGGCCACATTGTTTCCATCCGGGGACTCCTTCTCCTGCAGGAGGCAGGTGCTCAGGGCCGCTGGGGAGGCTCTGCCCCACTCTCTGTTCATGCCCACCTTCGCCCTCCCCACCCTCCCCACCCCGAGTTTCCAGACCCAGCACCTTGGAGAAGTAGCCAACAATGTGGGCCCCCTGCCGGTCCACCTCAGTCAGGATGTAAAAGACGAACGGCTCCACGTCAAAGTACAGTGTCTTATGGTCCAGGAAAAGCTTGGCCAGCAGACACAGGTTCTGACAGTAAATCTAGGGTTGAGGAGGGGGGAGACAGGCTCAGGGGGCAGGCACAGGCCCCACCCAGCTGGTTCCAGCGGCCGGCACCAGCCCACGCGAAGTGGGCGCCTCGCCAGGCCAGAAGGATTTCACACTGGAAGGAGTCTTCGGTCAGCCTCTGACGAACAGGGAACTGGAAATGAGAGAGCAACAGCACTTCGGAGGTGCCAGTGGAGCTGGATGAAGCCCGGCCACCCCTTCTGAGTGCCAAATACGAGCTGGGTGCCTTCCATGCAGGATCTGCTTCAGTCTTCACAGACATTAACTCTGTTTCAGCTCGTGAAACTGAGGCTCCGAGGCAGGAATTTAGACCGTCCTGTTCATGGCTGTGTCCCCAGCGCCTAGCACGAGTCTAAGTATGAAGCTGGGTGCCTGGTAAACGTCTGCTGAATGGAGGAACCTCGAGCCCTGTCTGTCCACTTGGCTGCACTCCAGGAGGGGGACAATGGGACCGAGTTTGGCTTCACGGCACACACTAAGGGGCTCCCTGGTTTATGACACCACAGCCACTCTCTCATCCAACCCGGCAGCTGTGCGAGCCCAGCACTGCCAGGCCCATCTTACTCAGGAGGAAGCTGAAGCTCCCAGAGTGGAAGTGCTTGCCCAGAGCCTCAAAGCTGGCAGAGCGCAGTTGGAAAGCACCCCCACATCTCCAGCGGGGGCCCTTCTGCTATTCCACACAGCCATGCTCAGGAAGGCAGAGCAGGGGCAAGGGCTGGGCTCAGCCTGCGTATTCTCCGAGTCCAAGGCTAATCAAGCCCCAAGAGGTCACCGATAATAACAAGGCCCGTGTTTATTAAGCACATACTAGTGCTAAGCACTGCACTAAACACTTGACATTTGCTGTCTCATTTATTCCACTAACAACACAACTAGGTAAATATTAAATATTATGACTCCCGTCTTATGGACAAGGAAACAGGAACAAACCATGTTAAGTAACTTGTCTGTGGTCAGTGAGGAAGTGACAAGGCAACATGAGCCACCCTGAAGCCTGCCCTCTCTGTCCTGTGCTGTATGGCCCATCTGCGGGAAACCAGTACACTTGGCCAGACCCTCCCAGACTGATAAGGCAAAGGCCAAGTTCTCTACAACAGCTAGGCAGGTCCCAAAGGCCCCAACCTGCCCTGCTGAAGTCATTCGGGGCCAGGAACAAGGAACTCAAACCTTGAAAGCCACAGAGCTCTCTCAGGAGGAAATTTCACACAAAGCAGTCCCCTCCCAGGCAAAAACAAACACCTTTCTTTCCAACGGAAGGAGAGAGCACTTCTAAAAGCAGCCTCAGGCAAGAAAATCTCCTCTGGGTTCCAGAACAACCCAAGTTTGAACCTAACCCCACCAGCAGAAGAGTCTTGGGGCCACCACAAGGCCCTGTGTTTCCTATGCACCAACTACAGGCCTAGTGCCAGGCTAGGAGGCCCTCAGAGGCCTTCTTTTTTTTTTTTGAGACAGATTCTCAATCTGACGACCAGGCTGGAGTACAGTGGCACAATCTCAGCTCACTGCAACCTCTGCCTCCCAGGTTCAAGCAATTCTTGTGCCTCAGCCTCCCGAGTAGCTGGGATTACAGGTGCGCACCACCACGCCAGCTAATTTTTTGTATTTTTAGTCGAGGAGTTTCGTCATGTTACCCAGGCTGCTCTCAAACTCCTGAGCTCAGGCAATCTGCCCACCTCAGCCTCCAAAAGTGCTAGGATTACAGGTGTGAGCTGCAGTGCCCGGCCCCTCAGAGGCATTCTGCCCATAGAGGCTCAGCTAAGGCTGCCCCCTCCCCTTTGGTGGTGATGAGGATCATCTGGGAGGTGCCCAGGGCCTCCCCGGCCTCTCCCAACCCCTGGCCACCCACTCACCTTATGGTCTTTGCCATCAACTTCGTACACGGAGATGTTGCTCTTGCGGTAGATCTCTTTCCCGGGGGGCTGCCGCCACTGGCACTGACCCTGGTCGGGGACAAGAGAACAGGTTCGCTGCCCATATGTTCTCTGCTAGGAGGCACCCAACCCACCACTGCATGCTTTGGAGCAAGTCTCTGCCTCTCTGTTTCCCCCCTCAACACTTCACCTACATCGAGTAATCCTCCCAGCAGCCTTAGGAAAGTGATCCTGCTTTTACAGACCAAGGCCCAGGCACAGAGATCCAAACATCACACAGCACGGTGGGGTTTTGAGTCTCTGTGGGCCTGGCTCTGGAGGGACCCGTCCATGACAATGGCTTCCCTAAACCACACCTATTCGCTTCAGATTCCACACTTCGGGAAGCAGCCCACTGTGTCAGTGATGAGAGCGCCCCTTCCTGACAGCCCCCAATTTCATCCACACTTAAGGTCCCACTGCCAGGGGCTATGTGTGCTTCCTGGGATGGAGCTGGCCTTGGCAAAAGACCTGAAGGGGGTGAGTTACTGTCCCCATTCCAGAGAAGAGGAGCTGAGGTCTGAAGTTGGCAAGGTCACCCTGCCAGCAACAGCAAAGCCAGGCCTGGAATCCAGGCCTCCTGACCCCCAGCAGCTCTTCCCTGTACTCGCTCCTTTGGGCCTGTCTCCTCCCTGGAGCTGCCGGCGCAGCCGCCCTCAGTCTCCATGCCTGCCTCTGCCTCTCACCGGGCCCCTGCCCAGCTCGGCCCGGCCGGCCCAGCCTCACCAAGTGGAAGCGGTAGCTCTTCTCATATTTCATGTACTTGAGGCAGTACTCGCAGAGCCAGAGCTTGGGCTGTTTCCCATAGTCTTCGGGGAATGGTGAGAAATACCAGGCATCAATTTCGTAGTTCCCGATGTGGATCTTGTCCACATACTTCACCTTGGTGATCTGCAGGCAGGGTGGGAGTGAGGCACAGTGCACGGCTCAGCAGGGGCTCCTCGGCAAGGGGAGACGGGGGACCTGCAGGCAGCTTCCCAGCCCCACTTACCGCCTCATGCTCCTTCTCCAAGGCTGCTGTGGTGGGGTCCATCTCTGCATAAGTCTGGGCCAGGAAAGAAAAGTGGGCAGAGGTGAACAGAAGTGGTGACCAGGCTGTCCCTCCCGTCAGGACCCACAAGGCTTCCCTGCCGTCTACCAGACCTCATTCCTGGATGGCAATAATAACCACACCAATAGCTAACCTATCTGACTTGGTTCTGAAGCTGGCTGGTCCAGACTCCTCTCACACCCACCCGCCCCACCCCCGATATCCCAGACATCCCTGATGTCCAAGTTTGGACCTTTTGCCAGATGAACAGGGTTAGGATCAGGATGGGGCTTCAGCTGCACGATGGGGGGCAATCCAGCTCTGCCAAAGTTGTGAGACTCAAATGAAATAACAGATTTGCCTTCCAGGCCCAGCGTAAGAACTGTTACTACCTCCCCGATGTTCCTGGACCCCTTTCCTGAGGACCAGACCCTGCCTGCCCATGCGACTGCCCCAGAGGTCCCTCCCACAGGGACAGCGGACTCAAGATGTGCAGAAAGGACCTCATCACTCCTCCCTGCAAACCTGCGCCTCCTCCTGGGTTGCTCATTTTACTGGGAACATCACCCTTGGTCCCAGTGTCCAAGACCCATAACTAGGCTTGCCTCAGACTACTCTCTCTCCCTCGGCCTGGCCAAGTCCTAATACAGTGGATGTCGAGTCTACTTCTGACATCTCTGGAATTGGGCCCTCTCTGGAATTCTCCTCTCTGTCCTGCTCCAGGTAGTCATGGCCCCATCTCAGGTCTGGACAATTTACTAGGCCGCCTCAGACTCCCTGCCTCCAGCCCCAGCCTCCTCATTGCTATCAGCAGCCCCCTTTTAGCGGCCTTCATGCTTCTGCACAAACAGCTCCTTCTACCTGGAGAATGCCCTTCCTTCTCTCACTGCCAGCAGAAAACACTTCCTCAGCCTGGCACGGAGCATGAGTCAGGTGAGTCCATGATGCTTTGTGATCTATCCTTTGTCACTGTTGTTATTGTGCTCTTTCCCATCCTTCAAGGCTTGAGATTCTTACCACCCCCTCCAGGAGGCCTGACTGGATTCTTCCCATCCAGAAAACATTCCCTCCTTCCCAAGTTCAGCGAGAAGTGGTCAACAGGGCAACACTGTCCAAGTATGCCCACCTGGGTTCCTCTATTTTTCAAGTCCTTAGAAAGCAGAGACTAAGAGTCACACCACACTCACAACACATCCTGCTCCTAGGCCAGACCCTGTGGGAGGAACCCAGTACAGCCTGACAATGGAAGGGGGACCCAAGACGGTCCATGACCTACACCAGGGCAGACAAGGCCCTGCCCTGTAGCTGAGAAGGGAGGAAGGAGCCAGTGCTTTACCCAGAACCCCCTCCACAAAGCACTGTGCCTATATGTTTATATGGCCTCATTTAATCCTTTCAGTAACCCTTACATAGAGTGTTATTTCTTTTTTTTTTTTTTTTTTTTTTGAGACGGAGTCTCACTCTGTTGCTCAGGCTGGAGTACAGTGGCACCATCTCGGCTCACTGCAACCTCCGCCTCCCAGGTTCAAGCAATTCTCCTGCCTCAGCCTCCCAAGTAGCTGGGACTACAGGCACATGCCGCCACATCCAGGTAATTTTTGTATGTTTAGTAGCAATGGAGTTTCGCCATGTTGGCCAGGCTGTTCTCAAACTCCTGACCTCAGGTGATCAACCAGCCTCGCACTCCCAAAGTGCTGAGATTACAGGCGTGAGCCACTGCACCCAGCTGCGTTATTTCAATTTTACAGAGTAGTAAACAGGCAGGGCAAGGTGAGGTCCCTTACCCTCGGGGACTAGTGAGCTGCCATTTATTCCAAGTGGCAAGCACGGCACAGACATGTTTTTTTTTTTTTCTTCTGAGATAGACTCTCACTCTGTCGCCCAGGCTGGAGTGCAGTGGGGAGATCTCAGCTCACCACAACCTCTGCCTTCTGGGCTTAAGTGATTCTCCTACGTCAGCCTCCCAAGTGGCTGAGACTACATGTGCCTGCTACCATTCCCAGCTAATTTATTTTGTTTTTTGAGATGAAATTTTGCTCTTGTTGCCCAGGCTGGAGCAATGGTGCAATCTTGGCTCACTACAACCTCCACCTCCTGAGTTCAAGCGATCTTCCCACCTCAGTGTCCCAAGCAGCTGGGATTACAGGCGCCCACCAGCAAGCCCGGCTAATTTTTTGTATTTTTGGTAGAGATGGGGTTTCACCATGTTGGCCAGGCTGGTCTTGAACTTCTGACCTTCAGATGATCCACCCACCTTGGCCTCTCAAAGTGCTGGGATTACAGGCATGAGCCATAGCCTTTTTTTTTTTTTTTTTTTTGAAATGGAGCCTCGCCCTGTCGCCCAGGCTGGAGTGCAATGGCAAAATCTCACGTCACTGCAACCTCGCCTCCTGGGTTCAAGCGATTCTCCTGCCCCAGCCTCCCAAGTAGCTGGGATTACAGGTGTGCACCATCACACCCAGCTAATTTTTTGTATCTTTAGTAAAGACAGGGTTTCACCATGTTGGCCATGCTGGCCTCCAACTCCTGACCTCGTGGTCTGCCTGCGCCTGGCCTCTTTTTGTATTTTTAGTAGAGACGGGCTTTCACCATATTGGCCAGGCTGATCTCGAACTCCTGACCTCAAATGATCCAATCATCTCAGCTTCCCAGAGTGCTGGGATTACAGGCATGAGCCACTGCACCCAGCCGACATTATTTCATTTTGTTCCTCACAATGAGCCTTTGAAATAAGAGTGCTCATTGTCCCTGTTGTATGAGAGAAAACTGAGGCACAAAGAGGTGAGGTCACTTGCCCAAGGTCACAGAACTGGTACTCAGCAGAGTTGGGCATGGGCCCCTGGTCTGTCCAATTCTGAACCTAACCACTGTAAAGATGAGGAAGAAAGATTTTCCTCCTCACACATCTCTTTAAAACACATTTCCCAATTCTCACAAAATACAGTACTCTTCTGCAAATGCAATAAAGAACTACAAAAACACTACTTTTCTTAATTGTTGCAATTTATTTAGAATTAAACATTAATTAGGCTCTGAAGAACCTTGCTGATTGTTAACTGGATGATTGTTTCATTACCTATTCTTTGATTTTATCACCACTGGCCCGTTATCCACCCTGCTGGTTGCCAACTCAGAGGTATGTCTTTGTTGAGTGCAAAACAGTTGAGGAATTAATCTTAGATCTACACTGTCCAATAAAGTAGCCACTTGTCACATAGGGCTATTTAAAATTATACTCAGCTAAACGTGGTGGCTCACGCCTGTAATCCCAGCACTTTGAGAGGCCGAGGTGGGAGGACCACTTGAGGCCAGGAGTTCCAGACCAGTCTGGCCAACATGGCGAAACCCCATCTCTACTAAAAATAAAAAATAAAAAATAGCTGGGTGTGGTGGCACACGCCTGTAATCTCAGATACTTGGGAGGCTGAGGCACAAAAATTGCTTAAGCCAGGAAGGCGGAGGTTGCAGTAACCCAAGAGCTCGCCACTGTACTCCCGCCTAGGTGACAGAGTGAGACTCTGTCTCAAAAAATGAAAATTTTGGCTGGGCACGGTGGCTCACACCTGTAATCCCAGCACTTTGGGAGGCCGAGGCAGGCGGATCAGTTGAGGTCAGGAGTTTGAGGCCAAACATAGTGAAACCCTATCTCTACTAAAAATACAAAAATTAGCCAGGCATGATGGTGCGTGCCTGTAGTCCCAGCTACTTGGGAGGCTGCGGCAGGAAACTCACTTGAATCTGGGAGGCGGAGGTTGCAGTGAGCTGAGATCGCACCACTGCACTCCAGCCTGGTTAACAGAGTGAGACTCTGTCTCGAAAAAATAAAAATAAAATTTTTTTAAAAAATGATAATTAATTTTTTTTTGAGACAGTCTTGATCGGACACCCAGGCTGGATGGAGTGCAGTGGCATGATCTTGGCTGACTGCAACCTCCATCTCCTGGGCTCAAGCGATTCTCCTGCCTCAGCCTCCTAAGTAGCCGGGATTACAGGTGTGCACCACCACGCCCGGCTAATTTTTGTATTTTTAGTAGAGATGGGGTTTTGGCCATGTTGGCCAGGCTGGTCTCAATCCCCTGACCTTAAGTGATCCACCCACCTCCGCCTCCCAAAGTGTTGGGATTACAGGCGTGAGCCACTGCACCCATAATTTAAAAATTTTTTTTTTTTTGAGACGGAGTCTCACTCTGTCACCCAGGCTGGAGTGAGCCCAGGATCTCGGCTCACTACAAGCTCCACCTCCCGGGTTCACGCCATTCTCCTACCTCAGCCTCCCGAGTAGCTGGGACTACAGGTGCACGCCACCACGCCCGGCTAATTATTTTGTATTTTTCAGTAGAGATGGGGTTTCACCATGTTAGCCGGGATGGTCTCGATCTTCTGACCTGGTGATCCACCCACCTTGGCCTCCCAAAGTGCTGGGATTACAGGCGTAAGCCACCGCGCCCAGCTAAAATTCTTAATTCTTCGTCACACTAGACACATTTCAAGTGCTCAACAGCTACATGTGGCTAGTGGCTACGGTACTAGATAGTACAGCTATAGAACATTTCCATTACAATAGGAAGTTCGATTCGGCAGTTTAGACCTTGAGGAGTTCTTCCAGTTTAGGGTATTTCAATTTTTTAAATCACACCACAGTAGGAAGTACACTTGGCACTGTAACATGTCTGTATATACACACAAGTATGTGCTAGGATCATCGGGAAGGTAAGGCTGGAACAAGAGGAATCCTGCACACTTTTATTGGGTGTGAAATAAAAGCTTCTCAAAACAATACCTACACTTAATAAAGTGCAACACCCTGATTTTTCTATCTTATCCACTTTCTTTCTTCCATTTAAAGAAATTTAAATGTTGGGCTTGCCCACTAACTCATGTACTCAGAAGGATGAAGCTGCAATAGCTGAAAGTAACAAATGTCTGGGTGTCTGGAGACTTTGACAAATCTTGCTCTGGTGTGCACTCCTGATTTTTATAAATTTAGAAACTGAGACTTGGTCGGGCGCAGTGGCTCACACCTGTAATCCCAGCACTTTGGGAGGCTAAGGCAGGAGGATCGCTTGAGACCAGGAGTTTGAGACTAGTGTGGGCAACATAGCAGATCCCGTCTCTACAAAAAAATAAAAAATTAGCTGGGCATGGTGGCACGTGCCTATGGTCCCAGCTACTCAGGAGGCTGAGGCAGGAGGATTGCTTGAGCCCAGGAGGTTGAGGCTGAAGTGAGCCATGATTGTGCCACTGCACTCAGCCTAGACGATAGAGTAAGACGCTGTCTCAAAAAAAAAAAATAACAATAATATGTACAATTATTAAGTATCAATACAAGAAAAAACCAAGGCAGGTACAGGGATGCACTCCTGTAGTCCCAGCTACTTAGAAGGCTAAGGCAGGAAGAACATTTGAGCCCAGGAGTTCAAGTCCAGCCTGAGCAACACACCAAGACTCCCGTCTCTTAAGAAAAAAACCAAAATCATTGCTAAGGCCTCTGGCTCTGAGGTAGCACAATTTAGCTGGTTGATCAAATTCCTGTCTGGGTCCCTAAACTTATCTGTAGCTCTTCTGCATGCTTACTTCACAGGCCTACTGTGAAATGTCAGTGAGGTCATGTATTAAAACACTTAGCTTAGGCCGGGCGCAGTAGCTCACGCCTGTAATCCCAGCACTTTGGGAGGCCGAGGTGGGCAGATCACCTGAGGTCAGGAGTTCGAGACCAGCCTGACCAATATGGCGAAACCTCGTCTCTACTAAAAATACAAAAATTATCCGGGCGTGGTGGCAGGTACCTGTAGTCCTAGCTACTTGGGAGGCTGAGACAGGAAAATTGCTTGAACCCAGGTGGCGGAGTTTACAGTGAGCCGAGATCATTCCACTGTACTCCAACCTGGGCGACAGAGCAAGACTCCGTCTCAAAAAAAAAAACAAAAAACAAAACACACACACACACACACACACACACACACAAAAACCATTTAGCTGAATACTTCTGCTCACCGGCTAACAAGTGTTTGGCATTATTATTCTAATTCCAGCCCACCGTTTTACTGGCTGTGTGACCTTGGGCATGTTACTTAATCTCTCTCAGCCTGCTTCCTCACCTACCAAAAAAGTAACTATTCCTGTGTGTTGAATTGTTGGGAAGGATTTGAGGAGCTTATACATATACAGCACTTGGCAGGGTGCTTGGCTATAGCAACTGCCGAATAACATTCTCGTCTTTCCCACTGAACTTCAAGTCATTTTTTCTACTAAGACACAGCTACTAGGAGACAAAAGAGGCTACCAGTGCCGGAGGCCTGAGTTCTAGTCCCAGCTGTGCCATTTCCTTGCTGTGAGACTGCAGCGAAGCCCTTACCCTCTGTCTGTTTTCTTACCTATGAAAAGTAAGTAAGAGGAAGTAGGTAAAGTCCCTGACACACTACAGGAGCTTAAGAAATGGGATTTGCTATGGTTTTGGCACTGGGGCCCGAGAGACCCAAGGGAACTGGCAGAGAAGCTGGGCCTCCTGGGCCCGTGGATGGGAAGGGATCCGGACCTTCTGCACATGGTTGATCTCATCATGCTTGCGCTTTTGGTTGCGAGTGATCTTGCGCTCAGGCTGCTCTGCGAGCTCGCTCAGGTACTTCTCTGAGTTCTTCTGTACAGCATCCTTCACTGTCTTGGTCAGCGCCAGCCGGTTCTTGTCTACCCACTCGTCCAGCCGCCGGTTAACTGTAAGTATGGGCCATAAGAGTGCTGCCAGGGCAGCCAACTCCCTGCACCCACGCCCAGATGTGCCAAGCCACTCACAGCCCACGTAGTGTACATAGAATTCCTCTCGGCCCTCCTGGTCGTTCACTCGAGACTGGATCACTTCAGCAGAATCTGTGATGGAAAAAGGCTAGGGTCATCAGGAAGGTAAGGCTGGAACAAAAGGAATCCTGCACACTGAGAAGCAGTTTCCAGAGTTCAGGGCCACACATCAGCTAACCTCACTGGTCCACCTCTGCCATTCTACTCAATCACTGCCACAACTGTGAGGTGGATCAGGTTGAGGCTGTTATTCTCATTTTACGAATGAGAAAATAACTGGCTGGGTGTGTGGCTCACACCTGTAATCCCAGTACTTCTGGAGGCCGAGATGGGCAGATCACTTGAGGCCAGGAGTTTGAGACCAGCCTGGTCAACATGGCAAAACCCCATCTGTACCAAAAAGACGAAAAAAAAAAAAGCCAGGCATGGTGGCACACACCTGTAATCCCAACTACTCGGGAGGCTGAGGCAGGAAAATTGCTTGAACCTGGGAGGCAAGGCTGAGGCAGGAGAATTGCTTGAACCCGGGAGGCAGAGGTTGCAGTGAGCCGAGATTGTACCACTGCACTGTGGCCTGGGTGACAAGAGCAAGACTCTGTCTCAAAAAAAAGAACCCCAAAAAACAGAACAAAACTGAGGCTTACCTAGGGTCACAGATTTGAAAAGTGGTAAGAGCTAATACTTAACTGAATTTAAGTCTGACTCTAAATTCAATGCTCATTTTACCACATACCCGCAGTTGTTCATTTGTTCAGGGATCATGAGTGCTGGCTCTGGATTAAGATAACCTACATTAATGTATAATTCCAGGGCTGGGCATCGTGGCTCACGCCTGTAATCCCAGCACTTTGGGAGGCCGAGGTGGGTGAATCACGAGGTTAAGAGGTCAAAACCATCCTGGCCAACATGGTGAAACTTCGTCTCTACTAAAAATACAAAAATTAGCTGGGTGTGGTGGCGCACAACTGTAGTCCCAGCTACTCAGGAGGTTGAGGCAGGAGAATCGCTTGAATCCGGGAGGCAGAGATCGCAGTGAGCCAAGATGGCGCCACTGCACTCCAGCCTGGCAACAGAGAGCGATTCCATCTCAAACAAACAAACAAAAAAAAATACACAAAATTCCAGCTCCCTACTTCCTAGCTATGTGTAACTGAGCAAGTTATTCCATCTTTCTGAGCCTCAGTCTCTTCATCTGTGAAAAGGGATAACAGCTGGGCACAGTGGCTCATGCCAGTAATCCCAACACTCTGAGAGGGTGAGGTGGGAGGATCACTTGAGCCTAGAAGGTCTAGGCTTCAGTGAGCTGTCATCGTGCCACGGCAATCCCACCTGGGTGACAGAGCGAGATCCTGTCTCAAAAAAAAAAAAAAAAAAAAAGACAAAAGGGATAATAGTACCAACCTTAGAAGGTGAATTAATGCCTCCAAAATTTTTAGCAGCGCACCTGACAATTAGCAGAGCATTCAATAAATGAGTAAGGCAACCACTACGTGTCTGGCCCTATGCTGTGTTGTTGCCGGGTACAGAGGACACAGTGATGAATCACAAGAAGTGCTGCCCTCCAGAAGTTCCCAGTATGATGGAGGAAGACAGAGAGAGAAAATTACAACATAATGTTACAAAAACTATGACTGAGGTAGGAAAAAAATGTTGCAGGAACATAGAGAAGGGAACCACTCACTTTGCCTGAAGGGGAATCAAGGATGACATCACAAAGGATATGAAGCTAAGAGGATGAGTAGGAGCTAGGCAGGCAAACAAGGAGAAAGGGAAGAAAAAGCATTCCAAGCAAAGGGCACAGGTGGTAAAGGGCGTGTGGTCTTCAGAGGGCACAGTGTGTTCTGGCCTGGCAATGCCCTTTCCTAGTGTTGGCTAGAAACTGGAGAGGTCACAAAAATGAATGCCACCCTAAGGAGTTTGGGGTTAATTTTGAAAATGAGAGAAGGCAGCAGAACTTTAGGAAAGGGAAGCCTGTTGTTTCTGGAAGGTCTTCTCTCTGCGGATGGCTGCCAGGGACAAATGGAAAAAGAAGACGCAGAGACAAGAGAGGGTGAGGAAGCAGCGTTAGCAAGAAAAAGGAATGAAGCCTAAGACTGGGCAAGGAAGTGGAATGGGAACAATCCTGGTGAAGGCCTGAGCGGTGGGTTTGTAGGCGTCGCTCGGCATAATTCAAGGTCAACAGCCTCCCACAACCCGGCTGGTTTCTCAGCGCCCGGAACGCGGCGTTCTTTCCTCAAGCCCCGCCCCTCCTCCTCTCCACTCCCAGCCCCCGGATCTTGGCCTCACTGACAGCCTGTCCTCAGGCCCCGCCCCACCCCCTGGCCCTGAGCTCCGCCCCGCCCCCAGCCCTGGGCCCCGCCCTCACGCCAGGTGCTATCCGGTCGCCGGCACAGGTACGTTTCTCCGATCTCCACCGTGACTTCCGGCTCGCCGCGCGCCGGGGTCGGCGGAGAGACGCGGCCCGGGGATGGGGCGGTCCCCTCAGCGGCCGCATTCTCCCCGGGCCCGGGCTCGCCCTCCCCCGCGACCCCTGAAGTCCCCGCCGCAACCGCCGCAGCAGCTCCCTGTGCCGCCATCGCGGGAAGGGAAGTGACGCCAGAATCGGACGCCACGCAGTTCTTTTGGCTCCGGGTCAGCAGTGCGTGGGGCGGGCTCCTCAAGGTTTGAGGGCGGGGTCTGTGATGTAGCAGGAGCCGATTGGCTTCTGTGGCCGTCCCCGCGGCCCCGCGAGTTGGATGTTGAGTGTGCGGCAGTCTTGGAGCTCCTGGTTTTCCGTGCGGACCTGTGGCTGCAGCCTATGGGTGAGGAGAGGAGACAGACTTACCTCATGCGATGACTCAACTCAACCTTTTTTTAATTTATTTATTTATTTATTTATTTATTTATTTTGAGACGGAATCATGCTCTGTCGCCCAGGCTGGAGTGCAGAGGCGCGATCTCGGCTCACTGCAACCTCCGCCTCCGGGTTCAAGCGATTCCTCTGCCTCAGCCTCCCGGGTAGCTGGGACTGCAGGCGCGCGCCACCACGCCCATCTAATTTTTGTATTTTTAGTAGAGACGGGGTTTCACCATGTTGTCCAGGATAGTCTTGATCTCTTGACCTCGTGATCTGCCAGCCTCAACCTCCCAAAGTGCTGGGATTATAGGCGTGAGCCACCGTGCCCGGCCAGCTGAACCTTTTTAAAGGCCCTGGTACCTGCGGAAGCCAAGATGTGCCAATTTTCAGCGGGCGCTGCCCCCACTTTAACAGGGCAGAGCCAGAGCGGCCGCCCTGGTGGCCTGGAGCCGCACACTCGCGCTGGCCTAATGTCGCTCCCCGCCCCCCCCCCTTTTTTTTTTTTGAGATGGAGTCTCGCTCTGTCGCCCAGGCTGGAGTGCAGTGACGCGATCTCGGCTCACTGCAGCCTCCGCCTCCCGGGTTCAAGCGATTCTCCTGCCTCAGCCTCCTGAATAGCTGGGATTACAATCGCGCGCCACCACGCCCGGCTATTTTTTGTATTTTTAGTAGAGAGAGGGCTTCACCCTGTTGGCCAGGCTGGTCTCGAACTCCTGACCTCAGGTGATCCGCCCGCCTCGGCCTCCCAAAGTGCTAGGGTTACAGGCGTGAGCCACCGTGCCCAGCCAGTGCCCCATTTTTGAAGGTTGAAGAGACTACTTCCCCTATTTGGGATACAGTTGGTGCGGGGAAAGCAGAACGGGTGTGTCCAGGGACAGGCCATAATTCACCCTCACAGGATAAAGTCTAAAGAAAGGACGAGTTGGGCGGGGCGTGGTGGCTCACGCCTGTAATCTCAGCACTTTGAGAGGCCGAGGCGGGCGGAGATCGAGACCATCCTGGCTAACACCGTGAAACTCCGTCTCTACTAAAAATACAAAATTTAGCCGGGCGTGGTGGCACGCACCTGTAGTCCCAGCTACTCGGGAGGCTGAGGCAGGAGAATCGCTTGAACCCGGGAGGCGGAGGTTGCAGTGAGCCGAGATCCCGCCATTGCACTCCAGCCTGGGGACCAAGAGCCAGACTCCATCTCAAAAAAAATAAAAAGGCCGGGTGCGGTGGTTCACGCCTGTAATCCCAGCACTTTGGGAGGCCTAGGCGGGTGGATCACGAGGTCAGAAGATCGAGACTATTCTGGCTAACACGATGAAACTCCGTCTCTACTAAAAAAAAATACAAAACAATTAGCCGGGCGTGGTGGCGGGCCCCTGTAGTCCCAGCTACTCGGGAGGCTGAGGCAGGAGAATGGTGTGAACCCGGGAGGTGGAGCTTGCAGTGAGCTGAGATCACGCCACTGCACTGAGGGTTCTGTGAGAGTCAGTAAAGGTTAAAGCCATTTATATGTGTATGGTCCAACCATACACAATCGGCCCTCCATATCCGCATGTCCCACCTTTGGAGATTGAACGAAGAGCGGGTTGAAAATACAGTGTTGAGGTATGGTGGCTCACACCTGTAATCTCGCACTTCAGGAATCCAAGCAGGAGGATCGCTTCAGGCCAGGAGTTCAAGACCAGCCTGGGCAGCATAGAGACCTCCTTTCTACTAAAAATTTGGGGGAAAAAAAAAATTAGCTGGGCCTCGGGGCCCGCACCTGTAGTCCCACCTACTCAGGAGGCTGAGGCAGAGGGATCGCTTAAACCCAGGAGGTCGAGGCTGAGTGAGCTATAATCCCTCCACTGCACTCCAGCTTGGGTGACAGAGACCCTGTCTCAAAAAAAAAGGGGGGAAAGAAAAGGAGGCTGGGCGCAGTGGCTCACTCCTGTAATCCCACCACTTTGGGAGGCCGAGGCAGGCAGATCACCTGAGGTCGGGAGTTCGAGACCAGCCTGACCAACATGGAGAAACCCCATCTCTACTAAAAATACAAAATTAGCCAGGCGTGGTGGCCGCATGCCTGTAATCCCAGCTACTCGGGAGGCTGAGGCAGGAGAACCGCTTGAACCTGGGAGGCAGAGGTTGTGGTGAGCTGAGATTGTGCCATTGCACTCCAGCCTGGGCAACAAGAGTGAAACTCTGCCTCAAAAAAAAAAAAAAAAAGACTGGGCGCGGTGGCTCACACCTGTAATCCCAGCACTTTGGGAGGCCGAAGCAGGTGGATTACTTGAGGTCAGGAGTTCAAAACCAGCTTGGCCCACATTGTGAAACCCCGTCTCTACTGAAAATACAAAACAGTCAGGGGTGGTGGCGTGTGCCTGTAATCCCAGCTACTTGGGAGGCTGAGGCAGGAGAACTGCTTGAACCCAGGAGGTGGAGGTTGCAGTGAGCCGAGATCGCGCCACTGCACTCCAACCTGGCCGACACAACAAGACTCCATCTCAAAAAAGAAAAAGAAAAAAGAGGGAGGAAGGGAGGAAAAGAAAAGGAAAGGAAAGGAAATATTGTAAGGATGCAGAACCCACAGATCTGAAGAGCTGACTTCATATCTGCTGTTTGGCAGGGCCAACTGTAGGACTTGAGCGCCTGCAGATTTCGGTATTCACAGGCGGTCCTGGAACCAATCCCCAGCAGTTAAGCATGTATAACTATCAATCATATAACTATGTAACGGTTGAACTATCCGTCTTAGCAATATACAAGTGTATTGCAAAGTGCCAGACCGGGTAGGTACTCAGTAAACATTCCCTTTGGCTATTCTCTGAATCTTGTTTGATTTATAATGTGGTTATTGGGCTTGGAAACAATTCTGAGAGGAGTGGAATGCTCAGGGCCTGCGGATGGGTCTCTCAGAGGTTACAAATCAAGAAACATCCGACAGGCATGGTGGCTCATGCCTGTAATCCTGGCACTTTGGGAGGCTGAGGTGGATGGATCACGAGGTTGGGAGTTCGAGACCAGCCTGGCCAACGTGGTGAAACCCCATCTCTACTAAAAATAGAAAAATTAGCTGGGTGTGGTGGCACGCGCCTGTAATCCCAGCTACTCGGGAGGCTGAGGCAGGAGAATCGCTTGAACCTGGGGTTGGGGGGGGGTGGGGCGGAGGTTGCAGTGAGCGAAGATCCAGCCACTGCACTCCAGCCTGAGCAACAGATTGAGACTCCGTTTAAAAAAACAAAACGAAACAAAACAAACAAAAAAACAATGTAGGTGCTCCACCCAGATCCTCTGGGAGTTCTTGCTGTTTCTGTGTGCCCAGATTACCTTTGATGTGCTTTCAAAGACCCACACCAGCACCTGAGGCTCTTCTTAAAAAACCATCCTTAGGTTAATAGAGCTGTTCACTTTCCCAACTGACTTTAACCAGTGACTGCCAAGTGGAGAAATTAATCAGTAACTCTGAGGTTTAGCTCTCTTACCTTCAACCCTGAGGCATAATTGACTGGTTCTGGGCTTTTGCCTGAGGTCACATCCTTGCTTGGCTTCCTCCCCTTCCCCTTCCTACTTCCCCTACTCTGTTCTGGGAGCACTTTCTTAAGAAATCACGTGGACATGAATCCTCTCAGGGACTCCAACCAGAAACATCCCTTCCCAGCTCAAAACCCACTCATGGGCCAGCTGCAGTGGCTCATGCCTGTAACCCCACCACTTTGGGAGGCTGGGGTGGAAGGATCATTTGAGCCCAGAAGTTCAAGTCCAGCCCGGGGCAACATAGGGCTTTGTAGAAACCCTGTTTCTACAAAAAATTTTAAAATTTAGCCTGGCATGATGGTCCAAGCTACTCAGAAGGCTGAGGTGGGAGAATCTCTTGATCCCAGGAGTTCAAGGCTGCAGTGAACTCTGCAGCCACCATATTCCAGCCTGGGCAACAGAGCAAGACCCCATTTCTAAATAAATAAAAACTCACCCATGGATCCCTATGGCTCAAGATAAATCCCATGTTTCAGGGCCCTGGCCTCTGACTGCTGCCTGCCTCTCCAGCCTCAGCACCCTGCCTTGCAGCTGGCGGGATTTTTCAGTCTAGCAAGTCACTGTGGTTTCCTAGCCCCTGCCATTTGGCTTCCACATACAACTTCCCCTCCATCCCCGTGAAGGGTAGGAGATGGTACAGGCCTAGAGCCAGCCTCAGGAAGTTTGCTGTGGGAGCTCACATGTGAAGGCAAGAGAACTTTCCAGTTCTCCTCCCAGCCCCACCAGGCCGCCCTTAGGCCTTTCTTCCCTGGCAAGGTGGGTAGGGTGTTCCTACCTAAGATGTCATCTGGAGTTCTGATTCAGGTCTAACCTTGAGCCTACCTGATATCTTTGCCCAAATCCTTGGTCCTTTCTATCAGGGCCCCACCTTTCCTTGCAGTGGGGCACCCAGTCCCTGCTAGGGCCTGCCAAGGCACAACCTTGTATGTTCTTTTCCTTGGCAGCAGCAGACACAGTATTTTTAACCTACTCAGGCTTGGGAAGCAGTTGGCTCAGGAGTTTGCCCAGTCTGGTGACCTTCACCTCTAGAAACTGTGACTGCCAGGAAAGGAAGAGTCAAAACTGATGCCCGAAGCTGGGTCAGTCTGGGCCTTCAATATTATCTGGGACCCGGAAACATTTGTTCAACAAGATGAATGAAAGCTCTTTGTATAAGGTGCTGCAGTCATCCCACTCCCACCAAATCAAACATGCAACAGACTTGGGACCCATTCTACTCCTGGCCTGCCAGGCTCTCAGGGCAGGTAAGAGACTGGGACACGAACCAGTTCAACCCAAGGGCTCAGTGAACCTGAATGGGGGCAGAAACAAAAGTTCACCTGCCCTCCCCACACACGGGGCCCGAGAGGGCATTCAAAATGTGAACTTTAATAACAGGTCAGAGTGGGGGTTCCCCAGGAACGAGAATGACGGAACTGGTGCTGGAGGCCTCAGGGTGCCCACTTCCCTGCTCCAAGTTCTGGAGGCGAGGAGGCAATGGACCCTGTTGAGGCAGGGCAGTGCCCAGCTCCATGTAAGTCCATCTGTCTGGGTCCCTGAGACCCAAGATGCAGCAGTGTGTGGAGCAGGGGGCCGCCCTGCCTGACCCGGGAGGTCCTGCAGGGAATGCGGCCCAGGCTGGTCGGGTGAGCAGGCCAAAGGCTGTGGGGTCAGATCCGGAAGCTTTCCTCCCGGCCATCGATGTGGCGGAGCCGCAGGTAGACGTCCGTGCCAATGCCCTGCAGGGACTGCAGCTGCAGAGACCCACCGAGGTACTCCGCGTAGGCCCGTGACGTGGGCAACCCGAAGCCAAAGCTGGGGGTGGGCAGGGGGACAGGACAGGAGGCTTCAGAGGCTTGAGTCTCCTGGGGTCCCCCACCCCTCCATCCTGGCCTGGCAGGGTCTCACCCGTGCATGGGTCCTGACTGGGCGCCACTATGCATGTCCAGATGGCCAAAGAGGGGGCTGATCCGGGGGTCCTGTGTGCTGGCCTCAGCAGTAGTGAAGTGGTAGTCCATGACCCGGTCCAGATCTTTGTGAGCGATTCCTCCACCACGGTCTGAGATCCTAGCAAGATGGCAACAACAATGGGCTTGGCTCAGCTTTGATGGGGTACTCACCACCCCCCAAGCAGACAGTGCAAAGTCTGCCTTCCTGTTCCTTCCACCCAGAGCTGGAATGTGGTCCACCTAGACCCTTGGGCCTTGTTTATATCATCCTCACCCCTGCCAGGGCCACTGACTGCTTATACCTTCTCACAGGATGTGACATTTATCCTCGGCCCAGCATCCTAGACCGACTCCTGACTATTTCTCAATTTCAAGCTCCTCAGCTGCTGACAGAGGCAGGATACCTAGGCCTGCAGCTGGCCCCAGATCCATTAATAAGCAGCTCATGGCCATCTCAGGATTCAGAGAATAGTTTGTCTGGTCAGGGACCAAGTCCCAGAATGGGGCAGGAAGGGGCTCAAGGTCCTAAATCAAGTCAGAAACAGTGCCTAGACCCCCATCCCATCCACCTCAGCTCAACTCCCACTCAGGGCAAACCTGATGATCAGATCGACATCATTGTTGGCGATGGTGATGACCACATCTGGGACATTGTAGGGAGTGTCTAGGTGACTCTCCATTGTGGCTCTATGCAGAGGGGAAAGACCAGTAGGTACAAGCACCCCGGTTCCTGTCCGCCCCCAAGCCAGCACATCAAGCCACCCCACCTCATGGCATTCTTGAGCAGCTCCGGCAGGATGTAGTCCAGTGGCATAGGGATGAAGGGGAACCGGGCAGCCACATGGCCATTGATGCGGACACGGGGCGCATTGCCATACTTGTGCTCACACAGGCGTCTGCGGATAGGAGCGAGGGTTCAGTCAGGGGCCCCTCCACCAGTGGTTTGCAACTGGAAACAATTCTGCCCCCCTAAGTAACATATGGCAATGTGCAGAGACATTTTTGTTTGTCACAACTAGGCAGTACTGCTGGCGCCAGGGATGCTGCTGAACTTCCTAACGTGCACGGGGCAGCCCCTGTGACAAAGAATTATCTGGCTGGAAATGTCAATAGTGCCATGGTTGAGAAACCCTGCTCCCCGCAGATCATGCCCCGGGCAAGGGCTCAGACCCAAGCCTTCCCTGCCCCAGATGTCTGCCCACCCCCTGAGCCATTCTTGCCTCACCTGGCAAAGTCCACCCACTTCTCAATAATCTTCTTTGGTGAGAGACGAGTACAGATGATGCCGACAAAGTCAGGCTGGCCGGAGAAAGGAGGTCAGGACTACCCACGCCCCTAGCCCCACCCCAAGATGCTGGCAACTTCGGAACTGCCCCAAAGCACCAGCCCCACAGCCTCAGCCCCCAGGCCCTTGACCCGGATCCCCAGCCCAGTCTCCTCTGTCTCACTTAATGTTCCCAGGTGGGTCTCAGGTCCCAGAGCCCCACCTTGTCCTCATGCAGCGCCAGGTGATGCGTGGCCAACATGCGGATTCCAAGCCTCGAAGTCAGCGTCTTGTCCAAGAAGTAGCGGACGAGCTTTTCATCCTGTAAAGAGTGAGGTCTCAGAATCCCGTGCCCTTCCCACCCCCAGCAGGCCCGGCCTCTCCTTTGCTGCCCCAACCTCTATGTGCTTCCGGCTCTCACGTAGGCCCTCTGCCAAGAGGGTCACCACATCCTTGTGGTCATCCAGCAGCTGTCGCACCAGCTGGCAGTACTGGGCCTCGTCCGCCTGGTCCTTGATCTGCAGGTCACAGAGTCATGAGGAAGGGTGGTCCAAGCCCAACCTCTCAGCCCCTCACCCTGCTCTGGCCCAGCACTCACCGGAGGGAAGTCTGTCAGCTTCTGGAAGGCACGGATATATAGCTCATGCTGCAAGGAAGAGGTGTGGGAATTCACAAAGCCGCATGGGCACTGAGCAGAGAACAGCCACCCCCACCTACCCATGGGGATCACCACCCAGCTGGTCGACCACGTGATCAAACCCCCACTTCGACCCTTCCAGGCTCCGTGAATACACACCTTTGGCTTCTGAAGGCCTGGGGTTGAATCCTGTGTGGCCCTGACACCTTTAGGCAAGCAATCGTCTGCCACTCTGGGCCCCAGACTCCCCACTTGCCCCCGGGGCAGGGTGGCCCGCTGACCTAAGGTCCTCTCTACCTTACCACGTGCAGTATGGTGGGGTTGCAGCCAATGATGAAAGGAAGGCAGCGGAAGCCCTTGATGCGGTGAGCAATCCTCACTGGAAGTTCTTGCTGCAGGTACCGAGCACTTTTCTGGGAGAAAATGAGAAGGGAAGGCGGGGCTGGAGCCTGAGTGTCTGGGAGAGCTCCAGGATCCACGAGGAAAATAGAGGGCGTGAATCTTACCAGAAGGTGGCTGCCGTCCTGAGAGCGGCCAGCGTAGAGCATCATGGTGGGCGTTAGGCGGACTGAGGGCTAGAGAGGGAGAGAGGCCTTGAGCAGAGAACCCCCAACACTCTCCCTCCCGCCTACATCCCGGACCCTGGGCTGGCTGCCCCCTTGCGCACCTTCTCCGCTGCCGCGTCGATGGCCGACTGGTTGTAAAAGGAGGTGACGGTCTTGGAGCGCTCCCGAGCCATCTCCACGTGGTGTGTGTCGGTGGCCGACGTCGAGCGGGCCCGGAGCGCGAGTGCGGGTCCCAGGAGGGGCCGGAGCGGAAGCCCGCCCCCGGGACCGCTCCTCAGCACCGACGCCAGGATCATCGTCTTGCTCCTTTCAGACCCGGTGGCCGCTAGGACTGAGGATCCGCTAGGACTGAGGACCCAGGCGACCCAAAATGGGGCAAGGGGGTGTGGGTGGGTAGGGGCTCTTCTCCGACTTCAGGGACCAGGGTGCGTCGAGGATGCTGACAGGCTCAGCCCGCGGAGAGCAGCTCCCATCTACCGGGGCGGGGAAGAGGAAGTTGTAAGGATCCGAATCCACAGAACCCGCACCATCTCTCCACCTGTGCATCGGTCTCCCCAGACCCGGGCGACCTCTCCCCACCACTCCCACCGTCTCCCCAGATGCACACAGGCCGCGCCCAAAGGACCTAGCCTCCCGGGGGCTTCTATTCCCCAACCCGAGGCTCTACTGGCGGTGGGAGGGCTGTCGGGGGAGGAGCCCCTCAGACCCTTCCAGCCCGAAAACCTCGCCCCAGCGCCCCGGGGTCCCGGGTACCCTTCTCAGGGGGCGGGGCTGCCCCTGCCTGCCCAGCGCCTTCAAACCCGGGCCCTGGGAGCGCGGCCAGCGAACGTGCGACACCAGCCCTGGGCCCCTGGGGCCGGCTTGGGAGGGTGCGGCACGGAGTCCCCAGCGGGACCCCCCACGCGGGTCACTTGGTTCGGCCCGGATGCCCCCCATATGGTAGATGCCAGCCCCGTCTGCGCGCCCGCGCTGTGATGGAGGCTGCGGACGTGCGCCGCGGGGCCTCCGCGGACTGAGTAGGCTGGGGTCGCCCCACTTACCGCGGGGCCGGAGCCAGGGCCCGGGTCCCAGCGGAAGGGCTCGAACAGTCCACTCGCCAGGCGCCCAGCCGCCTGCGCCCTCCGCCGCCGTGACGTCGCGTGGGCGGCAGCGCCCGCTGGGTCCTGGGAGTTGTAGTTTGGTCTGAGGACGTGCCGTCCCGGGCGCCCGCGCATCCAGGCCACGCCCTTGCTCCCGGACCCCAAACAGCACCGCTTCCTCCACACGGCTCTCGAGGCTCTCCGTGTCCCTCCCAGCCTCTATCTCCTGCTCTATGAAACGGGCTCCCTGGGAGCTGGAAGATCTTAGATGTAAAGCGCACAGATCACGCCCTACCTGACTCCTTCTCGGAGCTCTTGTCCTCCTTCCAGTTCTTGGTTCATTTATGGGTAACCAGGCTTCAAACCCCAGCTCGACCCCTTAATATCTGGAGCAAGTTATTTAACTGCTCAGTGCTTGGTAAGATGAAGAGATATCATCAGTTTTGGGGTTGTGTGGATTACATGAATTTATATGAGTGCCTAGAACAGTGCCAGGCGTGGAATTAGCACTATATAAGGGTTAGGCATTATTATTATTCACTCATGCCTGCAGATAATGCAAGTCGCTGACTGGGTGTCTTTTCTGCACCAGGAGAGGAGATTGGGCAGTGAGTTGAATAGATCTTTCCGTGCCCTGCATAAGAAAACAGTTTCAGTATCATTGGCTGTGATGAGGACTTTCAGAGGAGGCTGCGGGAGCCTCAGATAGAAACTGAGACAGCTGTGTAGGTGCAGCCTGAGTAGGACTTGCAAGGGAGCGGGGTGGGAAGGGTGTGTGGCAGGACAGACAACAGCCCAGATGGTCTGAGGATATGGCTGGAGCCATATGGGATCTGGGAAGGAGAGGGGCGGCAGCAGAGAGCGAAGGATAAGTCTGCATTTGTCCTAGGGTAGTTAGGAACTACTGAAGGGTTTTAACTGGTGGGCTCTCCTCCTTAGACAGAACCCCTTGTCTGCAGTGATTTAGAGTGGGGCGTTTGGTGAGACCAAAGGCAGAGAAACCAATAAGAAGACAATTACTTTAGGCCAGGCGCAGTGGCTCAGGCCTGTAATCCCAGCACTTTGAGAGGACGAGGTGGGCGGATCTCAGGAGTTCCAGACCAGCCTGGCCAACTTGGCAAAACCCCGTCTCTACTAAAAATACAAAAATCAGCCGGGTGTTGTGGCTGGCGCCTGTAATCCCAGCTACTCGCGAGGCTGAGGCAGGAGAATCGCTCGAACCCGGGAGGAGGAGGTTGCAGTGAGCCGATATCCCGCCACTGCTCTCCATCCTGGGCAACAAGAGCAAAACTCCGTTGCAAAAAAAAAAAAAATTATCCAGGCAGGAGGCGCTGGAAGGGACACGTTTCAGTGTGTGCACGTGCATATGTGTGTAGTGTGTATTTGTACTAATTGCAATTTTCTTTACCATGGTTATATATTTCCTAAATATGTTCAATAAAAAGTGCTAAGTGAAGCAAGTGACATCTTTGGAGGCTATCTTTATTTATTTATTTGGAGATGGGGTCTCGCTCTGTTGCTCAAGCTGTAATACAGTCGCTCCATAGTAGCTCACTGCAGCCTCCGACTTAAATGATCCTCCCACCTCAGCCTCTCAAGTAGCCGAGACTGTAAGTGTGCACCACTACCCCCAGGGTGATTTTTTCCCCCTCAGGCAATCCTTTTGCCACAGCCTCCCAAAGTGCTGGGATTACAGACGTAACCCACCGTGCCTGGCCTATTTTTCTTAGAGCCGGGGTCTCGCTATGTTGCCCAGGCTGGTCTCAAATTCCTGGCCTCAGCCTCCTGAGTTGTTGGGGTTACAGGAGTGAGCCACTGGGCCTGGCGGCTGTCTTTAAACTTGGAGGTTAGCCAGGTGCAGTGGCTCATGCTTGTAATCCCAGCACTTTGGGAGGCCAAGGCGGGCAGATGACCTGAGGTCAGGAGTTCGAGACCAGCCTGGCCAATATGGTGAAACTCTGTCTTTACTAAAAATACAAAAATTAGCCGGATGTGGTGGCATGCACCTGTAATCCCTGCTACTCGGGAGGCTGAGGCAGAAGAATCGCTTGAACCCGGGAGGCGGAGGTTGCAGTGAGCCAAGATCGTGCCAATGCACTCCAGCCTGGGCGACAGAGAGAGGCTCCGTCTCAAAAATAAATAAATAAATAATAAATAATAAACTTGAAGGTGAAAAAAATAAATAATAAATAATAATAAATATAAACTTGGAGGGAGGACGCCTCACCGTGACTGGCCTGCCTGAGCAATTGGGGGCAGACCACGGGAAAGGGGCGCCCTGCATCTCTGGGTTTCCTCTTTGACCCCCACCCACACCATTCCCACCCGTTCTTTCCCAACGTCCTGGAGTACAGCCAGGCGGCGGCAGCCCCAAGGCAGCCACGGCTGGAGCCCGTGGTAAAAGGGAGCGGGAAGGGTGCTCCTGGCGGGGAGGACAGGCTGCGCAAAGCAGCAAAGGACTGGCAGTGGTCTGTGCGCCAGAATCTGGCGCTCACGTGGCCGCGGCGTGGACAGGAGCCGCAGGCGGAGGAGGCTGCGGCTGCCACCGAGGTGGAGAGGTCTGGCACAGGCCTCACCCCATTTGACCCCGCTCGCTAGGCCCCGGCTCGGCCTGGACTCGCTGCTGCCCCCGGCGGCGGAGGTTGGACATGCACCTCGCGACCCCCTTTTCAGAATACTGTATACAGGTCAGGCGGCTTTCTTTTTTTTTTTTTTTATTTTTTTATTTTTTTTTTTTTATTTTTATTTTTTATTGATCATTCTTGGGTGTTTCTCGCAGAGGGGGATTTGGCAGGGTCATAGGACAATAGTGGAGGGAAGGTCAGCAGATAAACAAGTGAACAAAGGTCTCTGGTTTTCCTAGGCAGAGGACCCTGCGGCCTTCCGCAGTGTTTGTGTCCCTGGGTACTTAAGATTAGGGAGTGGTGATGACTCTTAACGAGCATGCTGCCTTCAAGCAGGGCAGAGGGGCTCCTCACTTCCCAGTAGGGGCGGCCGGGCAGAGGCGCCCCTCACCTCCCGGACGGGGCGGCTGGCCAGGCGGGGGGCTGATCCCCCCACCTCCCTCCCGGACGGGGCGGCTGGTCGGGCGGGGGGCTGACCCCCCCCACTTCCCTCCCGGACGGGGCGGCTGGCCGGGCGGGGGGCTGACCCCCCCACCTCCCTCCCGGACGGGGCGGCTGGCCGGGCAGAGGGGCTCCTCACTTCCCAGTAGGGGCGGCCGGGCAGAGGCGCCCCTCACCTCCCGGACGGGGCGGCTGGCCAGGCGGGGGGCTGATCCCCCCACCTCCCTCCCGGACTGGGCGGCTGGCCGGGCGGGGGGCTGATCCCCCCACCTCCCTCCCGGACTGGGCGGCTGGCCGGGCGGGGGGCTGACCCCCCCACCTCCCTCCCGGACGGGGCGGCTGGCTGGGCAGAGGGGTCCTCACTTCCCAGTAGGGGCGGCGGGGCAGAGGCGCCCCTCACCTCCCGGACGGGGCGGCCGGCCGGGCGGGGGGCTGACCCCCCCACCTCCCTCCCGGACGGGGCGGCTGGCCGGGCAGAGGGGCTCCTCACTTCCCAGTAGGGGCGGCCGGGCAGAGGCACCCCTCACCTCCCGGACGGGGCGGCTGGCCGGGCGGGGGGCTGACCCCCACCACCTCCCTCCCGGACGGGGCGGCTGGCCGGGCAGGGGGCTGACCCCCCCTCCCCCCTCCCGGACGGGGCGGCTGGCCGGGCAGAGGGGCTCCTCACTTCCCAGTAGGGGCGGCCGGGCAGAGGCGCCCCTCACCTCCCGGACTGGGCGGCTGGCCGGGCGGGGGGCTGACCCCCCCACCTCCCTCCTGGACGGGGCGACTGGCCAGGCAGAGGGGCTCCTCACTTCCCAGTAGGGGCGGCCGGGCAGAGGAGCCCCTCACCTCCCGGATGGGGCGGCTGGCCGGGCGGGGGGCTGACCCCCCCCACCTCCCTCCCGGACGGGGTGGCTGCCGGGCGGAGACGCTCCTCACTTCCCAGACGGGGTGGCTGCCGGACGGAGGGGCTCCTCACTTCTCAGACGGGGCGGTTGCCAGGCAGAGGGTTTCCTCACTTCTCAGACGGGGCGGCCGGGCAGAGACGCTCCTCACCTCCCAGATAGGGTTGCGGCCAGCAGAGGCGCTCCTCACATCCCAGACAGGGCGGCGGGGCAGAGGTGCTCCCCACATCTCAGACGATGGGCGGCCGGGCAGAGACGCTCCTCACTTCCTAGATGGGAAGGCGGCGGGGAAGAGGCGCTCCTCGCTTCCTAGATGGGATGGCGGCCGGGCAGAGACGCTCCTCACTTTCCAGACTGGGCAGCCAGGCAGAGAGGCTCCTCATATCCCAGACGATGGGTGGCCAAGCAGAGACGCTCCTCACTTCCCAGACGGGGTGGCGGCTGGGCAGAGGCTGCAATCTCGGCACTTTGGGGGGCCAAGGCAGGCGGCTGGGAGGTGGAGGCTGTAGCGAGCCGAGATCACGCCACTGCACTCCAGCCTGGGCACCACAGAGCACTGAGTGAACGAGACTCCGTCCGCAATCCCGGCACCCCGGGAGGCCGAGGCTGGCGGATCACTCGCGGCTAGGAGCTGGAGACCAGCCCGGCCAACACAGCAAAACCCCGTCTCCACCAAAAAAAAAAACGAAAACCAGTGAGGCGTGGCGGCGTGCGCCTGCAATCGCAGGCACTCAGCAGGCTGAGGCAGGAGAATCAGGCAGGGAGGCTGCAGTGAGCCGAGATGGCAGCAGCACCGTCCAGCCTTGGCTCGGCATCAGAGGGAGACCGTGGAAGGAGACCGTGGAGGGAGACGGAGACGGAGACGGAGACGGAGACGGAGACGGAGACGGAGAGGGAGAGGGAGAGGGAGAGGGAGAGGGAGAGTCAGGCGGCTTTCTAAGCGCTTTCAATGTATTTTTAAAAATTTACATATACTCGATGTAAAAGAGAACTGTATGTATTTATTTATTGAGACAAGATATCGCTCATGTCACCAAGGCTGGAGTGCAGTGGTGCGATCACAGCTCACTGCAGCCTCGAACTCCTGTTCTCAAGCAATCCTCCTGCCTCAGTCTCCCAAAGCACTGAAATTCCAAGCGTGAGCCCCACGCCTGTCCTACAACATTATTTATTTTATTTTATTATTTTTTCTGAAACAGTGTCTCACTCTGTTACCCAGGCTAGAATGCAATGGCATGTTCATGGCTTACGGCAGCCACAACCTCCCTGACTCAAGCGATCCTCCTACCTCAGCATCCCGAGTAGCTGTGACCACAGGTGCCTGCCACCACACCCAGCTGATTTTTAAAAAAATTTTGTAAGGACGGGATCTCCTTGTGTTGCTCAGGCTGGTAACGATGGATCTTCTGGCCTGAAGCGATCCTCCCATCTCAGCTTCCCAAAGTGTTGGGATTACAGGCGTGAGCCACTGGGCCCAACCAACTTCTCTCTTTTTTTTTTTTTTTTTTTTTGAGACAGAGTCTTGCACTGTAACCCAGGCCAGAGTGTAGTGGCACAATCTCGGCTCACTGCAACTTCTGCCTCCCAGCTTCAAGCAATTCTCGTGCCTTGGCCTCCCAAGTAGCTGGGATTACAGGTGCATACCACCATGCCCAGCTAATTTTTGTATTTTTGTAGAGATAGGGTTTCACCATGTTGGCCAGGCTGGCTTCAAACTCCTGACCTCAGGTGATCCATCTGCCTCGTCTTCCCAAAGTGCTGGGATTACAGGCATGAACAACAGAGACAAGCAGGGCCTGGCCAACTTCTTACCATATAACTTTGACACTTCTTGTATCAAGAGGTGAGGGAGTCTATGTTCCCTCCCCTTGGAACTGGGAAGGCTTGTGATTACAGTGGAACAGATGCTATATGACTTCTGAGTTTAGATCATAAAATATGTAGCTTCCACCTGGCTTTCTGGAGCACATGTGCTAGTCCTGAGCTGCCAGGTGGGCAGTCTGACTGCCCTATATTATTATTATTTTATTTTTAAATTGAGACAGAGTCTTGCTCTGTGACCCAGGCTGGAGTGCAGTGGTGCGATCTTGGCTCACTGCAGCCTCCACCTCCCAGGTTCAAGGGATTCTCCTGCTTCAGCCTCCCAAGTAGCTGGGATTACAGGCATGCACCACCATACCCGGATAATTTTTACTAGAGAAGGGTTTCTCCATGTTGGCCAGGCTGGTGCCCTGTACGAATTATTTATTGCTGTGTAACAAATTACCTCCAAAACATAGCACCATGCTGGAGTGCAATGGCACGATCTTGGCTCACTGCAACCTCTGCCTCCCGGGTTCAAGCGATTCTCCTGCCTCAGCCTCCCTAGTAGCTGGGATTACAGGCGCCCACCACCATGCCCAGCTAATTTTTTGTATTTTTAGTAGAGACGGGGTTTCACTATGTTGGCCAGGCTGGTCTCCATCTCCTGACCACAGGTGATCCACCCACCTCAGCCTCCCAAAGTGCTGGGATTACAGGCGTGAGCCACACCATACCCAGCTCAAACATAACATCTTAAAAACATTTTTTTAAATAGAGACAAGGTCTCACTATGTTGCCCAGGCTGTTCTTGAACTTGAACTCCTGAGCTCAAGTGATCCTCCCACTTCGGCCTTCCAAAGTGCTGGGATTACAGGTGTGAACCACTGCGCCTAGCCAATATCTTAAAACAATAAACACTGGCCGGGTGTGGTGACTCACGCCTGTAATCCCAGCATTTTGGGAGGCGGAGGCGGGCGGATCACGAGGTCAGGAGATTGAGACCATCCTGGCTAACACGGTGAAACCCTGTCTCTACTGAAAATACAAAAAAATTAACTAGGCGTGGTGGTGGGTGCCTGTAGTCCCAGCTACTCAGGAGGCTGATTCAGGAGAATGGTGTGAACCTGAGAGGCGGAGCTTGCAGTGAGCCAAGATTGTGCCACTGTGCTCCAGCCTGGGCAATAGAGCGAGACTCTTTCTCAAAAAAAAAAAAAAAAAAAAAAAACAATAAACACTTATCACACACAGTTTCCTTGGGTTAGGAATCTAGGGGGTTCTGGCTCAGGGTCTCTCATGAAGTGCAGTCAAAATGTTGGCCAATGCTACCGTCATCTGAAGGCGTGACTGTTTTACAGAATCTGATTCCAAGGTAGCTCCCTCACATGCCCAGCAGGTTACTGCTGGTTGTTGACAGAAGGCCCGTCATGCTCAGGGTTGGGGTCCAGCCCCAGCTGAGGTGTGAGAGGAAGCAGTGGACGTGAGGCAGGGAGCTAGAAGAACACTCGAGAGACAGCAGGTAAATGAGACATGGCTTTATTCAGCAGCTCTCTCATCATCAACATCTTACTCTCGCACTGTCTGCTCTGTCTCAGCTGCTTACTCCGGCAGCTCCCACACACACACAGCTGTGTGGCCAGCTCTCCCTTCAGGGTCAGCAGCTTCACTCTTTCTTTTCTTTTCTTTTTTCTTTTTTTCCTGAGATGGAGTCTCGCGCTGTTGCCCAGGCTGGAGTGCAGTGGTGTGATCTCGGCTCACTGCAACCTCTGCCTCCTGGGTTCAAGCAATTCTCCTGCCTCAGCCTCCTGAGTAGCTGGGATTACAGGCATGCACCACCATGGCCAGCTAATTTTTGTATTTTTAGTTGAGAAGGGGTTTCACCATGTTGACCAGGCTGGTCTCAAACTCCTAACCTTGTGATCCACCTGCCTTGGCCTCCCAAAGTGCTGGGATTATGGGCATGAGCCACCACACCCCACAGCCTTACTCTTTCTCCCTCTGGGCATGAGCTAGCTGAGCTGTGTCTTGGCTTCCCCGAGATGGACAGCTCTGGCTTTCTCTCTTTCTCTGGGTACAAGCACCTGCACAAGAGCCATGTCCCATGTCAAGCCATGTTGGGCCGAGCCCTGTGCACAGTGTCAGCAGGGCAATTATACCTTTTACAGACAACAGTGGCTCAGAGCCAAGTGATGAGCCTTCCCATGTTATGGCTACACGGCTGTGATAACAAGTGGAGCTATATGCCTGCACTCTAAACTCACTGAGTCACTCTGGATGTTTACTTTGGCCTATGCCCACTTGACTGCAGCACACCCACGTTTCTTACAGGGCCTCAGTTCCTCACTAAGGAGACCTCTCTCCCTAGGGTTACTTGAGTGCTTTCATATCATGGTAGCTGGCTTTGTCTAGAATGAGTGATCTACAAAGGAGCAAGATGGAAGCCACAATATCTTCATGATTTAGCCTCTAAAGTCACACACTGTCATTTCTGCATTATCCCAATGGGCCAGTTCAGCCCCTTTCAATGTGAGAAGAGACTTCACAATGGTATCAATACCAGGAAGCAGGAATCACTGAGGACCATTTTGGAAGCTGACTATTAAAGCCTTAAGGCTGCCATGCTGTGAGGAAGCCCAAGCTAGCCCATGCAGAGGACAACATAGATAGGTTCGGAGACTACTCAGAGAAAGGGAGAGAGAATGCTAGGTTATCTTTCAGCTGTTTTAGCTGCTTATTGTTCCAGCTTTAGCCACCATCTGACTGCAATTGTATGAGCCAGAAATAGCCAGGTAAAATTGTCTTCCCAAATTCCTAGTGCACAAAAACTGTCAGAGGCTGGGGGCAGTGGCTCACTCCTGTAATCCCAGCAGCACTTTGGGAAGCCAGGGTGGGAGAACTGCTTGAGCCCAGGAGTTAGAGGCAACATAACAACAACTCATCTCTAATGAAAAAAAAAAAAAAAGAAAGAAAAAGGCCAGGCACAGTGGCTCACGCCTGTAATCCCAGCACTTTAGGAAGCCAAGGAGGGCGGATCATGAGGTCAGGAGTTTGAGACCAGCCTGGCCAATATGGTGAAACCCCGTCTCTACTAAAAACACAAAAATCAGCCACGCATAGTGGCTGGTGCCTGTAATCACAGCTACTCAGGAGGCTAAGGCAGGAGAATCACTTGAATCCGGGAGGCAGAGGTTGCAGTGAGCCGAGATTGCACCACTGCATTTCAGCCTGGGCAGCAGAGTGGGACTGTCTCACATTAATTAATTAATTGATTAAATGCTAGAAGAAAATATGGTCAAAATCTTTTATAACTCTTGGAGTGAGGAAGGCAATCTCGGCTCACTACAACTTCCACCTCCCGGGTTCAAATGATTCTCCTGCCTCAGCCTCCTGAGTAGCTGGGATTACAGGCACCCACCACCATGCCCGGCTAATTTTTGTATTTTTAGTAGAGACGAGGTTTCGCCATGTTGGCCAAGCTTGTCTTAAACTCCTGACCTCAGGTGATCCACCCACCTCAGCCTCCCAAATTGCTGGGATTACAGGCATGAGCCACCATGCCCCGCCTAATTTTAAAAATGTTTATAAAGACAGAGTCTTACCACGTTGTCCAGACCTGTCTCAAACTCCTGGGCTCAAGTCATTGTCTTGTCTCAGCCTCCCAAAGTTCTGGGACTACAGGTGTGCACCACCACACCTGGCTAATTTTGTTTATTTTTTATAGAGTGAGGGTCTCCCTGTGTTGTCCAGGGTGTCTCAAACTCCTGGGCTCAAGTGGTCCTCCTGCCTCAGCCTCCCAAAGTGCTGGGATTATAGGCATAAGCCACTGCACCTGGCCCCAGTGTGTGTCTTCTGAGGCTAAGTCATAAAGAGATTGCGGCTTCTATTTTGCTTCCTCTTAGATCACTCATTCTGGGGGAAACCAACAATAAATAACAGGAACACACCAGGAGATCAGAGAAAGCTGAGATACAGGCCTAATGCCCAGTCCTCTGTATTCATTTCTAATTGCTGCTGTAACAAGTTACTGCACATTTAATGATGTAAAACAACACAAATTTATCTTACAGTTCTGTAGCTTAGAAGTCTGACAGAGTCTCACTGGGCTGAAATCAAGATGTTGATAGTTCCTTCCCGGTGACTCTAGAGTGAGAATCCAGTTCTTTACCCTTTCTTGCCTTTAGAGGCCACCCGTATTTATTAGCTCACAATCCCCTTCCTCCATCTTCAAACCAGAAACATTGCAGCTCTCTGTGTCTTTTTTCTTTACTCACATCTCCCTCTGACTTTCTTCTGCCATCCTCCTTCATTTTTTAAGGACCCCTGTGGGCCAGGCATGGTGGCTTATGCCTGTAATCCCAGCACTTTGAGAGGCGGAGGCAGGCGGGTCACCTGAGGTCAGGAGTTCCAGACCAGCCTGGCCAACATGGCAAAACCCCATCTCCACTGAAAATACAAAAATTGGGCCAGGCACGGCGGCTCACACCCGTAATCCCCATACTTTGAGAGGCTGAGGCAGGTGGATCACTTGAGGTCAGGAGTTCAAGACCAGCCTGGCCAACATGGTGAAATCCCGTCTCTACTAAAAAAAAAAAAAATTACAATAATTAGTCAGGCGTGGTGGCCAGCACCTATAATCCCAGCTACTTGGGAGGTTGAGGCACAAGAATTGCTTGAACCCGAGAGGGGGAGGTTGCAGTGAGCTGAGATTGCACCACCGTACTCCAGCCTGGATGACAGAGCAAGACTCTGTCTCAAAATAAAAATTAAGATAAATAATAAAAAATAAATAAAAATCAGCAAATTAGGCCAGGTGTGGTGGTGGCTCATGCCTGTACTCCCAGCACTTTGAGGTGGGAAGGTTGCTTGAAACCAGAAGTTTAGACCAGCCTGGGAAACAAAGTGAGACCCCATCTCTACAAAAATAAAAATAAATTAGCCAGGTGTGGTGGGACGTACTTGTACTCCTAGCTACTAGGGAGGCTGAGGTGCAAGAATCGCTTGAACCTGGGAGACGGAGGTTGCAGTGAGTTATGACAGTGCCACTACACTCCAGCCTGGGTGTCAAGGGTCTTTGAAAAAATAAACAAAATAGGCTGGGCGTGGTGGCTTACACTTGTAATCCCAGCACTTTGGGAGGCTGAGGCAGGCAGATCACAAAGTCAGGAGTTCGAGACCAGCCTGGCCAACACAGTGAAACCCCGTCTCTACTAAAAATACAAAAATTAGCCAGGCATGGTTGCACGCGCCTGTAGTCCCAACTGCTCGGGAGGCTGAGGCAGGAGAATGGCTTGAACCTGGGGGGGGGCGGAAGTTATAATGAGCCAAGATTGTGCCACTGCACTCCAGCCTAGGCAACAGAGCGAGACTCCGTCTCAAAAATAAAAATAAAAATAAATCAATAGAGCCTGGTATGATGGCTCACGCCTATAATCCCAGCACTTTGGGAGGCCCAGGTGGGTGGATCATCTGAGGTCAGGAGTTTGAGACCAGCCTGACCAACATGGAGAAACCCCATCTCTACTAAAAATACAAAAAATTAGCCAGGCGTGGTGGCACATGCCTATAATCCCAGCTACTCAGGAGCCTGAGGCAGGAGAATCGCTTTAACCGGGGAGGTGGAGGTTGCGGTGAGTCGAGATAGCACCATTGCATTCTAGCCTGGGCAACAAGAGCAAAACTCCATCTCAAAAATAAATAAATAAATAGATAGATAGGCTGGGCACGGTGGCTCACGCCTGTAATCCCAGCACTTTGGGAGGCCGAGGTGGGCGGATCACCTGAGGTCAGGAGTTCAAGACCAGCCTGGCCAATATAGCGAAACCCTGTCTCTACTAAAAATTTAAAAAATTAGCCAGGCATGATGGCGGGTGCCTGTAATCCCAGCTACTCGGGAGGCTGAGGCAGGAGAATCTCTCGAACCTGGCAGGCGGAGGTTGCAGTGAGCCGAGATCACACCATTGCACTCCAGTTGGGCAACAAGAGCGAAACTCCACCTCAAAAACAAAATAAAATAAAATAAAATCAGGAGATTGGTCAGCTTAATTCCATCTGCAACCTTAATTCCCTTTTGGCCATTTAACCTATCATATTCACAAGTTCCAGGGATTCATGCAGGGACATCTTTGGTGACCATTATTCTGTCTACCACACTCTCTAGAAGAGAGTAGATGTGAGAAACAGCATCTGGAGAGGGAGGAGCCAGCAGGAGAGGGAAATATCACAGACGCCAGAGGAAGAGAGTTCCCAGAAGGGTAGGTGCAACAGTAAGGGATCCCTCTGGGAAGTCAAGCAAGAGAAGACCTGAAAAACAACCATTGGCCGGGTGCGGTGGCTCACGCCTATAATCCTAGCATTTTGGGAGGCCGAGGTGGGTGGATCACTTGAGGTCAGGAGTTTAAGACAAGCCTGGCCAACATGGTGAAACCCTGTCTCTACTAAAAATACAAAAATTAGCCAGACATGGTGGCAGGCACCTGTAGTCCAAACTACTTGGGAGGCTGAGGCACGAGAACCACTTGAACCCTGGAGGCGGAAGTTGCAGTGAGCCGAGATGGCACCGCTGCACTCCAGCCTGGGCGACAGAGTGAGACTCCGTCTCAAAATAAGTAAATAAATAAATAAATAACCATTGGGTCTAGCGTCTTGGTGACACCAGCCACTAGGTGTCAGGGCAATGCTGGAGGCAGCAGCTAGTTTATGGCGTGGGCAGCAAGGAAGAAGTGAGGAAGTAGAGACTGGGAGTGTAGAATCTTTCCAAAAACTTGAATGTGGAGGGGTAGATGGGATAATGCCGGGAGAGGAGGCTGGTGAAGGACCTCTTAGTGAAGGGAGATTTGTTGCTGTTTCTGAGATGGGAAAGAGAAACAAGTTGCAGTGTAGATGGGGAGGATGGAGAGGTTGAAGGTGTAGGAGAGATGGGTCACCATCAGATGGGACGTCTGTGAAGGAGAGACCTCATCTGGCCCACAGCTTGGAAAGGAGAGACTGACTGTTGAGTTGATGCAAGCTCAGGTGTTGCCAGGCGGGCGCCATGATAGTAGAGAGGTTAGGATACTGTCAAGGGTGTGTGTGGCCAAAGGAGTGGTTCTGTGAATGTATGGGAGAAAGGGAGACCGACCACCAGGAAGCACTGGTGAGGCAGGACCCGGGAGGATGGGAGGCTGCAGCCCGAATGGTGCCTGAAATAGTTTCAGGGGAAATGCTTGGTTCCCGAATCGGATCGCCGTATTCGCTGGATCCCCTGATCCGCTGGTCTCTAGGTCCCGGATGCTGCAATTCTTACAACAGGACTTGGCATAGGGTAAGCGCAAATGCTGTTAACCACACTAACACACTTTTTTTTTTCTTTTTTTTTTTTGAGACAGAGTCTCACTCTGTCGGCCTGGCTGGAGTGCAGTGGCACGATCTCGGCTCACTGCAACCTCCGGCTCCCCGGCTCAAGCAATTCTCCTGCCTCAGCCTCCCGAGTAGCTGGGATTACAGGCATGTGCCACCACGCCCGGCTAATTTTTGTATTTTTAGTTGAGATGGGGTTTCACCATGTTGGCGAGGCTGGTCTTGAACTCCTGACCTCAGGTAATCCGCCAGCCTCGGCCTCCCAAAGTGCTGGGATTACAAGCGTGAGCCACCGTGCCCGGCCAACAGTTTTTAAATCTGTGGAGACTTCATTTCCCTTGATGCCTTGCAGCCGCGCCGACTACAACTCCCATCATGCCTGGCAGCCGCTGGGGCCGCGATTCCGCACGTCCCTTACCCGCTTCACTAGTCCCGGCATTCTTCGCTGTTTTCCTAACTCGCCCGCTTGACTAGCGCCCTGGAACAGCCATTTGGGTCGTGGAGTGCGAGCACGGCCGGCCAATCGCCGAGTCAGAGGGCCAGGAGGGGCGCGGCCATTCGCCGCCCGGCCCCTGCTCCGTGGCTGGTTTTCTCCGCGGGCGCCTCGGGCGGAACCTGGAGATAATGGGCAGCACCTGGGGGAGCCCTGGCTGGGTGCGGCTCGCTCTTTGCCTGACGGGCTTAGTGCTCTCGCTCTACGCGCTGCACGTGAAGGCGGCGCGCGCCCGGGACCGGGATTACCGCGCGCTCTGCGACGTGGGCACCGCCATCAGCTGTTCGCGCGTCTTCTCCTCCAGGTGTGCACGGGAGTGGGAGGCGTGGGGCCTCGGAGCAGGGCGGCCAGGATGCCAGATGATTATTCTGGAGTCTGGGATCGGTGTGCCCGGGGAACGGACACGGGGCTGGACTGCTCGCGGGGTCGTTGCACAGGGGCTGAGCTACCCAGCGATACTGGTGTTCGAAATAAGAGTGCGAGGCAAGGGACCAGACAGTGCTGGGGACTGGGATTATTCCGGGGACTCGCACGTGAATTGGATGCCAAGGAATAACGGTGACCAGGAAAGGCGGGGAGGCAGGATGGCGGTAGAGATTGACGATGGTCTCAAGGACGGCGCGCAGGTGAAGGGGGGTGTTGGCGATGGCTGCGCCCAGGAACAAGGTGGCCCGGTCTGGCTGTGCGTGATGGCCAGGCGTTAGCATAATGACGGAATACAGAGGAGGCGAGTGAGTGGCCAGGGAGCTGGAGATTCTGGGGTCCAGGGCAAAGATAATCTGCCCCCGACTCCCAGTCTCTGATGCAAAACCGAGTGAACCGTTATACCAGCCTTGCCATTTTAAGAATTACTTAAGGGCCGGGCGCGGTGGCCCACTCCTGTAATCCCAGCACTTTGGGAGGCCGAGGCGGATGGATCACTTGAAGTCAGGAGTTGACCAGCCTGGCCAACATGGTGAAAGCCTGTCTCTACCAAAAATAGAAAAATTAATCGGGCGCTATGGCGGGTGCCTTAATCCCAGCTACTCGGGGGGGCTAAGGCAGGAGAATCGCTTGAACCCGGGAGGCGGAGGTTTCAGTGAGCCGAGATCGCGCCACTGCACTCCAGCCTGGGCCAGAGTGAGACTCCGTCTCAAAAAAAAAAAAAAAAAAAAAAAAAAAGAGACTTACTTAAGGTCTAAGATGAAAAGCAGGGCCTACGGAGTAGCCACGTCCGGGCCTGGTCTGGGGAGAGGGGAGGATAGGGTCAGTGACATGGAATCCTGACGTGGCCAAAGGTGCCCGGTGCCAGGAGATCATCGACCCTTGGACTAGGATGGGAGGTCGGGGAACAGAGGATAGCCCAGGTGGCTTCTTGGAAATCACCTTTCTCGGGCAGGGTCCAAGGCACTGGGTTGACAGTCCTAACCTGGTTCCACCCCACCCCACCCCTCTGCCAGGTGGGGCAGGGGTTTCGGGCTGGTGGAGCATGTGCTGGGACAGGACAGCATCCTCAATCAATCCAACAGCATATTCGGTTGCATCTTCTACACACTACAGCTATTGTTAGGTGAGTGGCTCCGCCCCCTCCCTGCCCGCCCCGCCCCGCCCCTCATCCCCCTTGGTCAGCTCAGCCCCACTCCATGCAATCTTGGTGATCCACACAGCTGACAGCCAGCTAGCTGCTCATCACGGAGCGTCCTGCGGGTGGGGATGTGGGGAGGTAACTAACAGGAGTCTTTTAATTGGTTTAAGTACTGTTAGAGGCTGAAGGGCCCTTAAAGACATCCTAGGTCCCCAGGTTTTTTGTTTGTTGTTGTTTTGAGACAGGGTCTGGCTCTGTTGCCCAAAGTGAGGTCTAGGATGCCCTTAGTGTGCACTGGCGTGATCTCAGTTCATGGCAACCTCTGCCTCCCTGCCCAAGGGATCCTCCCACCTTAGCCTCCCAAGCAGCTGGAATCACAGGCGTGCACCACTATGCCCAGCTAATTTTTGTTTTTGTTTTTTTTTGGTAGAGATGGTGTCTCGCCATGTTGCCCAGGCTGGTCTCAAGCAATCTGTCTGCCTCAGCCTCCCAAAGTGCTGGGGGGATTACAGGCGTGAGCTACCATGCCCCACCAACACCCCAGTTTTGTGGAAAAGATGCCGAAATTCCTTTTTAAGGAGAAGCTGAGCATGAGCTATCTTTTGTCTCATTTAGTGCTCAGCAGGAAAATTTGTATCTAGTCCCATAAGAACAGAGAGAGGAACCAAGGGAGTGGAAGACGATGGCGCCCCAGGCCTTGCTGATGCCATATGCCGGAGATGAGACTATCCATTACCACCCTTCCCAGCAGGCTCCCACGCTCCCTTTGAGTCACCCTTCCCAGCTCCAGAGAAGGCATCACTGAGGGAGGCCCAGCACCATGGTCCTGGCTGACACATGGTTCAGACTTGGCCGATTTATTTAAGAAATTTTATTGCTCAGAACTTTCCCTCCCTGGGCAATGGCAAGAGCTTCAGAGACCAGTCCCTTGGAGGGGACCTGTTGAAGCCTTCTTTTTTTTTTTTTTTAAGAAATAATCTTGCTCTGTTGCCCAGGCTGGAGTGCAGTGGCACAATCATAGCTCACTGTAACCTGGCTCAAGCGATCCTCCTGAGTAGCTAGGACTATAGGCATGTCACTGCACCCAGCTAATTTTTTTTTTTTTTTTTTTTTTTTTTTTGCGACATAGTCTCGCTCTGTCACCAGGCTGGAGTGCAGTGGCACGATCTTGGCTCACTGCAACCTCTGCCTCCCGGGTTCAAGCAATTTTCCTGCCTCAGCCTCCTGAGTAGCTGGGACTACAGGCGCGTGTCACCACGCCCAGCTAATTTTTGTATTTTTAGTGGAGACAGGGTTTCACCATGTTGGCTAGGATGGTCTCAATCTCTTGACCTGGTGATCCATCCGCCTTGGCCTCCCAAAGTGCTAGGATTACAGGCGTGAGTCAACCTCACCGGGCATTTTTTTTTTGAGACGAAGTCTTGCTCTTGCTGCCCAAGCTGGAATGTGGTGGCATGATCTCGGCTCACTGCAACCTCCACCTCCTAGGTTCAAGCGATTCTCCACCTTAGCCTCCCCAGCAGCTGGGATTACAGGTGCCCATCAACACACCCGGCTAATTTTTGTATTTTTATTAGAGATGGGGTTTTGCCATGTTGGCCAGGCTGCTCTCGAACTCCTAACCTCAGGTGATCCACCCCCATTGGCCTCCCAAAATACTGGGATTACAGGCATGAGCCACCGTGCCCAGCTGAATTTCTAAATTTTTGATAGAGATCGGGTCTTTCTATGTTGCCCAAGCTGGTCTTGAACTCCTAGCCTAAAGCAGTCTTCCCACCTCGGCCTCCCAGAGTGTTTGGAATACGTGCGTAAGCCACCACATCTGCCCTGGAGCCTCTTGTTTTAGAGACCCTTCCCAGCAGCTCCTGGCATCTAGGTAGTGCAGTGACATCATGGAGTGTTCGGGAGGTGGCCAGTGCCTGAAGCCCACACCGGACCCTCTTCTGCCTTGCAGGTTGCCTGCGGACACGCTGGGCCTCTGTCCTGATGCTGCTGAGCTCCCTGGTGTCTCTCGCTGGTTCTGTCTACCTGGCCTGGATCCTGTTCTTCGTGCTCTATGATTTCTGCATTGTTTGTATCACCACCTATGCTATCAACGTGAGCCTGATGTGGCTCAGTTTCCGGAAGGTCCAAGAACCCCAGGGCAAGGCTAAGAGGCACTGAGCCCTCAACCCAAGCCAGGCTGACCTCATCTGCTTTGCTTTGGCATGTGAGCCTTGCCTAAGGGGGCATATCTGGGTCCCTAGAAGGCCCTAGATGTGGGGCTTCTAGATTACCCCCTCCTCCTGCCATACCCGCACATGACAATGGACCAAATGTGCCACACGCTCGCTCTTTTTTACACCCAGTGCCTCTGACTCTGTCCCCATGGGCTGGTCTCCAAAGCTCTTTCCATTGCCCAGGGAGGGAAGGTTCTGAGCAATAAAGTTTCTTAGATCAATCAGCCAAGTCTGAACCATGTGTCTGCCATGGACTGTGGTGCTGGGCCTCCCTCGGTGTTGCCTTCTCTGGAGCTGGGAAGGGTGAGTCAGAGGGAGAGTGGAGGGCCTGCTGGGAAGGGTGGTTATGGGTAGTCTCATCTCCAGTGTGTGGAGTCAGCAAGGCCTGGGGCACCATTGGCCCCCACCCCCAGGAAACAGGCTGGCAGCTCGCTCCTGCTGCCCACAGGAGCCAGGCCTCCTCTCCTGGGAAGGCTGAGCACACACCTGGAAGGGCAGGCTGCCCTTCTGGTTCTGTAAATGCTTGCTGGGAAGTTCTTCCTTGAGTTTAACTTTAACCCCTCCAGTTGCCTTATCGACCATTCCAAGCCAGTATTGGTAGCCTTGGAGGGTCAGGGCCAGGTTGTGAAGGTTTTTGTTTTGCCTATTATGCCCTGACCACTTACCTACATGCCAAGCACTGTTTAAGAACTTGTGTTGGCAGGGTGCAGTGGCTCACACCTGTAATCCCTGTACTTTGGGAGGCCAAGGCAGGAGGATCACTTGAGGCCAGGAGTTCCAGACCAGCCTGGGCAAAATAGTGAGACCCCTGTCTCTACAAAAAAAAAAAAAAAAAAAAATTAGCCAGGCATGGTGGTGTATGTACCTATAGTCCCAACTAATCGGGAAGCTGGCGGGAAGACTGCTTGAGCCCAGAAGGTTGAGGCTGCAGTGAGCCATGATCACTGCACTCCAGCCTGAGCAACAGAGCAAGACCGTCTCCAAAAAAAAACAAAAAACAAAAAAAAACTTGTGTTAACGTGTTAAACTCGTTTAATCTTTACAGTGATTTATGAGGTGGGTACTATTATTATCCCTATCTTGATGATAGGGACAGAGTGGCTAATTAGTATGCCTGAGATCACACAGCTACTGCAGGAGGCTCTCAGGATTTGAATCCACCTGGTCCATCTGGCTCCAGCATCTATATGCTTTTTTTTTTGTTGGTTTGTTTTTGAGACGGACTTTCGCTCTTGTTGTCCAGGCTGGAGTGCAATGGCACAATTTCGGCTCACCACAACCTCCACCTCCCAGGTTCAAGTGATTCTCCTGCCTCAGCCTCCCGAGTAGCTGGGATTACAGGCATGCGCCACCAGGCCTGGCTAATTTTGTATTTTTAGTAGAGACAGTGTTTCTCTATGTTGGTCAGGCTGGTCTCGCACTCCCGACCTCAGGTGATCTGCCTGCTTTGGCCTCCCAAAGTGCTGGGATTACAGGCGTGAGCCACCATGCCCGGCCAGCATCTATAATATATGCTAAACCTTACCCACAGCTGCCTCTGTCTTGGGGTCAGGGTTCTTGAATGGTCTGGGCCAGCCTGAGTTAGGAGTGGGAAGAGGAAGAGGAGGCACGCGCCAAAGTGTTCTTCCCGCCTGACCGAGTCCTCTGCGCCTATGAGGAAGGTGGGCACCGCTGTCACCCTGTTTCCCAGGAAGCCAGCAGGCCCAGGGAGATACTGGGATTTGCCAAAGGCTCACAGCGAGCAAGCAGCAGTGGGTGCTGGCTCCTCACCACTCAGCCTGGCACACACTGTCTCTGAGCAGACCTGGGAGAAGGCATGTGAAACCCACCTAGCCCTGGCTGGAAGAGAAGTGGGGGAGTGGAAATGAAAAGTGGGGACTGGGAGGAGCTGCCCACGTGCCCTCCATGGTTCCAGGATGGCACTTTCATGCTGGGAGTGAGCTTGCCCTGTGCCAGGCTGTCATTGAGACGTTTTCCATTCAACAACTGTTTCTCAGACAAGGCACAGGCAGGTTAGCTCTCCCAGGCCACTCAAGTAGTAAGGAAACAGATTTAAACCCAGACAATTTGGCTCCACGGCTAAGGCCCAGAGAGGGGTGGTGACAAGCCTAGGGTCACACAGCCACAGCCCCAGAGCTAGGAACTGCTGGCTAGGGCAAGCAGACAGCTGAATCCTAGCCAACTGGAGGTGGAGCAGAGGTGGAGCCAGGGAGACCCAGGTGGCCTCTCTCAGAGTGGAGCACAGGTGGCAGAGTGGCCCGGGGCAGCATGAAGTGGTGCTGGGGCCCAGTGCTGCTCATCGCGGGTGCCACAGTCCTCATGGAGGGTAAGCCGCCATGTGCTGGGGTATGGGTGTGGCCTGGTGGGGGCTCAGGGGCCATCTCTGCCCCAGCAGTCCCTGCTTCTTGGTGGGGGGACCGCCTGTGGGCGACAGTCCACCAGTGGGGATGTAACTCCGTAGGACTCTGTGGGGTGGTATATGTGGCCACCTGTGTCAACATGGATGAGATTTTCTCGGGCCAGCTGCAGTTTGCGTTGGCGGGGCCTGTGGTCTTGTGTGTGTGTGAGGTGCTGCCTGCGTGTGTCCTGTGCCTGCCTCCCCCTCGACTTCCACAATGACGTCAGGCAAACTCTGGGCTCCTCTGGCCTCAGTTTCCCTTTCTTTTCATCCATCCTCTGGGCAGCCTGGCTCAGCTGTCTCATGGGGTGCCTGTGTGCCTGTGAGGGGCGGTGGGCAGGGGCCCTCTCTCTGGCGGGCTCTCAGACAGTTTCTGGGAAGGTGGGGAAGACTGAGTCTCTAGACCAGGGTGAGGTAAGTCTCCATTTCTTGGGGCCCTCCCCACTTGGAAATGATGCAGGCCTCTAATCCTTCCTCTTAGGCCTCTGCTGCTAAGAGGACAATTAAGCTAATGCTCTCTACACACACAGGCCGCCTGGCTGACTCAGTGGCGGGGGCAGGAGTTGGGGGTTCTGAAGCCTGGAGGAGGGCTGGCCTACTCCCAAGCTGAACCCCAAGCCCCAGAGTGCTGAGCACAGCTGAAGGAGAATTAATTACTGAGTGTGCACACTGAATAGGTTCCAATAAAAGCTGTCTCGGCCTCATATAAATATTTTCATTCTGGGAGGGGCTGGTAAGGTAATCAGAGTCACAGGCAAGGACCCTGGGCCCGCCCCCCAGCCCATCCCCTCTCCTCCCCAAAGCTAGGCAGGCCTGGAGTCCCTGCATCTTACCTGTGTCTCTCTCTTCCCAGGTCTTCAAGCCGCTCAGCGTGGTAAGGTCTGGGGACACGGGGCCTAGGTCTTACTTGGGTCTGGGTTGGGACTGGGGTGAGGTCAGGACAGGTATCTGCTGTCAGTGTGACTAACTCCTTTCCACAGCCTGTGGACAGCGTGGCCCCGGCCCCCCCAAGCCTCAGGAGGGCAACACAGTCCCTGGCGAGTGGCCCTGGCAGGCCAGTGTGAGGAGGCAAGGAGCCCACATCTGCAGCGGCTCCCTGGTGGCAGACACCTGGGTCCTCACTGCTGCCCACTGCTTTGAAAAGTAAGTCATGGCTGGGGTCAGGCAGGGTCTCCGGCTCTGGGGAGTGGACAATTTGTCTCAAGCCCCACAAGGCTAGTCCCTGCCTCTAGAGTAATAATAAAGAACCATTTACTGAGAATCTGCCATGTACTGGGTACATATTGTCAAGTTAATTGTAACAACCACCTTTCATGGTAGAAGATTTACAAATCAGAAAACTCAGGTTGCAAGGGAATGACCTCGCTTAAAGTCACAGACTGAGGCCGGGCACAGTAGCTCACGCTTGTAATCCCAGCCCTTTGGGAGGCCACGGAGGGAGGATCGCTTGAGCCCAAGAGTTCAAGACTAGCCTGTGCAACATAGCAAGACCATGTCTCTACAAAAACTGTAAAATTAGCCAGGCATGGTGGTGCACGCCTGTAGTCCCAGCTACTCACGAGGCTGAGGTGGGAGGATCGCTTGAGCCTGGGAGGTCAAGGCTTGTAGTGAGTCATGGTCATGCCACTGCACTGCAGCCTGGGCGACAGGACGAGACCCTACCTCAAAAAGAAAAAGCCGTGGAGTGCTCTCTGCTATCTTCCACCTACCTGTGGGGTCTCCCATGGTGTCACTGTCTACCCTTGCACTCAGCAGCCTGGACCTTGTCCTTCCCCTTCCAGGGCAGCAGCAACAGAACTGAATTCCTGGTCAGTGGTCCTGGGTTCTCTGCAGCGTGAGGGACTCAGCCCTGGGGCCGAAGAGGTGGGGGTGGCTGCCCTGCAGTTGCCCAGGGCCTATAACCACTACAGCCAGGGCTCAGACCTGGCCCTGCTGCAGCTCGCCCACCCCACGACCCACACACCCCTCTGCCTGCCCCAGCCCGCCCATCGCTTCCCCTTTGGAGCCTCCTGCTGGGCCACTGGCTGGGATCAGGACACCAGTGATGGTAAGTGCTGGCCCAGACTGAAGCTCGGAGAGGCACTCTGCTTGCCCAGCGTCACAGTCTCAGCTCCCAACTGTCCTGGCTTCCAGTCTCCCTTGCTTCCCAGATCCCAGACTCTAGCCCCAGCCCCGTCTCTTTCACCAGCTCCTGGGACCCTACGCAATCTGCGCCTGCGTCTCATCAGTCGCCCCACATGTAACTGTATCTACAACCAGCTGCACCAGCGACACCTGTCCAACCCGGCCCGGCCTGGGATGCTATGTGGGGGCCCCCAGCCTGGGGTGCAGGGCCCCTGTCAGGTCTGATAGGGAGAAGAGAAGGAGCAGAAGGGGAGGGGCCTAACCCTGGGCTGGGGGTTGGACTCACAGGACTGGGGGAAAGACCTGCAATCAGAGGGTGTCTGCCATAGCTGGGCTCAGGCATCTGTCCTTGGCTTTGTTGCCTGGCTCCAGGGAGATTCCGGGGGCCCTGTGCTGTGCCTCGAGCCTGACGGACACTGGGTTCAGGCTGGCATCATCAGCTTTGCATCAAGCTGTGCCCAGGAGGACGCTCCTGTGCTGCTGACCAACACAGCTGCTCACAGTTCCTGGCTGCAGGCTCGAGTTCAGGGGGCAGCTTTCCTGGCCCAGAGCCCAGAGACCCCGGAGATGAGTGATGAGGACAGCTGTGTAGGTACGAGTGGGGCATGCTGGGAGTGGGCAGAAGCCACTGTGAAGCAAACCTCAGTTAGGACTAGAGAACTGGCATAGGCATCCACACCGCCGAGCCTAATTAGGGGGCTCTTTCACCCCCTGGGATGGGAACAGCCCTGTTAGGGCTGAGAGGCACAGGCACTTTGGAACTCTACAGGTTTGGAGTTTAGGTGAGAAGAGGAATCTCTGAGACCTGACTTGGGTTTCTGGGGAAGTGGCAGGCTTCCAGCAGGGACCCAGCGAGCCTGCACAGGGTAGGGCTCCCAGTCAGAATTCCGGCATTAAGTGACTGGCATGCAAATTGAATGCAAAGTAATTCCTGGGACGGATATTATGTCTTGATGATAAGAGATGCACTAATGAGTCAGGAATACGGGAGGCAGGCCCATCCTGGAGGGTGCAGACGGGTGGAGCAGGGGAGTGACAAGTAGGGGCATTCCCACGAGGCTGGGACAGGGGTCCCATCAGACCAACAGGGCTAAAAGCTCAGGCCCTGGCTTGCGAATCGCAAGTCTGCCACTTGCCTGTAGTTACAGAGCAAGGAAGTCTCTTAACCTCTCTGGAACTTTGGTTACCTTCAGTAATGAGGGGAACAAAATTCAATTTCAAAAGCTACTGTGAGGATTTGATGGGAAGTGGGAAGTGCTTAGCAAGAAGTCAGATGAGGCACTTATCTGTTTCAGCCTGTGGATCCTTGAGGACAGCAGGTCCCCAGGCAGGAGCACCCTCCCCATGGCCCTGGGAGGCCAGGCTGATGCACCAGGGACAGCTGGCCTGTGGCGGAGCCCTGGTGTCAGAGGAGGCGGTGCTAACTGCTGCCCACTGCTTCATTGGGTGAGTCTTGGATCCCTCTCTGCTGTGCCCCCTGCCCCTGCCGGCAGCCCTGTCACCTGGTGCCGTCCACACTGCCTCTGCACAGGCGCCAGGCCCCAGAGGAATGGAGCGTAGGGCTGGGGACCAGACCGGAGGAGTGGGGCCTGAAGCAGCTCATCCTGCATGGAGCCTACACCCACCCTGAGGGGGGCTACGACATGGCCCTCCTGCTGCTGGCCCAGCCTGTGACACTGGGAGCCAGCCTGCGGCCCCTCTGCCTGCCCTATCCTGACCACCACCTGCCTGATGGGGAGCGTGGCTGGGTTCTGGGACGGGCCCGCCCAGGAGCAGGTAGGTGGGCACAGGGCCAGGGCTGCTGTCCATCCAACCTGCAGGCCGGGGCAGCCAGCTTTCCCTTGCTCCACAGGCATCAGCTCCCTCCAGACAGTGCCCGTGACCCTCCTGGGGCCTAGGGCCTGCAGCCGGCTGCATGCAGCTCCTGGGGGTGATGGCAGCCCTATTCTGCCGGGGATGGTGTGTACCAGTGCTGTGGGTGAGCTGCCCAGCTGTGAGGTGAGCCCCAGGCCCCCACACCTTACCTAACAGGCCCCTGGCATCCCCTCACCCAATAGCTCAAGAACGGACCTTCCAGGCTTGGCCTCTGGACCCACCTCCCACCTGAAACTAAGCCTTTTTGCCAATTAGCCCCCAAACAGCCAGAGGTTCCCTAGCCTGCTCTACCGTCCTGCACAGCTGCCTATAAAAAGTCACCCAGTGTCACCTGACCCCTGACAGGGCCTGTCTGGGGCACCACTGGTGCATGAGGTGAGGGGCACATGGTTCCTGGCCGGGCTGCACAGCTTCGGAGATGCTTGCCAAGGCCCCGCCAGGCCGGCGGTCTTCACCGCGCTCCCTGCCTATGAGGACTGGGTCAGCAGTTTGGACTGGCAGGTCTACTTCGCCGAGGAACCAGAGCCCGAGGCTGAGCCTGGAAGCTGCCTGGCCAACATAAGTATGTGGCCCCGGGGCCTCCTGCCAAACCCTGCCTCTCCAGGACCCTTCTCTCTCCAGTGAGAACGTGCCGTTCTAACCCACTCCAGCTGCCTTGGGTAGGGTGGAGCAACAGGCAGACCCATTTGATTCAGATTCTGGTTCTTTGTCATCGTGTGACTTGGAGCAGGCTGCTCAACCGCTTTGAGCCTCAGTATTCTCATCTGTCATGGCGGCCAAGACAGACCCTGTTCCTTCGAGGAATGGGGAGGGAGGGAGGGACCAAAGCCGTGAGGATGAGGACAACTCCACCCTCCTTCCTTCCCCACAGGCCAACCAACCAGCTGCTGACAGGGGACCTGGCCATTCTCAGGACAAGAGAATGCAGGCAGGCAAATGGCATTACTGCCCCTGTCCTCCCCACCCTGTCATGTGTGATTCCAGGCACCAGGGCAGGCCCAGAAGCCCAGCAGCTGTGGGAAGGAACCTGCCTGGGGCCACAGGTGCCCACTCCCCACCCTGCAGGACAGGGGTGTCTGTGGACACTCCCACACCCAACTCTGCTACCAAGCAGGCGTCTCAGCTTTCCTCCTCCTTTACCCTTTCAGATACAATCACGCCAGCCACGTTGTTTTGAAAATTTCTTTTTTTGGGGGGCAGCAGTTTTCCTTTTTTTAAACTTAAATAAATTGTTACAAAATAGACTTTAGAAAATAAGTTACAAATTGTAGCAAAAGGCTCCCTTCCACAGGCAACTTTCCCACCGGTGGGGCTCTGCATCCGCCTCTCCCTGGTGTTGCAATCTGGCTGCTGAGGGTGGCGCTGAGAAGAGCACGGTGATGAGGCTGGGGGAAGGAGGTCCTTCAAGGACAGGGACGCGAGGAACACCCCACCCCCTCCTTGGGAAAGAAGCCAGATCTGGGTCCTCTTCACAAGGGGAGAGGAGAAGATATGGGGATGCCCGAACTACTCCTGAGAAAATGTGGAGATCAAGCCCCTCCCTGCACGCGCTCCCTCCCCCAGATTCTGATCTTTGGAGACTTGAAGTTCAGAGGGAGAAGCTGAGGTCTGCAGGCCACTGGGGTGAAGGATCCAGGAGTGGGGTCGTGGGGGTGGGTGGAGGGGGCAATGGCAAGTCCCCTCTGCCCGTCACTGGTGCCACTGGGGCTCCTGGGGGGAGAGAGAGAGGAGGTCACCAACTGAGGGGCAGACCCCGCACAGCGTGTACCCCCTCCCAGCCCTGCAGGCCATTCCCCTGCCCCTGGCCCCGGAGGCCCAGATGAGAACAGGGATTCTAGGCCTCCTAATTATTTTCCCAGCCCTGGCAAACTGGCTCCTCCCTCATATCCCTTGAGGTCATGAGAAATCTTCTATCCTTAAAGCCATTCCTTCAGCTTTCAGGTGACTCCCACCTGCCCTCTGCTCTGACAAGGCCTGTCAAGGGCCCACCATCTCAGGGCCACCCACCCTCGGTGGCCACTAGATGGAATGGGTCCGCCTCTACTAGGGGAGGTGGAGAGGCCAGCCCAGGTCCTGCTGAGGGAACCGGCCGCCCCACTCCCTGGCAGCTGCGGCTTCCAGCAGTGCTGGGTGGAGGCGATTCCCCACGGAGATGCCCTCTGATCAGGGATGTGACACGGGCTAATGACTGTTGTTGCTGCAGCTGGGCCTGGACTTCAAGGAAACAATTATCTGTGACTCAGTCCTCCAGTTAAAGGTGTGCAGAGGGTGGCAGGGTGCGCAGGTAGAAAGGGTGGTTTGGTTGGATCCTAAAAAGGCCGTTGGCAGCAGAGGGAAAAGGGGCTGAATAAAGGTTAGAGAAGAGATGGGAGCAACACTGACAGGGAAGGACCAGAGGTCTAGTTTCCAAGGAGAGGAGCAGCAGAGACAAGGCGCAGGGAAAGAGGGACAGGGAGTAGGGTGCCAACCAGTGAACCAGTTTCCGTGGCCAAGTCAGCAGGGAAGCCGTGGAGCCCATGCCCCATCCCTTGTTCCCTGGCACCCGGCCTGCTCCAGGAAAGAATGGAACCTAGACCAAACCAATGGCTTCCTCTTTTTCTCTGGAAGTCATTACTTTACTGGCTGACTCAGGAGGGTTTCCAGACACAGCAGCCAGGGGGTACCCAGTGACCTTCCCCTGAACAGAAAGACCATTCCATTCTGGCTACAGTGTAATGGAGGAGCCCAGGTAGCAGCCTCGGCCTGACCACGCCCCCACGTGCTGCCCAACCCACCCTGCTATTTGTTATACCTGACTTGCGGGTGCTCAGCTCAGCACATCCTCAAGCTACTTCTCTCACCCCATAGCCAAGCCCCCACCCACCTCTTAGAATCCCCGGGGCTCTCTCCTCTCACTCCTTGCTCCCCCACCGACTTTGGGGCTGGACTTCCCCCTCCACTGTGTGCCCACCTCCTCCTGGGACCCTTCATGCCCCCTACCGGAGCCGGCCACCGTCCACTCCTCCTGGTGCTGCTGCTGGTGCTGCACGAAGCTGATTCGGCGGCGGAAGTGGCGGGGACAATGGGGGCAGGTGAAAGGCCCCTCCCGGGGTGCATGGACCCGCCCGTGGCCCTCCAGCCGGGCAGCTGTCCGAAAGGCCTTGCCACAGATGCTGCAGCAGTGGCGCTTGGGGTCCGTGTGGGTCCTGCTGTGGTTCTTAAGAGACAGCAGGTTAGGGAGAAGTTTGGGACAGAGGGAGCACGGGTACAACCCTGTGGTGTGGGCCTTCTGGTGGTTCAGCAGGCTGCCAGCATGGCGGTAGGAGCGCCCGCACTGGGTGCAGCGGAAGGGCCGCTCCTTGTCCTCAGCCGCCATGGACGTCACCGCTTGTCCTCCCCTGGCTCTCTCCACACTCTCTCCTGGGCCTCTGGGGGTTTCTGATGGGGCCTCCTGGGCTTTCCCTTGACCAGGGAGAACCACCTGGTCCTCCCCAGTCCCGGCTTTGGGATCTCTGGCCTCCTCCATCTGGGCTGGCACCTGGCTGTGGCCCCGGGCATGAGCCTGCAGGTGGCTGGCCAGTTCCTGGTGGGACTCAAAGGCTTTGCCACAGTCAGGACAGGCAAAGGTCTGGGCGTCTATGTGGTTGTGGCTGTGGCTCTTTGTGGCCACAGGATTTAAGAACTCCTTGGAGCAGAGCAGGCAATAGTGTCGGTCTGTCTTGTTGGTGTTGTGGTTCAAGAGGCTGCCTGACTGGCAGTAAGTCTTGCCACACTGGCTGCAAGAGGAGTGGCTCCCTGGCTGCAGCTGAGAGCTGTTGTCTCTGTTGTCCCAGCTATCCATGTGACTCAGAGTAGGTCCATTGAGCTGGCAGTCACCAGCGTGGCAAGGACTCCTGTGGACACTGTCCTCTGGCTCCTCTGACCTAGTTAGGAACTGAGGAACCCAGCCTCCACTATGATTCCCCAGTCCCCCACCTACCGGCCACCCACCTGCCTTCCCTGCACCCCAGGACAGTGGCTCTGGGGCTTCTGAGCTTGCTGCCCTGATGGGGCTCTGACTGCGCTCCCCTGGCCTTGGGACTCCATCCTCCAAGTGGGGTACTGGCTCAGCACCACCCAATTGGGTCTCTAGTCCCTGGCTGCCAGTCAGGTTCGCCTCACTGGCCGCTGTGCCATCCAGGCCTCCCTGGCCATTGGCTGGCTCCCTTTCTGTCTCCTCATGCTCCCGCAGGTGCCGCTCCAAAGATCCCCGGCCAGGGAAGCTGCGGCCACAGAGGGCGCAACGCACAGCTGTGCGCCTGGACCGTCCAGCCCGTCGCCGCCGATTCTCTGAGTGCAGCCTCTGGTGGTCCTTCAGGGCCATGCGGTTGGAGTAGGTCTTGGGGCAGGTGGGGCAGCTGTACTGGCCCGTCTCGTGGCTGCGCCGGTGGTTCAGGAGGCTGCCGGCGTGGCGATAGGTCCGCCCGCACTGCCCACAGCGGAAGGGCCGATCTTCCCGAGTCGCCTTTCGGGTGCCCCCACCCCCACGCCGTTCCATGTGGACCCGCTGGTGGCTGGCCAGCTGTTTCCGCAGGCGGAAGGCCTTCCCACACTCGCTGCAGCGGAAACGTCGGGGATCTGCATGGATGCGCCGGTGGTTCTTGAGGGACATGAGGTTTGAGAAGCCCTTGGAGCAGGCCTGACAGCCAAAGTGGCCGGTCTGGTGGCTCTGCCGGTGGTTGATGAGGCTGCCGGCGTGCTTGTAGGATCGGCCACACACCTCGCAGCTGAAGGGCCGCTCAGAGCTGGCTTCAGTCTGGCAGCCCTTCTCGGCAGTCTCCAGCCTGGGCTCTATCTCCTCCCCCTTCACAGTGGTCTCCTCCCACACCTCTTCTTTCACCCTGGCCACTTCCTCCAGGGGCTCCACTTTAAGTTCTTCCTGGAGCTTCTCGACTTCTGCTTGCCCCGGCCCCTCCTCTGCCATGTGCTGGGGCTTGTTGCTGCCTCCTTCTGGGATGGGCCCAACCTGCAGCTCACTGCTACCTGCTGCCTCTGGGATGGGCCCAACCTGGGGCTCAGAGCCTTTGCAGCGAGGGTGGTTCCGCAGATGATTACGGTAGGCAGCCAGGTTGGGGTAGCAGCGGGAGCAGACAGGGCAGAGAAAGTCTCCAGTCTGGTGGATCTTGCGGTGGTTCACCAGGCTGCCCCCATGGCGATAGGTCTTGCCACACTGGTTGCAGCGGAAGGGGCGGGGCTGAGCCTCCAACAAACTTTCCCCACCCTGGATGCAGAGGCTGTCTCCCAAGGGGGTGCCTGCTCCCTCTTGAGACTTGGCATCTCCACCCTCTCCAGAGACAGAATTCACTATGTCCTCCAAGACACTGTCCACGACCATCTCCATGGCATCACCTGCCACTCCCAAGGGGCTGGGAGCCTTGTCTGCAGTAGTCCCAGAACTCTGACTTTGGTGGTGACGCTCCAGGCTCCCCAGGTCATCGTAGGTCTGACCACAGCAGCCACAGATGTGCCCATACCCTGCACTGTCCAGCGCTTCCACCTCCCGCTGCAGCTGATTCAGCAGCTCTGCTTCCGAGAGCTGCAGTGGTGGACTGCGTGCAGGGGCTGCCTCTGCCACTCCTTCCTCTTCCCCCTCCTCCTCTGAGCCCTCAGTCATGCCAGAGGAGCTGTGGGCCTGGCGCCGGTGAAGCCTGTAGCCAGCCCGCCCAGGGAAGATCATGCCACAGAGGCAGCAGAGGAAAGGCTGTGCTGAGGTCGCCTCCCCAGGCCTATGGTTCTGGAAGTGGCTGCGGAGGGCAGGCAGAGAGTCAAACTCCTTCGGGCAGAGGGAGCACTGATAGATGCCTGGTGGGTGGCAGGGCCTGTGGCTCAGCAGGCCAGTGGCATGGGGGAAAGAATGCCCACAGTCAGAGCATGTGTGAGCGGCCCCAGCCTGCCAGCCAGTGACAGCATTGGCAGAGTGGGAAGAGGAGTTGGGTTGGCCAGTGGCTGGCTTCTGGTCTTCATCCACCCCAGTGAGGCTATCGCAGAAGTGAGTGCCACCACCTTCCTCACCTGGGATGTCCAAGTTGTCAAGTAAACTGGCATCCTTCCTTTCCAGTCCTTCCCCAGTGCCTCCGCTCTCTTTATCACCCTGGAAATGGGTCTCATCCCTCTCAAGCCCACATTTGTCCCCTTCAGATTCAGCCTGCAAACAGTCCCCATCACTTTCCAGGTTGCCTTCAGCCCCATGAGGACTTTCCCCTGAAGGGTCTTGGGGAGACTCCAGGCCTTCATTGTCTTCTAGCTCCCGGGTCCAGCTCTCCGCTGCCAGGAGTTTGGCTTCTCTCCCACCGCTGGCACCGCCAGCCCGCTTCCGATGCCGCCTGCTCCGCCGCCGACTGTGCCGGCGCAAGTGGTTCTTCATGGCAGCCATGGTGTGGAAGTGCTTGGCACAGGCCCCACAACTGAAGTCTCCTGTCTGGTGGGTCTGCCTGTGGTTGATAAGGCTGCCTGAGTGGCGATAGCTCTTTCCACAGTCTCGGCAGGCAAAGGCCCTAGGAGGTGACATTGTGGTCTCTGTTCTGCTATTTTCCTTTTCCCCTGCCCCATGAGTCAGGCCATGACGTTCAAGGCTCTCAGCGTCTTCAAAGAGCAGCCCACAGATGCTACAGATATGTGCTGCTGTCTTGTCTGCTGCTGGGGTGATGTCCGTGGCCTCTTCTTCATGTTTGCACACATGGTCCTGATCTGTGTGCGGGGCTGCCTCTGCCTCCACTGGGTCAGGCGGGAGTTCTACCTTGAGGTGGCTGGGGGCACCCTCAGCCCCGATGTCTGCACTTCGGCGAGCAGCCTTGCAATGTACCCGCACGTGGTTGCGCAGGGCCATGAGATTGGGGTACTTGCGGGGACAGAGTGAGCACTGGTACTCTCCAGTCCGATGGCTGTGGCGATGGTTCACCAGGCTCCCCCGGTGGCGGTAAGCACGACCACACTCACTGCACTTATAGGGCCGATGGTCCAGGGTGGTGGTGGGGTCCTCTTCCTCTTTGTGGGTGGTCTCAGCCAGCAGCAGGGGAGCTGGTGGGACTGATGGCTGCCCATTTTCCCCAACTCCTTGCCTGGGCCTGTGATGAGCCCGCACATGGTTTTTGAGGGCAGCCGCATTGAACAGCTGCTTAGAACAGAGTGAGCAGGGGTAGACACCTGTCTGGTGGCTCTTTCGATGGTTGATGAGGCTCCCAGCATGGCGGTAAGTACGGCCACAGTCCCCACAGCGGAAAGGCCGGTATTCCTCCAGGCCACTGTCCTCCAGCTCCCCAGAGGTGCTGAGCTCCGCAGAGCCATTCAGCATCTGTGCACTGGGGAGCTGGTCCTGGCTGCTCTCATCTGTGTGCCCATTGGTGGTGGGCATCCCTTTCTCCTCCCAGCGTGGCTCCTGCCTTTCACCCTCATGGGACTGCTGGTGTTCCAGCAGCTCCCGGGGGAGCCGGAAGACACGGGGGCAGTGGGGACAGTGGTAAGGCCGATACTGGGCATGCAGTCGAGAGTGGTTCTTCAGAGCCATGAGGTTAGAGAACTCCTTGAAACAGATGGCACAGGGGTAGATGCCCAGCGTGTGGCTCTGGCGGTGGTTGGTGAGGCTCCCGGCGTGCTTGTAGGTCTTGCCACACTGACTACATTTGTACCGCCGCTCCTCCTCAGCAGGAGGGGACTGGGTGGGCTCCTGGCCCCCTGTGAAGTTCACTACTGATTCAGCCAGATACTGTTCCAAGTTGCTAAGAAGGCTGCTGGCTGGGATGGGGAGAGGAGGGGCTCTGGCAGAGTTAGTGGAGGGTCCCCAGCCGTCTGCACCATCCTCAGGACCTGGGTGGCTTGCCAAGCCTTCTCTTTGTCTGGTGGGCAGATCTTCCCACGTACCCGAAGCTGCCCTGGGGTCAGGTACAGATTCACAGTCAGGTGTCTCTTCTGTATGTTTTGTCTGGTTTTCCCAGCCTTCACTAGAGCCAAGCCTTTGGCCCCAGGAGTCAGTGGACACCGTCTCACCCTGGAGGTGTGGAGTGGCTTCCTTGGGGCGTGGGGGCCTGTGCCTGCGGCGGCCCTCAGGAGCATGTGTCCTCATATGGCTCTTGAGAGCCATGGGATTGGAGAAGTCCTTGCCACAGGTGGTACAGGGGAAAAGGCCAGTCTCGTGGGTCCGACGATGGTTAACCAGGCTCCCGGGGTGACGGTAGCCCCGCCCACACTGCTGACAACGGTAGGGCCGAGGGATGCTGTCAGCCTCCTCACTGTCCTGGTTGGGAGATGGATGGAGCAGTTCTCGGTGCCGAGAGAGCTCTGGGAGGCTGGGAAAGTGGCGCTGACAGTCGGAGCAGCTGAGTGAGGGGGGTGTGTCCTCCATGGGGCAACGTAGCAGAAACCTGGAGGTTCAGAAGGAGCAGACACGTGGCAGCACCTTCCTCTGGTGGAGGGGCCAAGGCCTAGGAAGAGGGGGCAGTGGTCAAAAGGAAGGCCTGAATTAACTTCGCCTCTTGGCTCTACGAGCAACAAGTTCACCTGAGGTCACTGAGAGGTTCCCCAAGCATCCATGCCCAAGGACCTAATTTCTACTAGATCCAATCTGCAGGCACCATCATTTAAGGCTTCCCTGTGCACAAGCTTCCCAAATATAGGAGCTCCCCTAGGCTTAAGTCATCCCTACAGGTATAGCTAAGGAAATTAAAGTTGAGAGAGATGCAACCTACTTCTGATCACAGACCTGTTATGTTCTTCAGACCAGACTCAAAAGGCATTACTGTCCTTTAAGAACAGTAGGAATCTGCTCCCTACAATCCTGAAACAAAAATTTTCTGTGACATCTTAAAAGGACACCAAAACCTTCTCTAGGCCTTTCAATAAGAGAAGTCCAAATCTTCCTACTTCATCTCTCAGCTAAACAGAGTAGCTGAGAAGCACTGAAAAAGCAGCTGTTTCCTCCAGTTAATAGCTGAGGACCTGAGAGGAGAGGTTAGAGGCCTCCTTCAGGGAAAGGGCTGGCTTGTTCCCCCACCACCCCGAGTCATTTCAGTGTCACAAGGTCTCTTTTCCTTGTGACAAGAGAGTTAAGAGAGTTAAGACTCTCTTAACTGGGCCAGGTGTGGTGGCTCACGCCTGTAATCCCAGCACTTTGGGAGGCCGAGGCTGGTGGATCACCTGAGTTCAGGAGTTCAAGACCAGCCTGGACAACATGGTGAAACCCTGTCTCTACTAAAAATACAAAAATTAGCCGGGCGTGGTGGTGGGCACCTGTAATTCTAGCTACTCAGGAGGCTGAGGCTGAAGAACTGCTTGAACCTGGGAGGTGGAGGTTGCAGTGAGCTGAGATCCCACCACAGCACTCCAGCCTGGGTGACAGAGCGAGACTCCATCTCAAAAAAACAAAAAACCCCAAAAGACTCTCTTAGCGACTTCTTTTATCTACTTCCCTTGAACTCAAACTATCTTCCATCTTGGGAATAACATCAATACCAGGTTGTAATGTCACTTCATTGCCTACCTTTTCTCTCCCATGCCTCCTGATCTTACCCTCACCAGTCTTTCTCATTTTTTTCTTCTGCCTCCTCTCTTAATACTGATGATGACAGCAACTCATGAAGAGTATTATATTACCATGTGCCAGGCACTGTGCTAACTATATTCATTGTGTTACTCAATCCTCAGAACACACGGCAATGCCTGTTATTCTAGTTCACGTAACAGCAAACCCCCTGACTGAGGCGGTCTTCATCCCAAAGCCCTTGCTCTCTCATGCCCCCTACATCGTCTTGTCCTTCTCCAACTCTGACTCTTCTTCCCATGGGACCCCAGTACAACTGTCTCCGACCGTAAACCCCTTCACTGAACCTGCCCCCGGAATTCTCACCTCACAAAGCCCCTTTGATCAAAAGTCCCCTCCCCTAGTCAACCACCAATGAAGTCCTCTGACCTCACTCATCTCGTCTGCCAATTTCCTCTCAGGACGCCTACCTCGCACCGGCGGCCCCCTCTCCTTCCCGCCGCGGGCGCGTCAGTTGGGGACCGCGAACAAGAGCGCGCCTGCGCACTGGGACCCTTACCCTAACTGCAGCCGCGCGCCCCAAGGGGTGGCTGTCGGGGGGCTCTCGCGCTCCCACACACGCACACTCAGCCAGGGTTCCCGGGAGGTGGGAGGGAAGGGAAAGAGGGAAAGGAGAAGGGGGGAAGAGGAAGGAGGTAGAGAAAAGAGGGCGCAGCTGGCATGAGCCAGGAGTCTACTCCCAGCTCTACGGACACTTCCTATTGTTACTAGGAAACAGGAAGTGTCCTTAGGTGCAAAAGCTTCCCCGCGAAACTTCCGCTTCGGGAGCACTGCCTGTCCCGCCTCCGAGCCGCAGTTTTACGCAGACACACTTCCGGCGCTAAGTTCTAGGTCTGCACGGCTGACTCCGCCCACGTAGGTCACAACGCGGCGTCTTTGCACGCTAAGCTAGCCACACTTCCGGCAAGAGCAGCTAGAATCGTTCCGGTGCATATTGAATAGGCGCAGAAAGGGAGAAAAAGATTCTACAGCCCTGGCCACAGTACTTTGGTGACACTTTTCGTGGGGCTCTCTGGAGGACTTTTCCCAAGGCAGATGGAGAAAACTTCGTGAAACCCACTCCTTGCTATTAAAGGAAATGTTGTGGAATATAATTGGACTTAGGTTTTGCAGAGCTTGAGCATGGCCTTTTTGTCCTCCCACCTTCTGGTTCTTGAAGACATTGCCGGTGACCTGGCCCCAGACTAACACAAGGCGGGCGTATACCGTCAGCCTGCCTGGCGTCCCCTTGCCTCAGCACACACAGAGACCTCTTGCAAGATGCTTCTCTGCCGCCATAGGCTGGAGGTTCCCCGGGAACTTTCCCTTCCTTCCTAGCTGAGGAAGATCCCTCACTTCCGCTCGCCGCGCCACCGGTCCCACCTCCCCGCCCCCCGCTGGGTCCTAGCGCCGGCCCCTGTTTGGCAGGGTCCGGGCTCCGTCGGTGCGAGGAGCCGACGCCGACGCCACGGAGTCAGCACAAGTCTCATCAGGTAGGAAACGTCGGCGGGAAGCCGCGAGGGCCCCGGGCAGCTCCCACGCGGCCACGATCCGAGCTGGCCTCAGTTTCCCTGCGGGCGCCGAGGGCGGGCCGGGTTGGCCCAGCGCGAGCAGCGCGGGCGGGGCGGGCTGTGAGCGGCCCCGGGCGCATTGCGGGCCCAGCAGGTCCTAGAACCCGCCGGCTGTCTCCGCGGTTCTGGGCTGCGGACACCCAGGCTCGGCCCGCGCGGCTGCTGGCCCGGCGCGGTGTGGTCCCGGGGGTCCTAGAGCCCGCCATGTTTTGGGTTTTTGTCCCGGTCGCGTGGCCCGCGCTGCAAGATCCCAGGCGCCGGCGGCCCCCTCCCCTGCTGAGGCCCGGCCACCACTCCCGCGGTCCTAGAGAACGCCATCTTGCAAGCCTTTGTCCCTCATTCGGCCTTCCGTCCATTCATTTGTTCATCTCCTCATCCTTCGTTCAGTCCTCCTTGCCACGTCCTCCGAAGCCACGTTTTCTGAGGCTTATAACCGGGGTCCTGCCCTCCAGGGGCTGCCTGGCTGGCGGGGGCGCCGCGTACAGACGGTTGCGAGGAGCGAGGAGCTCCGGGTTTCTGCAACTCTCGGCTCCTCGGCGCGCTTCGTAGGCCCCACCGCCCTTCAAACTCCCACAAACTTAAGGGACCCCATTTTACTGATGAGGAAACTGAGGTCCAGAGCGGCGTGGGGCCCTTACCTCTCTACTGCCATAAAGTATTCCTGAGGGCACTAGGGAAGGGGGTTCTTGAAGGATGTAAAGGGGCTTTCCCGTTGGAGAAGGCAGGCAAGGGCTCCCCGAGCCCAGGAAACTGCATCTAGAGGTGGAGGATTGAGAATTGTGGCTGGAGGTTCGGTCGCTGCCGGGAGGAGGACTCTGTCGCTGGAGCTGAGGCTGGAAAAGTAGGTTGGGATCAGGTTGTGAACTGGCCCGGTAGGAGGCCTAGGATATGATTAGCGCTCACTTCTGCAGGGTTCATCCGCTCACTACGTCACTCCTGGCCGTGAGGCCTGTGTGGTGACTGCTTGTTTAGAGATGGGAAGATTGAGGTGCCTCCTTTTTCTCCTCATCCCTGCCCCAGGGTCCTAGCCTAGGATTTTTGGAAATTGAATCTTTGCTTGCCTAGTGAGACAGCAGAACTTCATCCCCTTCCTAAGCCAGTAGTGAGGCAAAGCAAGGCTTCATCGCCACGACAGGGAGCCCACTGTGGGATATTGGGGCAATAGTTGAGCCTTGTGGAGTTGGAAAGGTGGAGGAATTTAGTTAATAAACAGTTATTGGTGGACATTCTCACAAACTCCTACTGTGGAGGAGGCAGAGGCTACAGACCTGGGTTCAAATTTCATCTGAGGTTGGTTCTTTCCATTTGTTTTGGGTCACCACACAGGGTTCTGGGTGTAGAGGAGGCAGATGATCGGTTTCCTAGCCCTTTGCCAGCCTGGACTCTGGTGCTGGTGATGAAGAATTAACAGCCAAACCATAAGATGTGTAATGCTAGCAAAGCAATAGTCAGGGCTCAGAGAGCAGGTGTTTGGGATTTGAACACTGGCTGGGACCGTGACTAGTAAGCTTGTTTCTTTGTGGTGTCACTTCTCATAAGAACGCTAATCCTACTGGACCAGGGCCATACCCTTATGACGTCATTCAGCCTTAATTACTTCCATAAAGGCCTTGTCTCCAAATACAGTCACAATGAGAGTTAGAATTTCAATATATGAATGGACAGGGAACACAAACATTCACTCATAATGAACTGCTAGGCAGCTGTGCAGTTGGCTTGAGTAGTTGAGTATTATGCACAAAATGCTTAGAATGATACCTTGCCCATGGTAAGCTTGCAAGGAGTATTGTCCAGATGACACCATAAAGGAAATTAGAGAGGAGGGGTGCTGGTCACTGTGGCTCATGCCTGTAATCACAGCACTTTAGGAAGCCATAGTGGAGGAGCATCTGAAGCCAGGAGTTCTTGAGACCACTGTCGGCAGCGTAGTGAGACCTCCATCTCTATATACAAAGAATTTTTAATAAATTAGCGAGGTGTGGTGGTGGGTGCCTATAGTCCTAGCTACTCAGGAGGATTGCTTGAGTGCAGGAGTTTGAGGCTGAAGTGAGCTATGATTGAGCCACTGCACTCCAGGGTGACAGAGTGAGACCCAATCTCTAAATAAAAATAAAGGCCAGGCACGGTGGCTCACGCCTGTAATCCCAGCACTTTGGGAGGCTGAGGCGGTCGGATCACTTGAGGTCAGGAGTTCGAGACCAGCGTGGCCAATGTGGTGAAACCCTGTCTCTACTAAAAATACAAAAGTTTGCCAGGTGTGATGGCTTTCGCCTGTAGTCCCAGCTACTCGGGAGGCTGAGGCTGGAGAATCACTTGAATCCGGGAGGTGGAGGCTGCAGTGAGCTGAGATGCAGCCACTGCACTCCAGCCTGGGCAACAAAGACTTTCTCTCAAAGAAAATAAATAAATAAAAATGAAATAAATAGGCCGGGCATGGTGGCTCAAGCCTGTAATCCCAGCACTTTGGGAGGCCAAGGTGGGTGGATCACCTGAGGTCAGGAGTTCCAGACCAGCCTAGCCAACATGGCCATCTCTACTAAAAATACAAAAAATTAGCTGGCTGTGGTGGCAGGCACCTGTAATCCCAAATACTTGGGAGGCTGAGGCAGAAGAATTGCTTGAACCCAGGAGGCAGAGGTCGCAGTGAACTGACATCACACCATTGCACTCCAGCCTGGGCAACAGAGGGAGACTCTGTCTCAAATAATAATAACAATAAATAATAAAATAAATAAAAATAAGCCAGGCACGGTGGCTCATGCCTGTAATCCCAGCACTCTGGGAAGCCGAGGCAGTGGATCATCTGAGGTCAGGAGTTCGAGACCAGCCTGGCCAACATGGTGAAACTCCATCTCTACTAAAAATACAAAAAATTAACCAGGCGTGGTGGTGGATGCCTGTAATTCCAGCTACTCGGGAGGCTGAGGCAGGAAAATCTCGTGAACCGGGGAGGCGGAGGTTGGAGTGAGCAGAGATGGTGCCATTGCACTCCAGCCTTGGCAACAAGAGTGAAACTCTGTCTCAAAAATAAATATATAAATAAAAATAAAAACATTTTTTAAAAAGTAAAGAGGGCTGGGTGCGGTGGCTCATGCCTGTAATCCAAGCACTTTGGGAAGCCAAGGTGGGTGGATCACTTGAGGTCAGGAGTTCAAGACCAGCCTGGCCAACATGGTGAAATCCTCTCTCTACTAAAAATACAAAAATGAGCCAGATGTAGTGGCGGGCGCCTATAATTCCAGCTACTCGGGAAGCTGAGGCAGGAGAACCGCTTGAACCCGGGAGGCGGAGGTTGCAGTGAGCAGATATTGTGCCATTGCACTCCAGCCTGGGGGACAGAGTAAGACTCCGTCTCAAAAAAAGGGCCGGGCGCGGTGGCTCACACCTGTAATCCCAGCACTCTGGGAGGCCGAGGCGGGCGGATCACGAGGTCAATAGATCGAGACCATCCTGGCCAACATGGTGAAACCCCATCTCTACTAAAAATACAAAAATTAGCCGGGATTGGGCCGGGTGCAGTGGCTCACGCCTGTAATCCCAGCACTCTGGGAGGCCGAGGCAGGTGGATCACGAGGTCAGGAGATTGAGACCATCCTGGCTAACACAGTGAGACCCTGTCTCTACTAAAAATACAAAAAATTAGCCGGGCGTGGTGGCGGGCACCTGTAGTCCCAGCTACTCAGGAGGCTAAGGCAGGAGAATGGCATGAACCCGGGAGGCGGAGCTTGCAGTGAGCCAGGATTGTGCCACTGCACTCCAGCCTGGGTGACGGAGTGAGACTCCGTCTCAAAAAAAAAAAAAAAAAAAAAATAGCCGGGCGTGGTGGCGGGCACCTGTAGTCCCAGCTACTTAGGAGGCTGAGGCAGGAGAACTGCTTGATAGATAATCATGAGATTCCGTCAAAAAATAATAATAATAATAAAGAGTAGATAGAGAATGATTATCAGGGGTAAAGATAGCATTGAGAAAGGTAGTCATTCAGTGCTCCTTGGTTGGTTAAAAAAGGAAAAAATTTGGAATATTAAAAGGGGGGAAGAAAAGGAAAGGTGGTCAAGAAAGCTCTTTTTGAGGAGGTGACTGGGAGCTGAGATCCAAATAACACCAAAAAAGACAGCTACACAAAGATCGTGGGAGAAGAGTGGCTCAGACAGAGGGAACTGCTAGTGCCACTGCCCTGAGGTGGGAAGGAATTTAGCTCTTTGAGGAGAAGAAAGGAGGCCTCTGTGGGTAGAGCCCAGTGGGCCAGGGAGAGGAGTGGGAGGTGAGGTAGGCAGGTGTGTGTGTGTGTGTGTGTGTGTGTGTGTGTGTGTGTATTTTTAGTAGAGATGGGGTTTCACCATGTTGGCCAGGCTGGTCTCAAACTCCTGGCCTCAAGTGATCTGCCCAGGTAGGCAGGATTTAGATGGTTTGGGGCTATGCTGGCCATGGAAAAGATATTGGTCTTTTTCCTGGGAGCAGTGGGAAGTCTCATGATTCAACCTGGGGGAGAGAATGGAGACTTGGGTTCGAGTCTGGCTCCTTGACCAGCTGTGTGTCCTTGTGTACAGTTTTTCCTTTGTGGGGACCTTAATCTCAATATCTGAAAAAGAGGTGTAGTGAACACTTAAAATGCTCCTCTCCTGAGAGCTCGTGGAGACCTAAGGATGTGTGTTTGGTTCTTAAGTATTGGTTGGGCAGGCACGGTGGCTCACGCCTGTAATCCCAGCACTTTGGGAGGCTGCGGTGGGAGGATCACTTGAGCCCAGGAGTTCTAGACCAGCCCAGGCAACATAGCAAGACTTCATCTCTACTAAAAATAAAATAAAAATTAGCCAGGCATGATGGTGCATGCCTGTAGTCCCAGCTACTTGGGAGGCTGAAGTGGGAGGATTGCTTGAGTCTGGGAAGTCAAGGCTGCAGTAAGCCATGACTGCACCACTGCACTCCAGCCTGAGCGACAGAGTGAGATCTTGTTTCAAAACCAAACAAACAAAAGTATTGGCTGGAATGATCCAGAGTGTATTTAAAATACAGATTCCTGAGGCCTACCTCAAGCTCTTTAATAAAAAAAAAAAAAAAAGTCTGGGCGTGGTGGCTCTCGCCTGTAATCCCAGCACTTTGGGAGGCCGAGGCGGTCGGATCACGAGGTCAGGAGATTGAGACCATCCTGGCTAACACAGTGAAACCCCGTCTCTACTAAAAATACAAAAAACTAGCCAGGTGTGGTGGCAGGTGCCTGTAGTCCCAGCTACTCAGGAGGCGGAGGTTGCAGTGAACCAAGATCGCGCCACTGCACTCCAGCCTGGGCAACAGAGTAAGACTCCATCTCAAAAATTATATATATATATATATATATATATATTTTTTTTTTTTTTTTTTTTAATGGTGGGATGTTAGACAGAGACCTAGCCTACCTGGCCTCTTTGTGTAGCTGGGCGCATGCTGAGACCAACCTGGCACTCCCCTACCTTTTCCCCTGGGAAGTGCCATGGGAGGAGGGATTTCCCCTCCAGCTACCTGGTGTCTAACTCACAGATAGGAAGGCTGAGACCCAGAGCTGGCAAGAGGCAGTAGAAGGGCCAGAGCTCAGAACCACTGGGTCAAGCCCTCTGAGAGGGAAGCAGAGACATAAAGGGTGCCGGCCAGGGTCTCAGGGCAGTTCTGCAAGGATGAGAGAAGACACAGGTATGACCTGAGCTCAGGGTTCTGGTCACTGTGGGGCTGGCGGAGGCAGCAGACAAGCGTAAGAGGCCCCAGACCACTGAGCAAGACCCCAGCAACTTAAGGCAAATTAAACACCTGGACTGAAGTCCCAGCTGCTTAGGTTACCCATTGTGGGACCATGGGCAAGTCACTTAACTCTTGGAACCTCGATTTATTCCTCTGTAAAGTAGGGACAAGAATCCCTATCTCAGAAAGGTATAAGACATTAAATTAAATAAACCAGCACACCCAGCAATGTGTCTGGCTCTAAGAAGACGCTTTGATAATTGAGGACAGTAATTATTTTTGACTCATTCATTCCTCACCCAACTCTGTCAGGTAAGTACTGTCATTATCTCCATTTTTCAGATTAGAAAACTGAGGTTCTAAGACATGCAGTACATTACACACGGTCACATCAGCTGGGAAGTGATGGAGGCAAAATCTGAAGCCAGACAGTTTGGCTTCAGGGACTGGGCACTTAACAAAATACTGAACCATTTCTCTGGACCTTGGTTCCCTTATCTGTGAAAATGGAATAATAGAACTTTCCTCATGGGGTTGCCATGAAGGGTAACTGAGCTAATACACATAAGGAGTTTAGGATACTGCCTGGTATTTGGCGAGTGCTCAGTAAATGTGAACTATCTTTTTTATCATTTATTTATTTATTTATTTTTGAGATGGGGTCTCACTCTGTTGCCAGGCTGGAGTGCAGTGGCACCATCTTGGCTTACTGCAACCTCAGTCTCCTTAGGCTCAAGCATTTCTCCTACCTCAGCCTTCTGGAGTAGCTGGGAGTACAGGCATGCTCCACCATGCCTGGCTAATTTTTGTATTTTTTGTAGAAATGGGATTTTGCTATATCGCCCAGGCTGGTCTTGAACTCCTGGGCTCAAGGGATCCACCCGCCTTGTCTTGAACTCCTGGGCTCAAGCGATCCACCCGCCTTGGTCTCCCAAAGTGCTAGTGTGAGCCACTGAACCTGGCCCAAGCTATCATTTTTATTAAGGAGGAACATTATCAGGCAGACTCTCCAGAAACCGTCTGGAAGAGGTAGTGAGTACCTCATCCAGAAATAGGGAGGGATCCCTTGGAAACTGTAGGAAGAATTCAAGTCATCAGAAAGGTTAGAATTCAGTCCCTTTAACTTATCTTCAAGCCCCAGGATTGATTATTGATTGATTGATTGATTGAGACAGTGTCTTGCCCTGTCTCCCAGGCTGGAGTGCAGTGGTACAGCCTTGAACTCCTGGGCTCAAGCAGTCCTCCCACCCCAGCCTCTCAAGTAGGCAGTACTACAGGCACATGCCACCACATCTGCTAATTTTTATTTTTAGTAGAGATGGGGTCTCACCAGGTTGCCCAGGCTGGAGCGCAGTGGTACGATCATAGTTCCCTGCAGCCTCGAACCCCTGGGTTCACAGGATCCTCCCGCCTCAGCCTCCCACGTAGCTGGGACTTAAGGCGCATGCCACCACACCTGGCTAAGCCCTAGGATTTAGTGGGAAAAGTGAAATAACCAAGTGAGAATAAGATGGAGTTTTGTGGGATTGGGGCCAAACCCAAAGGGGAGATGCTTGAGGATCCTCCTGGTGGAAGTGGGGCTCCAGTGAAGGACTTGTCAGATTTGGAACAAGCAGGAAGGACCTGGGGATTTGCATGGTGTGGTGGAAGCCATGGAAAGTTCTTGAGCAGGGAACAGGAAACATCATTCATTACTTTTGGGAGAAGACCGGCTGCATGGGGTTGGGGAGGGAGGGCAGCGTGCAGGCCTGAGGCCGGGATTTCAGGCAGAAGGGTGCTGACTTTAAGGATGTGGCCCTTGCCACGCGTCAGGGGCTCCTGTGTCCTCCCTGGGTCAACCAGGTAAGCTGCTTCTCCCGCCCTTTCCTGGCATAAGGGGCCCTGAGTCTCTGTATTTCCCCTAGCACCCTCGTGGCTCAGCTCAGTTTCCTCCTCCTGAACCCCAGTGTCATAACTTAGAAGCCACCAACCCCTAACGTGTCCAGATGAGGAAATAGTCTTTTTATTTTTTTTTTTTTGAGACGGAGTCTTGCTCTGTCGCCCAGGCTGGAGTGCGGTGGCACGATCTTGGCTCACTGCAAGCTCCGCCTCCCAGGTTCACACCATTCTCCTGCCTCAGCCTCCCGAGTAGCTGGGACTACAGGCGCCCGCCACCACGCCCGGCTAATTTTTTTGTATTTTCAGTAGAGACGGGGTTTCACTGTGTTAGCCAGGATGGTCTCGGTCTCCTGACCTCGTGATCCGCCCCCCTCGGCCTCCCAAAGTGCTGGGATTACAGGCGTGAGCCACCACGCCCAGCCGGGCGGAAATAGTCTTATAAACAACACTCATTTCACTGAGGTCTCATAGTAATCCACAGGGCTGCAAGTAGAACGTAGGCCCCCTAGCCTCTGGGCACACCTGGCTCCCTGCAGCCCCCACTCCTCAGACCCCTTCCCCCAGCAGCAGCTGCTGAGCACTCCTTAAGTGGATCTGCCATAATCCTCTTCCCTTCATCCCCCAGGGAGGATGAGCTGGTGTTAAGACTAATACAGCCATTAATCCTGTTTCCTCCCAACCATGATCCCCAGGAGCAGCTGGGTGGAGGGCGTCTGGGTTCTGGACCAGAAAGTAGGGATCTCAGCTAGAGCTGGTATCCCAGGAGGCCATGTTAGATCAGATACATCAGTTATGACTCAGAAAGAGGCTTCCAGCTGCTAGCAATGGCTCAGGCTGCCTTGAGTGATTCTCCATTACCAGAGTTGTGGGAACAGGCCAACAAGATTCCAGAGCAGAGAGTGGACAGATTCCAGTCTGGGGCGGAGGCCCGTACAGCTGTGCAAGGCCAGAATTCTGTGTGAACAGTTGCTGTCTCTGAGGACTAACCATCCAGAGGAGGAAAGAAAACACAAATGCTGGGGACCTGTCACTTCCAGACAGTGCCAGCTACCAGATTTAGCCCATTGGCTCAGCCCTTTTCTGGTCCCAGGTCTGTCTTTTCTGGGCGCTTGGAGACCTTCAGGCCAGGCCCACGTCTGGGTACACTCTTTATCCTGGCATAGTTCTTGGACACTGAGCTGAAGAAGGAAGATGGTGAGACAGATGGAACCTGGGCCTCTGGGAATGCCACAGTGTTTGGAAAAGCCCGTTGGGGGCGGGGGGGGACGTGTAGGTGAATCTTTTGTGACCCTCAGCCTCCTTTCTTAGTGGCTCTGCGGACACTTGGTCCAACTCCTTTCTTCAATGAGCAGATCAGGGAGGAAACGAACGCAGGATGTCAGAGCCAGGAATGCTGGGCAGGAAGGATGTGTGGGTTCCGAGGTGAGAAATGCAGATGAGATAGGGTTCTCTCTGAGGCTTTCAGGAGTGGCGAAGGTATGTGGCTTTGGTCTAACTTTGCTTCTCTTGCAGAGAAACCCCGTTCACCAAGGCCATGGAAGTGGAGGCTGCAGAGGCCCGGTCCCCAGCCCCCGGCTACAAGCGCTCGGGCCGCCGCTACAAGTGCCTGTCCTGTACCAAGACATTTCCAAACGCGCCCAGGGCAGCGCGCCACGCTGCCACACATGGGCCGGCAGACTGCTCTGAAGAGGTGGCCGAGGTGAAGCCAAAGCCAGAGACAGAAGCTAAGGCAGAGGAAGCCAGTGGGGAGAAGGTGTCAGGCTCCGCGGCCAAGCCTAGGCCCTATGCGTGTCCGCTATGCCCCAAGGCCTACAAGACGGCACCCGAGCTGCGCAGCCACGGGCGCAGCCACACGGGGGAGAAGCCCTTTCCGTGCCCCGAGTGCGGCCGCCGCTTCATGCAGCCCGTGTGCCTGCGCGTGCACCTGGCCTCGCACGCTGGCGAACTGCCCTTCCGCTGTGCGCACTGCCCGAAGGCCTATGGCGCGCTCTCCAAGCTCAAGATCCACCAGCGTGGCCACACAGGCGAGCGGCCTTACGCCTGCGCCGACTGCGGCAAGAGCTTTGCTGACCCTTCAGTGTTCCGCAAGCACCGGCGTACTCACGCTGGCCTGCGGCCCTACAGCTGTGAGCGTTGCGGCAAAGCCTATGCGGAGCTCAAGGACCTCCGCAACCATGAGCGGTGAGGGTGCCTTCCGGGGCAGGGCGCCTTCCGGGGCAGGGCGACAGCGTTGCTGCAGCCAATGGGGCCTGGGTTTGAGTCTCAGGGTAAAGTGAGCCAATGGGAAGGTGGGCATGGCAGATCCAAGGGGAGGGGCTAGGCATGTGGGAGAAATTGGTGCCCCTGATTGGGCAGAGGTGGCAACCACCTTGAGGTTGATCTCTGAGAATGGGATTGGGTCAGATTGGCCTCCGTTGTAGGCCAGCTGGAAAGGGGGCGGGGTTTGGAGTTGGGCAGTTCTGAGGGTCTTTTGTGGAGACCAGGAGGTGTGAGTGGGGCCTGGTTTGTCTAGGTCATTTTTTTTTTTCTTTTTCTCAGCCTCTACATTAATGACATGTTTCTAGGCTGGGCACAATAGCTCACGCCTATAATTCCAGCACTTTGGGAGGCTGAGGCAGGAGGATTGCTTGAGCCCAAGAGTTCAAGACCAGCCTGGGCAACACAGCAAGCCTCGTCTCTATAAAAATAAAAAAATTACCCGAGCGTGGGGATGTACACTTCTAGTCCCGGGTACTTGGGAGGATAAGGTGGGAGGATGGCCTGAGCCTGGGAGGTCGAGGCTGCAGTGAGCTATGGTCAGGCCACTGCATTCCAGCCTGGGGAACAGGAAAAAAAAGGCGGAGGACACGTATCTTGGTTTTCTGTTTTGTTTTGTTTTGTTTTTGTTTGTTTGTTTTTTGAGACGGAGTTTTGATCTTGTTGCCCAGGCTAGAGTGCAATGGCGCGATCTCGGCTCACCGCAACCTCCGCCTCCCGGGTTCAAGCGATTCTCCTGCCTCAGCCTTCCGAGTAGCTGGGATTACAGGCATGCGCCACCATGCCCGGCTAATTTTGTATTTTTAGTAGAGACGGGGTTTCTCCGTTTTGGTCACACTGGTCTTGAACTCCTGACCTCAGGTGATCCGCCCGCCTCGGCCTCCCAAAGTGCTGGGATTACAGGCGTGAGCCACCGCGCCTGGCCATGTCTTGGTCTTTTTTTTTTTTCTTTTTCTTTTTTTTTTTTTTTTTTTGAGACGGAGTCTCGCTCTGCCGCCCAGGCTGGAGTGCAGTGGCAAGATCTCGGCTCACTGCAAGCTCCGCCTCCCGGGTTCACGCCATTCTCCTGCCTCAGCCTCCCGAGTAGCTGGGACTACATGCACCCACCACCACGCCTGGCTAATTTTTTATAGTTTTAGTAGAGACGGGGTTTCACCGTGTTAGCCGGGATGGTCTCGATCTCCTGACCTCGGCCTCCCAAAGTGCTGGAATTACAGGCGTGAGCCACCGCGCCCGGCCCATATCTTGGTCTTTAATGTGCAGAGACAGGTCTTTGGAATAGAGACACCCAGCCAGCCTGAAGGCTTCTTCCTCTGGGGTGCAGCCATGTGGCTCTTAGGGGATTAAGCCTAGGCCCCCACGAACGTTTGGGGAGCCCCTAAAGTACAGCCCAGACAGGCAGTGGGGTCACGTTATGGGTCTGTCGCCTTCATGCCAAGTCCTCCACACCCCCGCAGGTCCCACACCGGCGAGCGCCCCTTCCTCTGCTCCGAGTGCGGGAAGAGCTTCTCCCGCTCATCCTCGCTCACGTGCCACCAGCGCATCCACGCGGCACAGAAGCCCTACCGCTGCCCGGCCTGCGGCAAGGGCTTCACGCAGCTCAGTTCCTACCAGAGCCACGAGCGCACGCACTCGGGGGAGAAGCCCTTCCTGTGCCCGCGCTGCGGCCGCATGTTCTCCGACCCCTCGAGCTTCCGTCGCCACCAGCGCGCCCATGAAGGGGTGAAGCCATACCACTGCGAGAAGTGCGGCAAGGACTTCCGGCAGCCGGCGGACCTGGCCATGCACCGGCGTGTGCACACAGGCGACCGGCCGTTCAAGTGCCTGCAATGTGACAAGACGTTCGTGGCGTCCTGGGACCTCAAGCGGCACGCGCTGGTGCACTCTGGCCAGCGGCCCTTCCGCTGTGAGGAGTGCGGGCGAGCCTTCGCCGAGCGTGCCAGCCTCACGAAGCATAGCCGGGTGCACTCGGGGGAGCGCCCCTTCCACTGTAACGCATGTGGGAAATCCTTTGTGGTGTCGTCGAGCCTGAGGAAGCACGAGCGGACCCATCGAAGCAGTGAGGCCGCGGGTGTGCCCCCTGCACAGGAGCTGGTGGTGGGGTTGGCGCTGCCTGTGGGCGTGGCAGGTGAGAGTTCAGCCGCCCCGGCAGCAGGGGCGGGGCTGGGGGACCCTCCAGCAGGGCTGCTAGGGCTGCCCCCGGAGTCAGGTGGTGTGATGGCCACACAGTGGCAGGTGGTGGGCATGACGGTGGAGCATGTGGAATGCCAAGATGCTGGTGTCCGGGAGGCTCCTGGTCCCTTGGAAGGGGCAGGCGAGGCGGGGGGTGAGGAGGCTGACGAGAAGCCCCCCCAGTTTGTGTGCCGAGAGTGCAAGGAGACCTTCTCCACAATGACGCTGCTGCGTCGGCACGAGCGCTCACACCCGGAGCTCCGGCCCTTCCCCTGCACCCAGTGCGGCAAGAGCTTCTCTGACCGGGCTGGGCTGCGCAAACACAGCCGCACTCACAGCTCAGTGCGCCCCTACACCTGCCCCCATTGTCCCAAGGCCTTCTTGAGTGCCAGCGACTTGCGCAAGCATGAACGCACCCACCCTGTGCCCATGGGGACCCCCACACCCCTGGAGCCCCTGGTGGCTTTGCTAGGAATGCCTGAAGAGGGGCCGGCCTGAAGCCCATGACCCCCCAGCACCACACTCCGGGAGCCCAGCCCCCATCGGGGGCTTCCTGTACCTCCTTTTGCCTGGCTCTGCTCTTTAGACTCCAGATCCCTACCCCTCAGCAACTAGCTCCCCTGTCGGCCAGCTAAGAGAGCTGGGACAGTGGAGGCTGGCAGAAGCTGAGACGTGACTGTCTAGGAGTAACACTCATTAAAGCTTTCATTTTGGCACCAGGTCATCTTCTGTGTTCTGGTTGGGAGTGAATGGGTGGGAGTTTGGGCATCAGGTAAGGTTCAGTGGAGACCCCTGGATCCACAGATTTGAAACTAGAAGGGTCTTTGGATGCAGTTTCCCAAAGTATGTTTCAGGATGTCTAGTGACAAAAGGTTTCATGGGCAGGTAAGAAAGGAAATTCCCTGTGCCCTTCTTGGGATTCTTGGTGATCAAAACTTGGTGATCAAAAGTGGGCTGGGGTGGCCCTGGAGGAGCAGTCCCTCTGGCAGCTGAAGCTGGCATCTCCAGGCCCACTGCCCCTTTGTTGTGAGGGCCTGGGACTTAGGAATCTGCCCACAAAAGGGGTATTGTTCATTAAAATCTACCCATTTCTTCATAGAATATACGTCTTCAATTGCCTGGTGGTGGTGGCTCACACCTGTAATCCCAGCACTTTGGGAGGCTGAGGCAGGCAGATCACCTGAGGTCAACAGTTCTGAGACCAGCCTAGTCAACATGGTGAAACCCTGTCTCTATTAAAATTACAAAAATTAGCCAGATGTGGTGGTGCATGCCATAGTCCCAGCTACTCGGGAGGCTGAGGCAGGAGAATCACTTGAACCCGGGAGGTGGAGGTTGCAGTGAGCCAAGATCCCGCCACTGCACTCCAGCCTGGGCTACAGAGCAAAACTCTGCCTCAAAAAAAAAAAAAAAAATTATCACAAGCATTGATAAGTCCAGCAGTGAACACATCTGTTTAGCTTTGTTTAGCCCATACTTATTTGATTATGGAAACCTTTTACTGAGTAGTTCTACTTTTATCCTTTCATAGATAATAAACTGCAGATAAAAATTAGTTATCTTTCCTGTATACTAAAGTAACAAATTAGAAAATATACTTGGTGGAAAAAGGATTCCCAATTCACAACAAAATCCATGGACCATGAAGGAATAAACCTCACAAGAAATGTGCAAAACCTGTATGAAAAGAAATGATAGCTCCAACCTGAAGGATATGAAATAAGACCTAAGTAAATGGAGACATATACCATATACCTGAATGGAAAGACTGATTATTAAAAGATGTCCACCAGGCCCGCTGGCTTACAGCTTTAATTCCAGCATTTTGGGAGGCTGAGGTGGGAGGATCAACTGACGTCAGGAGTTCGAGACCAGCCTGGCCAACATGGTGAAGCCCTATCTCTACTGAAAAATACAAAAATTAGTCGGGTATAGTGGTGGTTGCCTCTAATCTCAGCTACTCGGGAGACTGAGGCAGGAGAATCGGCTTGAACCCGGGAGGCGGAGGTTTCAGTGAGCCGAGATTGTGCCACTGCACTCCAGCCTGGGCGACAGAGTGAGACTCCACCTCAAAAAATAAATAAATAAATAAATAAATAAATAATGTCGAATGGGCTGGGTACAGTGGCTCATGCCTGTAATCCCAGCACTTTGGGAGGCCGAGGCAGGCAGATCACCTCAGGTCAGGAGTTCAAGACCAGCCTGGCCAACCATAGCCAACATGGTGAAACCCCATCTCTACTAAAAATACAAAAATTAGCCAGGCATGGTGGCGGGTGCCTGTAATCCCAGCTACTTGGGAGGCTGAGGGACAAGAATCCCTTGAACCTGGAAGGTGGAGGTTGCAGTGAGCCGAGATGGCGCCCACTGCACCCTAGTCTGGGCGACAGACCAAGACTCCATTTTAAAAAAAAAAGTCGATTCTCCCTAGTTTAGTCCTTAAATTCATTGCCATCCTAAAGGATTATTTATTTATTTATTTAGAGATAGAGTCTTGCTCTATCACCCAGGCTGGAATGAAGTGGTGCAATCTCAGCTCACTGCAACCTCTGCCTCCCGGGTTCAAGCTATTTATTTTTGAGACTGAGTTTTGCTCTTGTTTCCCAGGCTAGAGTGCAATGGCACGATCTCAGCTCACTGCAACCTCCACCTCCCAAGTTCAAGCAATTCTCTTGCGTCAGCCTCCTGAGTAGCTGGGAGGGACTACAAGTGCCTGTCACCACGCCCGGCTAATTTCTTGTATTATTTTTTCTTTTTCTTTTTTATTTTTTAGATGGAGTTTCACTCTTGTTGCCCAGACTGGAGTACAATGCCACGATCTCAGCTCACTGCAACCTCTGCCTCCTGGGTTCAAGCGATTCTCCTGCCTCAGCCTCCCGAGTAGCTGGAACTACAGGTGCATGTCACTATGCCCGGCTAAGTTTTGTATTTTTAGTAGAGACGGGGTTTCACCATGTTGGCCAGGCTTGTCTCGAACTCCTGACCTCAGGTGATCCACCCGCCTTGGCCTCCGAAAGTGCTGGGATTACAGGCGTGACCCACCACGCCCAGCCAAGATTTTTAAACATAACGTGAAAATTCAAACTTCAGATACAACACAATATAATTCAAAGTTCACATATAATACAATATCATTTATTTTTTCTTTTGGGATAAGGTCTCATTCTGTCAGGCTAGAGTGTGGTGGTGTGATCATGGCTCACTGCAGCTCCGACTTCCCAGGCTCTACAAGCAATCCTCCTCCCTCAGCCTTGAGAGTAGCTGGGACTACAGGCACACACCAGCACAGGTGGCAAATTTTTCTATTTTTGTGCAGAGACAGGGTTTCACCATGTTGCCCAGAATGGTCTCAAACTCCTAAGCTCAACCAATCCTCCTGCTTTGGCTTCCCAAAGTGCTGGGATTACAGGCATGAGCCACCGAGTTGGGCCAATATGGTTTTTTAAAACAGGCCGGGCACGATGGCTCACACCTGTAATCCCAGCACTTTGGGAGGCCGAGGTGGGTGGATCATCTGAGGTCAGGAGTTTCAGAACAGCCTGGCCAACATGGCGAAACCCTGTCCCTACTGAAAAAAAAAAAATAACAAAAATTAGCCAGGCATGGTGGCACGTACCTGTAGTCCCAGCTACTCGGGAGGCTGAGGCGGGAGAATCGCTTGAACCCGGGAGGCAGAGGTTGCAGTGAGCCGAGATCGCACCACTACACTCCAGCCAGGGTGACAGAGCGAGACAACATCTCAAAAAAAGAAAACAAAAACAAAAACCAGATAATGTGTTCGACATTCTTCATGTTTTATTTATTTTGAGACAGGGTCTCGCTCCATTGCCTGGGCTGGAGTACAGTGGCATGATCACAGCTCACTGCAGCCTTGAACTCCTGGGCTCGAGTGATCCTCCCTCCTCAGCCTCCTGAGGAGCTGGTCTACTGGTGCACCCAGCTAAATTTTTTAACTTTTTGTAGAGGCAGGGAGTTGCTACATTGCTACGCTGGTCTTCAGCTCCTGGGCTCAAGTGATCCTCCCACCTCAGTCTCCCAAAGTGCTGGGATTACAGGCGTGAGCCACTAAACCCAGCCTGTTTGACATAATAGATAATCAAACACCAGGCTGGGTGCAGTGGCTCACGCCTGTAATCCCAGCACTTTGGGAGGCTGAGGCGGGCAGATCATGAGGTCAGGAGATCGAGACCATCCTGGCTAACATGGTGAAACCCCGTCTCTACTAAAAATACAAAAAATTAGCCGGGCGTGGTGGTGGGTGCCTGTAGTCCCAGCTACTTGGGAGGCTGAGGCAGGAGAATGGGATGAACCCAGGAGGCAGAGCTTGCAGTGAGCTAAGATTGCACCACTGCACTCCAGCCTGGGTGACAGAGCGAGACTCTATCTCAAAAAAAAAAAAAAAAAAAAAAAAAAGATAATCAAACACCAAAGTACTAGGGGAAAAAACACATTGTTTGAGCCCAGGAGCCGGAGGTTGCAGTGAGCCGAGATTGTGCCACTGCACTCCAGCCTGGGTGACAGAGCAAGACTCCGTCTAAAAAAAAAAATTAGCCTGGCATGGCAGCACACACTTGAGAGGCTGAGGCAGGAGAATTGGTTGAACCAGGGAGGCGGAGGTTGCAGTGCGCCGAGATCGTGAAACTGCACTCCAGCCTGGGTGACAGAGAGGGAGACTCTGTCTAAAAAAAAAAAAAAAAAATTATAGTTACCTTTACCTTTAACTGCTCTATGGATCACAACCTGGACATTACACAACATTAAGTGTTCCCTTTGAGATATTCCTTCAGACTCTGGGAGGCCAAAGCAGGTGGATCACTTGAGGTCAGAAGTTCAAGACAGCCTGACCAACATGGTGAAACCCCGTCTCTACTAAAAAAATACAAAATTAGCCGGGCGTGGTGACGCATTCCTGTAATCCCAGTTACTTGGGAGGCTGAGGCAGGAGAATCATTCAAATCCAGGAGGCGAATGTTGCAGTGAGCCAAGATTGCACCATTGCACTCCAGCCTGATCAACATGGTGAAACCCCGTCTCCACTGAAAATACAAAAATTAAGGCTGGGCACCGTGGCTCACTCCTGTGATCCCAGCACTTTGGGAGGCCGAGGGTGGGGCGGGGGCCGATCACGAAGTCAAGAGATCGAGACCACCCTGGCCAACATGGTGAAACCCTGTCTCTACTAAAAATACAAAAATTAGCTGGGTGTGGTGGCACGCACCTCTAGTCCCAGCTACTTGGGAGGCTGAGGCAGGAGAATTGCTTGAACCCGGGAGGTGGAGGTTGCAGTGAGCCAAGATCATGCCACTGCACCTCTAGCCTGCGACCCCCTGCACCTCTAGCCTGGCGACAGAGAGAGACTCCATCTCAAAAAAAAAAAAAAAAAAGAAGAAGAAGAAGAAAAGAAAAGAGATTCCTTCAGGTCCTCATGGAACTACTGACTCAGCTGACCTGAAGGACCCCACAAGGAGCTAATTCCCCCAAAAACGCAGCTTCTACATCCTTCCCCCAATCAATCAATGACCCAGTTGCCCAAAACCTTACCCTCCACAATCCCCTACCCTCCACAGTCCCCTTAGAAACCCTCTCCCAGAATTGCTCGGGGAGATAGATTTGAGGGCCTCTTCCCATCTCTGCACTAGGTGCCCTGCACCAGTAACTCTCTCTGCTGCATCCCTATTGTCTTGGTGTAATGGAGCTGTAGCTGCACAGCAGGCAAAGGAACCTGCAGGTCCCCTAACAATGAAAGGTAAAAAGGAGTCACCAATCCAAAGCAACTGCAAATCCAGCTGGGAAATTCCTTTAGGCTTCCAGGCCTGGAAATGGTTTTCTATGGCTCTTTTCTGCCCTCTTGGCTCTCAGCTCTGCCCTCTGTGTCAGCCATCTTTTCTTTCTTTTTTTTTTTTTGAGATGGAGTCTCGCTCTGTCGTCCAGGCTGGAGTGCAGTGGCGTGATCTCAGCTCACTGCAAGCTCTGCCTCCCGGGTTCACGCCATTCTCCTGCCTCAGCCTCCTTAGTAGCTGGGACTGCAGGCGCCCGCCACCACACCCGGCTAATTTTTTCTATTTTTTAGTAGAGACGGGGTTTCACCGTGTTAGCCAGGATGGTCTTGATCTCCTGACCTCGTGATCTGCCACATCAGCCTCCCATGTGTCAGTCATCTTTTCTAAGAAGCCATTCCTAACCATCCAACAGAAAAGCTGTCTCCAACCCCCTATCACTTTTTGTCACATCACACTGTTTAATTTCTTTTCTTTTCTTTTTTTTTTTTTTTTTGAGACAGAGTCTTGCTCTGTTGCCCAGGCTGGAGTGCAGTGGTGTGATCTCGGCTCACTGCAAGCTCCGCCTCCCAGGTTCATGCCATTCTCCTGCCTCAGCCTCCCAAGTAGCTGGGACTACAGGCACCCGCCACCACACCCAGCTAATTTTTTGTATTTTTAGTAGAGACAGGGTTTCACCATGTTGGCCAGGCTGGTCTCGATTTCTTGACCTCGTGATCTGCCCTCCTTGGCCTCCCAAAGTGCTGGGATTTTTTTTTTTTTTTTTGAGACGGAGTTTTGCTCTTGTTGCCTAGGCTGGAGTGCAGTGGCACAATCTCAGCTCATGGCAACCTCCACCCCTGGGTCCAAGCGATTCTCCAGCCAATTTCTTTCTTTCTTTTTTTAGATGGATTCCCACTCTGTCGTCAGGCTGGAGTGCAGTGGCGTGATCTCGGCTCACTGCAACCTCCACCTCCCGGGTTCAAGGCATTCTCCTGCCTCAGCCTCCCGAGTAGCTGGGACTACAGGCACGCGCCACCACACCCAGCTAATTTTCGTATTTTTAGTAGAGACAGGGTTTCACCATGTTGGCCAGGCTGGTCTCGATTTCTTGACCTCGTGATCTGCCCTCCTTGGCCTCCCAAAGTGCTGGGATTACAGGCATGAGCCACTGCACTTGGCCTAATTGCTTTTTTTTTAAGACAGGGTCTCACTCTGTCTCCTAGCCTGTAGTGCAGTGGCATGATCTTGGCTCACTGCAACCTCCACCTCCCCACTCAAGCAATTCTTATTCTTGTGCCTCAGCCTCCCGAGTAGCCGGGACTGCAGGCATGCACCACCACACCTGGATAATTTTTTTGTATTTTTAGTAGAGACAGGGTTTTACCATGTTGGCCAGGCTGGTCTCAAACTCCTGACCTCAAATGATCCACCCGCCTCAGCCTCCCAAAGTGTTGTGATTACAGGTGTGAGCAACTGTGCCTGGCCTTAATTGTTTTGATAATACACGTTATAGCTTAGAATAGCTTAGCTCTTGGCCGGGCATGGTGGCTCACGCCTATAATCCCAGCACTTTGGGAGGCCGAGGCGGGTGGATCATGAGGTCAGGAGATCGAGACCATCCTGGCTAACACGGTGAAACCCCGTCTCTACTAAAAATACAAAAAATTAGCTGGGCGTGGTGGCGGGCGCCTGTAGTCCCAGCTACTCAGGAGGCTGAGGCAGGAGAATGGCGTGAACCCAGGAGGTGGGGCTTGCAGTGAACCGAGATTGCGCCACTGCACTCCAGCCTGGGCGACAGAGGGAGACTCCGTCTCAAAAAAAAAAAAAAAAAAAAAAAGAATAGCTTAGCTATTTACTTGTCCTCTTCACTAGAATATAAACTCCATGAAAGCAGAGGCCTTGTCTGTATTTTCACCTCTATTTCTCTAGCACCTAACACAATGCCTGGCACACAGGTCTTGCTCAATACATATTTTATGAATAAATGAGTGAAGGAGTTAAGTGTGGAATGGCATGGTACAGTAGGCTGAATAGAGAACCCCCCTAAATATGTCTACGTCCTATTCCTGGAATCTGTGAATGTCACGTTATATGGTGAAAGGGATTTTGAAAATGTGAAGGATCCTGAGATGGAGAGATTATTCAGGATTATCCAAGAGGGCGGTATGTAATCATGAACATCCTCCTAAGAGGCACACAGGAGGAATAAGTCTCAGAGGAGAAAGTGGAGTGATGATGAAGGCAGAGATGGATTCATGTGCTTTCCAATGGAGGATGGACCCACCAGCCAAGGAATACAGGTAGCCTTTCTAAACTGAAAGAGGGTGGGGTGCAACGGCTCACACCTGTAATCCCAGACCTTTGGGAGGCTGAGGCAGGAGGATCTCCTGAATCCAGGACTTTGAGACCAGTCTGGGCAATGGAGTGAGACCTCATCTCTACAAAAAATAAACAAAATTAGCAGGGCGTGGTGGCGTGAGCCTGTGGTCCCAGCTACTGAGAAGGCTAACACGGGAGGATCGCCTGAGCCTGGGAGATGGAGGCTGCAGTGAGCTATGATTGCACCACTGCACCCCAGCCTGGGTAACAGAGCGAGACCCTGTCTCAAAAAAAAAAAAAAAAAAAAGAGCTGAAGAAGGCAAGGAAACATTGTCCACCAGAGCCACCAACAAAAACCAGCCCTGCTGACACCAGACATTGGCTCAATGAAACTGATTTTGAACTTCTGACTTCCAGAACTGTAAGAAAGTAAATGTGTGTGGTTTTAAACCACTGAGTGTATGATAATTGGTTAAATCAGTAACAGAAAATTGATACCGTTTGAGGCCAAGGCAGTGGCTCACGCCTATAATCCCAGCACTTTTGGAGGCTGAGGTGGGTGGATCACCTGAGGGCAGGAGTTCAAGACCAGCCTGGCCAACATGGGGAAATCCTGTCTCTACTAAAAATACAAAAATTAGCTGGGCATGGTGGAGCACGCCTGTAATCCCAGCTACTCAGGAGGCTGAGGCAGGAGAATTGCTTGAACCTGGGAGGCAGAGGTTGCAGTGAGCCGAGATGGCAACACTGCACTCCAGCCTAGGGGATAGAGGGAGACTGTCGAAAGAAAGGAACAAAGGAAGGAAGGAATGAAGGAAGGAAGGAAGGAAGGAGGGAGGGAGGGAGGGAGGGAGGGAGGAAGGAAGGAAAGGAAGGAAAAATTGATACAGTTGGGATGGGTTAACATTCAATGTGTGTGGTGGCAACAGCTTATGGTCCCCCAGTATCCATTCTACCCTTCTCCCAGAGTAACTGAACTTTTATCTGGGCAAAAAGCTGCTCAGGGTAGAGATTCTATTTCTCAGCAACACTTTCATCGGGATGTAGCCATATGACTACATCCTGGCTATGGGGATTAGAGCAAAAATGATCTGTACTTCTGAATCATGCTCTTTAGGGCAAAGGGCAAACCATCACCCCTCAGAAGGGCCAGACTGTGGAAGTGGTGGTGAATCATATTGGATCATGTGGGTGAGGGCAACGCCCTAGGGATGGAACAGCAACAAGATAAAAAAGACCTGGAGGGGCAGAGTGGCTCATGCCTGTCATCCCAGAGCTTTGGGAGGGTGAAGCAGGAGGATCACTTGAGGCCAGGAGTTTGAGACCAGCCTGGGCAACATAGTAACACCCCACCTCTACAAAAAAGAAAAAGAAAAATTAGCCAGGCGTGGTGGCATGTGCTTGTAGTCCCTGCTACTTTGTTGGGGCTAAGGCAGGAGAATCGCTGGAGCCCAGGATTTTGAGGTTACAGTGAATTATGATTGCACCACTGCACTCCAGCCTGAATGGTGCAGAAAATTGTCTCTATTAATGGTAGTAATGAATCAATGAATGAATGAATGATACAAAAAATCTGGCTCCTAATGATTTCATGGAAAGATCCATCATACTAACTTGGACTTTTATAGAAGAGAGAAATAAACTTCTATCTTATTTAAGCCACAGTTAATTTGGGTCTCTATTATATGCAACAATACACATACACAAACTAATTCAGAATTTTCACTTACTAACCATTATGATTCTTTTTTGTTTTGTTTTGTTTTTGAGACGGAGTTTTACTCTTGTCGCCCAGGCTGGAGTGCAGTGACACAATCTCGGTTCACTGCAACCTCTGCCTCCAGGGTTCAAACAATTCTTCTGCCTCAGCCTCCCAAGTAGCTGGGATTTCAGGCATCCACCACCACGCCTGGCTAATTTTTTTTTTTTTTTTAGTAGATATGGGTTTCACCATGTTGATTAGGTTGGTCTTGAACTAACCTCAGGTGATCCGCCCCCTCGGCTTCCCAAACTGCTGGGATTACAGGTGTAAGGCACCATGCCTGGCCAAACATTATGTTCTTTTCTCTTTTTTTTTTTTTTTTTTTTTTCAGAGTCTCACTCTCTAGCCCAGGTTAGAGTGCAGTGGCGTGATCTGGGCTCACTGCAACCTCCACCTCCCAGGTTCAAGCGATTCTCCTGCCTCAGCCTCCCGAGTAGGTGGGACTACAGGTGTGCACCATGAGGTGTAGCTAATTTTTGTATTTTTAGTAGAGATGGGGTTTCATGGTGTTGACCAGGCTGGTCTCTCAAGTGATCCACCTGCCTCAGCCACCCAAAGTGTTGGGATTACAGGTGTGAACCACCATGCCCAGCTTTTTTATTTCTTTTTCCCCCCCTTTTTAAAAATAGAGCTAGGATTTTGCCATGTTTCCTAGACTGGTCTCAAACTCCTGGGCTCAAGCAATCCACCCGCCTCTGCCTCCCAAAGTGCTGGGATTACAGGCGTGAGCCCCCGTGCCCGGCCTGGACAGCTTCTTTTTAATGCATCTCAGGATGCATGTGAGATTGATATTTACTAGGCACCATGTTGATGCTAGAAGGTCTGGGCCCCACCAGATGTTTTTACAGTTCCTGTGAGCAGCTGCTACTAGTTGCCAAATGCCAGCAAGAATCAAGAAGACTCGGCTTGGCTGGGCACGGTGGTTCATGCCTGTAATCCCAGCACTTTAGAAGGCCAAAGCTGGCGGATGGCCTGAGGTCAGGAGTTCCAGACCTACTCAGGAGGCTGAAGCACAATATTTGCTTAAATCCAGAAGGCAGAGGTTGCATTGATCCGAGATCGCACCACTGCACTCCAGCCTGGTGACAGAGCAAGACTCCATCTCAAAAAAAAAAAAAAAAAGAAAGAAAAAAAGAAATAGGCTCACTGGTTAGGACCTGAGGGTGAACAGCTCTGAAGAGGAGCAAAGGCGGAGACTTCCTAACATCAGCATAGCTCATTATGGTGTGTCAGTTGTCATGGTGATGGGAAAGGATACCTGAGCAGGGTATCCCACAGGGAGGCTGCATCTATCAGCTGGGATCCAGTTACGCTGCAGTAATAGCAGCCCCCAAATCTTAGGGGCTCACAACACCATGTTGATTTCTCACTCATATCCATGTCCTCCATGGGACCACTCTGTTCTATGCTATCTTCATTCTAGAGCCCTGTCTGAAGGAAAAGTCTCAAGCTGGAACTTTCCGTCTCCAGACACCGAAGAGAGGAAAGGTGGCAGACCCCATGACGGCTTTTAAAGCTTCCTCGTGGAAGTGGCACATGTCATTTCCACTCAAAGTCCATGGTCTAAAGCAAGCCACATAGCCATACCTGATGTCAGTGAACTGGGGACAAAAAACCATTCTATGTAGCAGGTCCCCAAAGAGAGGGCCAGTGAATACATGTGATTTTTTTTTGTTGGTTGTTTTTTTAGAGTCAGTGTTTTGTTGTGTTGCCCAGGCTGGAGTGCATAGGTGCATGGTGCAATCATAACTCACTGCAGCCTCTACCTCCTGAGCTTAAGTGATCCTCCCACCTCAGCCTCCTAAGTAGCTAGGACTACAGGCAAGCACCACCACGCCCAGCTAATTTTTTTTTATTGTTTTATTTTTTGTAGAGATAGGGTCTCACTATGTTGCCCATGCTGGTCTCAAACTCCTGGCCTCAAGTGATCCTCCTGCTTCACCCTCCCAAAGCACTGGGATTATAGGCGTGAGCCACCACACACATCCCAGTGAATGTTTTTGAACAATTATAAAATCTTCCCCCGTCTGCCCTCTTCCTTACAAATACTGCCTTTGCATTTTCTTCCATATGCAAAATAAATGCATCCCCTTCCCAAGGGAGACCACCTAAGTGACCCATCTGACATGGAATCAGCCTCAAGCCCAGGATCTCTAATAGTCTCTTCTATATCAGGTCCAGATGTGGCTTCTCTTGATTCAGAGACCTATGAGCTACAAAATAAGAGAGAGACAGAGACAAGTTACCTGTGCCCCATTTCTACACACACACACACACGAACACATCCAACATATAAAGCAGAACAAGGACAGGAGAACAGCAGAGCACACTCCCGTTCAGAAGGAAGGACAGGGCCCGGTGCGGTGGCTCATGCCTGTAATCCCAGCACTTTGGGAGGCCGAGGCCGGTGGATCACCTGAGGTCAGGAGTTTGAGACCACCCTGGCCAACACGGTGAAAACCTGTCTCTACTAAAAATACAAAAATTAGCCAGGCGCAGTGGCTCACGTCTGTAATTCCAGCACTTTGGGAGGCCGAGGGGGGCAGATCACAAGGTCAGGAGTTCAAGACCAGCCAGGCCAACATAGTGAAACCCGGTCTCTACTAAAAATACAAAAAGTTAGCCGGGCGTGGTGGCGGGCCCCTGTAGTCCCAGCTACTCAGGAGGCTGAGACAGGAGAATCGCTTGAACCCAGGAGGCAGAGGTTGCAGTGAGCCGAGATCGTGCCATTCCACTCCAGCCTGGGCGACAGTGCAAGACTCCGTCTCAAAAACAAAAACAAAAAACCCCAAAACCAAAAATTAGCCAGGCGTGGTGGCATGCACCTGTAGTCCCAGCTACTCGGGAGGCTGAGGCAAGAGAATCGCTTGAACCCAGGAGGCAGAGGTTGCAGTGAGCCGAGATAGTGCCATTGCACTACAACATGGGTGACAAAAGTGAAACTCTGTCTCAAAAAAAAAAAAAAAAAAAAAAAAGGAAGGAAGGACAGGAGACACACAGCAGGCTCTGGGCCCCACTAAGTCTAAAGTGCTGCTGGGCAGATGTTGAGAAGAACCCCCACTTTTCCCTGGGAGTGGGAAGAGTTCCCTAGTTCATTCTTCACCATGTTCTTGGCTCTGCCCTTAGAGTAAACCACCCTTTTCCACTTATTCTCCTTGGCCACAATTGAGAGGACACTGGTGGTTATGTCTTTCTGAAGTAGAGTAGCTTTCTCAGTCTCCTTCATGCCCATAGAAATTTGGAGACCCATGGCCAGGTGCGGTGGCTCACGCCTATAACCCCAACACTTTGGGAGGCCGAGGCGGGCAGATCACGAGGTCAGGAGATCGAAACCATCCTGGCGAACACAGTGAAACCCTGTCTCTACTAAAAATACAAAAAAAAATTAGCCGGGCATGGTGGCGGGCGCCTGTAGTCCCAGCTACTCGGGAGGCTGAGGCGGGAGAACGGCGTGAACCTGGGAGGCAGAGCTTGCAGTGAGCCGAGATCACACCACTGCACTCCAGCCTGGGTGACAGAACGAGACTCCGTCTCTAAAAAAAAAAAAGAAATTTGGAGACCCAGGCCGGGCATGGTGGTTCACATCTGCAATCACAGTATTTTGAGAGGCTAAGGCAGGAGGATCACTTGAGGCAAGGATTGCTTGAGGCCAGCCTGGGCAACATACAGAGACCCCCATCTCTACTAAAAACAAAACAAAACAAAACAAAAAAAAACCTGAAATACAAAAATTAGGCTGGGCATGGTGGCTCACACCTGTAATCCCATCACTTTGGGAAGCCAACGAGGGAGAACTCCTTAAGACCAGAAGTTCAAGACCAGCTTGGGCAACAGGCTGAAATCCTCTCCAGAAAAAAATAGAAAAATTAGCCAGGTGTGGTGGCGCATGCCTGTAGTCCCAGCTACTCAGAAGGCTGAGGTGGGGGGATCACTGGAGCCCTAGAGGTAGAGGCTGCAGTGAGGCTTGATTGTGCCACTGCACTCCAGCTGGAGTGACAGAGCAAGACTTCATCTCAAAACAAAACAAAGCAAAACAAAACAAAAATAGGCTGGGCATGGTGGTACACTGCACGCCTATAATGCCAGCACTTTGGGAGGCCAAGACAGGTGAATCGCTTGAGTTCAGGAGTTCGAGACCAGCCTGGGCAATATAGCAAGACCCTGTCTCTACCAAAAAAATACAAAAATTAGCCGGGCATGGTAGCGCACACCTGTAGTCCCAGCTACTTGGGAGGCTGAGGTAAGTGGATCACTCAAGCCCAGGAAGCGGAGGTTGCAGTGAGCCAAGATCGTGCCACTGCACTTCAGCCTGGGTGGCAGAGTGAGATTTTGTTTCAAAAAAATTTGAAAAACAAAAATTAGCCTGCTGGGGTGGCATGGGCCTGTAGTCCCAGCTACTTGGGAGGCTGAGGCAGGAGGATCGTGTGAGCCCAGAAGTTCGAGGTTATAGAGAGCTGTGGTTGCATCACTGCACTCCAGGCTGGGTGACAGAGTGAGACCCGGTCTCCGAAATAAAAAAAAAGAAAGAAACTTGGGGACCTAAAAATCATACTAAGTATTGAACACTCATGGTCAAGATTTAACCTGGTGGCTTTTTGTCAGGGTGAGGGGGTGTTAGGCAGGGGAAGCAGGGCAATTCCCTCCAAAACTGAACTTACGTATTTTACTCCATTCAGATCCATGGGTCAACAGCATACCCATAATTCTTTTCAGACATAACCATGACGTTAGACTTAACTGTAGTTGAGCCTACTGACTCCCTCAGGTAAGCTACATTTTTTTTTTTTTTTGAGATGGAGTTTCACTCTTGTTGCCCAGGCTGGAGTGCCATGGGTGATCTTGGCTCACTGCAACCTCCGCCTCCCAGGTTCAAGCAATTCTCCTGCCTCAGCCTCCCAAGTAGTTGGGATTACAGGCATGCACCACCATGCCTGGCTAATTTTGTATTTTTAGTAGAGACGGGGTTTCTCCATGTTGGTTAGGCTAGTCTCAAACTCCTGACCTCAGGTGATCCGCCCACCTCAGCCTCCCAAAGTGCTGGAATTACAGGCGTGAGCCACCACGCCCAGCCAAGGTGAGTTACACTCTTAACCTCTTTCCTTTGAATCATCTTGACTAGCTGAGAGGATTTATTAGGAACCACTTTGATCAGTTTGGAGATTTTTACAAAGGGCATAATAGCCATATACTTGATATGGCCCTTGCCACAAAGATGACTTTTAATCAAAACTTGTAGCTCAGCCGGTCGCAGTGGCTCACACCTGTAATCCCAGCACTTTGGGAGGCCGAGGTGGGAGGATCATTTGAGGTCAGAAGTTCAAGACCAGCTTGGCCAACATGGTGAAACCTGTCTCTACTGAAAATACAAAAATTAGCTGAGCGTGGTGGTGCACGCCTGTAATCCCAGCTACTTGGGAGGCTGAGTCAGGAGAAAGGCTTGAACCCAGAAGGTGGCCTTGGAAACAAGAGCAAGACTGTCTCAAAAACAAAAACGAAAACCTTGTGGCTCAAGGACTTTCTCAGTTGTATCTTTTACTGAAAATGTGGATCACTTGCCTCGAATTTCTATATTCTCTTCCATTTCTGCTTATAAACTGACCATTTAATTTCTGAGTCATCTCTTTCTTCTAGTAACTCCTCAAATGCATGCAATAGTAGTGACAGCATGCTACCAATACTCCCTTTCCCCAGTTCTTTACCTAAAGCCTAAAGCTCATTTGGTCATAAGCTTACAGTTTAACCAAACGATTCACCATTGCATAACACACGTCACCATCTTTCCAACTTCCAATGACAGTTCCCTTACCAGCCACTGTCCAGCTCAACGTCAATGTCATATAGTTTACATAGTTTAGGCTTTTTTTTTTTTTTTTGAGATAGTCTTGCTCTGTCGCCCAGGCTGGAGTGCAGTGGCTTGATCTTGGCTCACTGCAACCTCCGCATCCAAGGTTCAAGCGATTCTCCAGCCTCAGCCTCCTGAGTAGCTGGGATTACAGGTGCCCACCACCATGCCTGGATAATTTTTGTATTTTTAGTGGAGACAGGGTTTCACCATGTTTGCCAGGCTAGTATCAAACTCCTGACCTCAGCACCCACCTCAGCCTCCCAAAGTGCTGGGATTACAGGCATGAGCCACCATGCCTGGCTGGGGATTTTTTTTTTTTTGGACCCAGGCTGGAGTGCAGTGGTGCAATCTTGGCTCACTGCAACCTCTGCTTCCTGGGCTCAAGTGATCCTCCCATCTCAGCCTCCCAAGTAGCTGGGACTACAGGCACATGCCATCACACCTGGCTAATTTTTAATAATATTTTTATTTTTATTTTTTAATTTTTTGAGATGGAGTCTCACTCCATCGCCCAGGCTGGAGTGCAGTGGCGCAATCTTGACGCACTGCCAACCTCTGCCTCCTGGGTCCAAGCGATTCTCCTGCCTCAGCCTCTAGCTGGGATTACAGGCACCTACCACCATGCCTGGCTAATTTTTTTTGTATTTTTAGTAGAGACAGGGTTTTGTCATGTTGGCCAGGCTGGTTTCAAACTCCTAACCTTAGGTGACCCACTTACCTTGGCCTCCCAAAATGCTGGGATTACAGGTGTGAGCCACCGTGCCCGGCTGAGGCTCAATTTTTATTGTTGCAGCACACCACTTCTGGGTATTAATTCTGTAACAGTTTGTTTAAACATTTGGATGTGCTAACAAACAACCTCCATATATCAATGGCTCACAGCAAGAGAGATTTATTTCTTAAATTCTGCATCATTTTATAGGTAGGCTGTAGCCCAGCTTCATGTCATTGTCATTCTGGGTTGCAGGCTGAAAGAGAAGTCTAGATCTGGAAACTGCCAGGTTTATGAGCCTGAGCAGAGGGAGAAGAGACTGGAAGCTGCTAGAGTACTCAATGGTGCCCTAAAGCTTCTATGCAGAAGTGATACTTTACCTTTTTTTTTTTTTTTTGAGACGGAGTTTCACTTTTTGTCCAGGCTGGAGTGCAATGGCATGATCTGGGCTCATTGCAACCTCCTCCTTCCCGGGTTCAAGTGATTCTCCTGCCTCAGCCTTCCTAGCAGCTGGGATTACAGGCCCGTGCCACCATGCCTGGCTAATTTTGTACTTTTAGTAGAGACAGGGTTTCACCACGTTGGCCAGACTGGTCTCGAACTCTTGACCTCAGCTGATCCACCCGCCTCATCCTCCCAAAGTGCTGGGATTACAGGTGTGAGCCATTGCGCCCGGCCGATATTTTGCCTTCCTACCCATATTCCACTGGCCAAAGCAAGTCCTATAGCCAAACCTATTGTAAGTAGGGAATGAGCATATAATGCTCCTATAGGGAGGGGCCCAGCAGGGAAGGTAAGCAAATATCTGGAACAGAGATGTCAATCACTGCCCTAGTCAACTCCTCTTCCAGCACATACACACGCTCTGCTGCAGCATTTTGTACCATGTCACTTCCTACATCCATCTTAGCCAAGGGTAAAAGGGTAAAGTCTTGACTCAAGGGCAAAGTCTTTTTCTTTTCTTTTTTTTCTTTTTTTTTTTTTTTTTTTTTGAGACAGGGTATTATTCTGTTGTCCAGGCTGGAGTGCAGTGGTGCAATATTGGCTCACTGTGGTCTCAACCCCAGGCCCAAGCAATCCTCCCACCTCAGCCTCCCAAGTAGCTGGGACCACAGGCACGTACCACTGACATGTACCTGGCTTTTTTTTTTTTTTTTTTTTTTTTGAGAGGGAGTTTTGCTCTTGTTGCCCAAGTTGGAGTGCAATGGGACAATCTCGGCTCACTGCAACCTCCACCTCCCGGGTTCAAGTGATTCTTCTGCCTCAGCCTCCCAAGTAGGATTACAGGCCTGCACCACCATATCCAGCTAACTTTTTGTATTTAGTAGAGACGGGGTTTCACCATGTTGGTCAGGCTGGTCTCGAACGCCTGACATCAGGTGATCCACCTGCCAGGGCCTCCCAAAGTGCTGGGATTACAGGCATGAGCCACAGTGCCCAACCTAATTTTAATTTTTGTAGAGATAGGGTCTTGTTATATTTCCCTGGCTGGTCTTGAACTCCTGGGCTCAAGCAATACTCCTGCTTTGGCCTCCCAAAGTGCTGGGATTACAAATGTGAACAACAGTGCAAAGTCTTGAGTTAAAGGGCAGACAATTCCTAGGCAAGTAAACGTAATCTGATCTGGAGAGCAGACCAGACTGATTCATTTTCTTGGGAACTTGAACCACAATAGATTGAATAAGTGAGCTGCAGCTGACAGGTTGTGATACAAGATGGACTTGGAAATGTCACATCAAACCAAGACCCTGTTGCCTAAAAGTTGGGCTGACAGCAGCAAAGCTAGGATTTCAATGCAAATCCTGCCCTTAGCCCCTCACTCAGGGCAGTTTCCCAAAGGGAAGAGATGTACACAGGGGAACCCACGGAATCTCCAGTGCACGCATCCATCTGTTCGCTTGCCTACCAGATCTGCTCCAAACTCACCTGCTCAAAGACCTTCTATGGGTCCTGACAGCCCACAGGAAAAGTTCAAAGGATTGAGCCTGGCATCCGAGGCCACTTGGCCATCAGGCCACCTTTTCCAGGAGGTTCTGGATGGCTTTCTGGGTGAAACCGGGGAGCTGCTTTTCAGGGGCGGCGCTGTCCAGCATGGCTAAGAAGAGGCACACACTGCACGTGGCCCCCCGCTGCACATGGCCCCCGCTGCAGGTGGACACCCGCTGCATAGACAGTGGATGCCGAGAGACTCTATCAGATCCCAGTAAGCACCACAGATCTTGCAATTTTACTCTGAAGGCAGAGAAGTGAGAGAGTGGATGAAGGCAGCCAACGGGACAGGACTTTGCTGGAGATGCAAGCAGAGAATCAGGGAAGTCCAGAGGCCCCAGGTCCAAATCAGCTTTGTACTGGGGCAGCATCTGCCCGGCCCGCAGCTCCCATCGGGTGGACACACCTAGATCGCATCTGCACACTCCAGAGAAGGTGGAGCTCTTTCCTGTAAAGCCCACGACACACTGGATCTGCCGGGCCCTCCTCAGCCACACAGCCTTCCAGTGTCTTTGGGGGGTTCGATCCAGCCCCTTGCGGTATACAATCCAACCACTTCGGGGTATGTCTGCGCCTCGCCCTAAGGCCCCACCCACACCCGCTTCCTAGACCTAAGCGCCATTTGATGGTGGGGCGGGGATCACTCTTCCAGGACCCTCCAGACTAATGTCCATGCTCTTCAGAGACAACACTTAAGTCCCGCTGGCCAATCGTAACCAAACCACGGCCTTAGCCACGCCCCATGCACAGCTCGCCCAGTTGCGGACGATCTCGGACGGTAAGACCTGCACTCCAGGGCCACCGGGAGGCGCTGCGGGGCCACCGGGAGGCGCAGTCGGGGGTCGGCGAGGCCTGGCCCTCGGGCCCAATTCCGCCCTCCTGCCCTTCCCCTAGCCCAGTCCAGAGCCCGGTCCAATGTGCATCAGCGAAGCCACATCCAGCGCTTACGCGACGCGGTCTCCCACACATGGCAACGCGGGACTGAGCCCGCCAGACTGGGCAGCTGGGAGCGGCGGCAGCGGCAGCAACAGCAGGGGCCTGTAAGATTGAAAGTGGGATGGACTGGGCGGCTGCGACGCAGTCCCCAGACCTTGGAGGTCAGAGCTAGGCGCCGCCCTACTGCAAGTAGGCAGGTGCCAGGAGCCGGCTTACCCTTTAAAACTAGGTGTCGGGGGCCGGGCGCGGTGGCTCATGCCTGTAATCCCAGCACTTTGGGAAGCTGAGGCGGGCGGATCACGAGGTCAGGAGATCGAGACCATCCTGGCTAACACGATGAAACCCCGTCTCTACTAAAAATACAAAAAATTAGCCGGGCGCGGTGGCGGGTGCCTGTAGTCCCAGCTACTCAGGAGCCTGAGGCAGGAGAATGGCGTGAACCCGGGAGGCGAAGTTTGCAGTGAGCGGAGATCGCACCACTGCACTCCAGTCTGGGCGATAGAGCAAGACTCCGTCTCAAAAAAAAAAAAAAAATTAGCCGGGCATGGTGGCGGGCGCCTGTAGTCCCAGCTACTCTGGAGGCTGAGGCAGGAGAATGGCGTGAACCCGGGAGGCGGAGCTTGCAGTGAGCCGAGATTGCGCCACTGCACCCCAGGCTGGGCGACAGAGCGAGACTCTGTCTCAAAACAAACAAACAAACAAACAAAAACTCTAGGTGTCGGGGAACAGGAGCCACGTCCACTCCAGAAATTAGGCATCAGGACTAGGAGCCCTTAGAAATTTAGGCGGTGGCTCACGCCTGTAATCCCAACACTTTGGGAGGCCGAGGAGGGCAGATCACGATGTCAGTAGATCGAGACCATCCTAACACGGTGAAACCCCGTCTCTACTAAAAATACAAAAAATTAGCCGGGTGTGGTGGCGGGTGCCTGCAGTCCCAGCTACTCGGGAGGCTGAGGCAGGAGAATGGCGTGAACCTGGGAGACGGAGCTTGCAGTGAGCTGAGATAGTGCCACTGCACTCCAGCCTGGGCAAAAGAACAAGACTCTGTCTCAAAAAAAAAGAAAAAAAGAAATTTAGTCAGGGCTTGGATTTCAGGTACCTTATGGAAGAAATCAGAGGTCAGGCTTTTCTGCTGCCACCACCTGCTTCAGCCAGGTAACCCTCAGCAACCAGGTGCACTGATCCAGGATCACTGGCTCTCTATGCTGCTGCTGCTGCTGCTGCTGCTACTGATGATGATTGCTATTATTTTTGAGACAGGGTCTCGCTCTGTCACCCAGGATGGAGTGCAGTGGGATGACCATGGCTCACTGCAGCCTTAATCTCCTGGGCTCAAGCGATCCTCCCACCTCAGCCTCTGGAGTAGCTGGGACGACAGACACTTGCCATCACGCCTGGCTAATTTGTAAAATTATTATTCTCTAAAGAGAAGAGGTTGCCCCATCCTGCCTAGGCTGGTCTCAAGCTCCTGGGCTCAAGAGATCCTCCTGCCTGGGCCTCCCAAAGTGCTGGGATTACTGGTGCGAGCCACCACACCCTGCCTAAACGCTTATGTAAAAGATGATGCTTTTGTTGGTCACAGGGCCCGGCCTCCTGTGCTTTCTGACTGGCAACCTCTTCCCCAGCTTAACATCCCACTCCAATGTCATCCCTGCTGAAACCAGACCATCCCTATCCACTGCATCCAAAGTGACAGCCTCAATTAGGCATTTTTTCATGGTGCCTCTTCCTCTGGGCCACAAGAAGGCCCACTGATGCCACCCAAACCCCCATCTCACCTGCGTCCCAGCCTGGCCTGGTCAGCCTCATCATTTCCAAGACAGATACTCACAGTGGTCCTTTCCCGGGGACAGTACTGAGCCAGGAGCTAGATGCCGGTGTTACCCCTCCCTGCCCACCCATTCCTATGGGGGTGCAGAAAGGCAGAACCAGCCTGCTGTGGGCACAGCACCCCTGGCAGTTTGACCTGAGCAGCCAGGGCCAGACCTGGCCCTGGGGACGTCCAGGAGGTAAGGAGGTTGGATGCCCGGAAGCCTTGGGCCAGCCCTTCCAGGAACACACGTGCACAGGGCTTTCTATGCTCTTTTTTTGTTTTTTAATTTTTTACAAAACCGTGTGTCCCGGCCAATCAGGACAGTGCAGGCCTCCCCCAGGCATTGAGGCCTGAAGGAGGAGGCCATCATGAATGAGCAGCTGCCAACCCCAGAAGAACTGTCTGCCCTTCTGCATAGGGGCCAGTGTGAGGAAGGGGTCCGACTGGAGGCTCTGCCCTGCCCCCCAGGCTGCTGGGAGAGAAGGCCAGGCCCTGGGTTCCTGGTGCTCCTAGTGCCTGTAAGGAAAGGAGGGAGAACAGGGTCTGAGGGAGGAGGGAGGGCTGGGGCCAGGGCTGGGGCAGGCCAGGGGGCAGCCCACAACATCTCACCAACAATGTGCGACATTATCCAACCACTGTGACGCCAATGATGACTGCTAGGAGGACGACGGTGATGGACACACAGATGGCAATCAAGACTTTCTTCTGTGGGAGAGGAGGGGGTCAGGGAAGTCACACAGGGTGCCTGGGGCAGTGGCCGGGCCTGGGAGGCTCACCTTCCTCGCCTTCTTCTGGTTCTCCAGGGCCGTCTTGACGTGCTCCTGCCCACGTTCCACGTAGTCCGCTGAGCTCAGGATGTTCTTCTCAATCCGATTGATCATCTCCCCCTGCTCAGAGGATGGGGTGGTTCAGGGAGGTAAGGATGCCTTTGCCCACCCCACCCCAGATGACTGAAGAACATTCCTGGCAGGAAAAAAAAATTGCACTAACAAAGACAAGGGCAAGACTTGATCTGACAAAAGTTCAGACTCCTTGGGGATGGCTTCCAGGCCCCTTCTATCATGTAGTCCCTTGTCCCCTGCTCACTTATCCCATACAACCTCTATCTGCAGTGGTAGCTTGGAGCTAAGGGCCTCAAATGGCTCATACCTTTCACAGATGGTGAACTGTGCCTTCACAAATCTGTCTGAATTTACCCATTCTTCCAGGCCTATCTACAGCTGCTGCAAAGCCCTCCCTATCCCTGCCTCCTCCTGGCACCACCAGCCTCAGGTCTCAGTACTCCTACTGAATGAGATCTCTTTCCTGTAAGTCTCAGCTGCAAAAGGGCATTGGCTGTAGCATGACTGAGGCCAGCTCCTCCAGGACAGGGCTGGAAGCTCAACTCAACTCACAACCAGGGCCAGGGGAACGCCGCCCCCACCCCAGCCTTGTACAGATGTTAGGAGGCAGCCCCTCTAGGGCAACTCTGACTGGACCTCTGAGAGGTATAAGGGTGGATGCTGTTAGTGGAGGGGGAGTGAGGGCTGGGGCCAGACCTGGGCAGGCTCAAGTTTTGGAGAGGGGGCAGGGTGCTATGCAGAAGGGAGTGGGCATCTGTGTAGCAGCAGAGGCAGGTGCCATTCTCGGGGTACAGCTAAGGATAGGAATAAGCACCAATCTGGGGGCATGGCCAAACCTGGAAGACACAAAAGCCTCAGGGAGAGAATCTAAGGGTGGCGGGAGGCTGGCAGTTTGGACTGAGCCTGGTCTCACGTCTGGGGCTGCGCGGGGCACCCACCTGCATCTCCACTTCGGTAGCCAGAAAAGTGAATATGTCGTGCAGCTCACGAATACTGCGTTCAAGCTGCTGGATCTCACTGTGCCGGGCCGAGATCTCATTTAAGGCCTGTCGAGTCACCTGCGTGTCCTTCAGGATCTGGGGGGTGGACAGGAGTGGGGCAACTGTTCACAGGGAGACCGACAGCAGGTCAGAAACTCCTGTTGAGCTTCTGGGGAGCCCTCAGCCTGGAATCTGATGGGTGACTCCAGGCAGGCTAATTAATTCCCTTAGAGGCCTCAGGGTGCCCTTAATCAGAAAGGGCCACAGCAAGCGGGGTGCAGTGGCTTGCACCTATAGTCCCAGCTACTCGGGAGGCTGAGGCAGGAGGATCACCTGAGCCCAGGAGGTCGAGAAACGGACAGGACTCAGAGGGGATGGGAGGCACAGCAGAGAGGGGCTGGCTGTGGCCACTCACATTGGACACAAACACCTCGCTTTGCCCACTGTCCAGCATCTGCTCCAACTCCTCATCAGACACCATCCCAGCATTGGCTGTGAAGGAAAAGGCCAGGCTCAGGGTTGGGTTGGGATTACCTGCCCCTGCGGGCCAGGCTGGGCATGCACAACTCACTGATCTTCAGCTGCCTCCGAATCCGCTCCACGTTCTTCTCCCGGTATTCGGACTGCATTGAATTGCACTTGTTGATGAGCTCCACGAATTGCTGGGACAGGACCCCATGCTAAAGATGAAGAATATAGGCTGAGTGCCCCTGGGAGGATCCCTGCCCGGTCGGTGCCTCGGCAACCCCATAGTACAGTGAGCAAATAGCATGAGCTCTTATGCGGGATCTGCCACCTTAACCACCTTGTGATGACCTTGACAGGCTCCCCCATTTCTCTTAGACTAAAAGCCAAAGCCCTTATCAGGCCTATGTGGTCCTCCATGATCTTTTTTATTTATTTATTTATTTATTTATTTATTTATTTATTTATTATTTGTTTTTTGAGACAGAGTTTCACTCTTGTTGCCCAGGCTGGAGTGCAGTGGCACAATCTCGGCTCACTGCAACCTTGGCCTCCCGGGTTCAAGCAATTCTCTTGCCTCAGCCTCCCGAGTAGCTGGGACTACAGGCACGCGCCACCACGCACGGCTAATTTTTGTATTTTTAGTAGAGATGGGGTTTCACCATGTTGGCCAGGATGGTCTTGATCTCTTGACCTTGTGATCCACCTGCCTCGGCCTCCATTACAGGCGTGAGCCACTGCACCTGGCCTATTTTTATTTTTAATAGAGACAGGGTTGGCCGGGCACGGTGGCTCATGCCTGTGATCCCAGCACTTTGGGAGGCTGAGGCAGGTGGATCACCTGAGGTCAGGAGGTCAAGACCAGCCTGGCCAACGTGGTGAAACCCCATCTCTACTAAAAGTACAGAAATTAGCTTGGTGCAGTGGTGGGCGCCTGTAGTCCCAGCTACTTGGGAGGCTGAAGCAAGAGAATGGCTTGAACCCAGGAGGCGGAGGTTGCAGTGAGCAGAGATGGCACCACTGTACTCCAGCCTGGGCAACAGAGTGAGACCCTGTCTCAAAGGAAAAAAAAAAAAGGGGGGGGGGTCTCACTATATTGCCCAGGCTGGTCTCAAACTCCTGGGCTCAACCAATCCTCCCACCTCAGCCTCCAAAGTGCTGGGATTACAGGCGTGAGCCACGGTGCCTGGCTAGCCCTCTATGATCTCTCCTTCTCCCATGACCTCTCTGATCTTACTTCCTCTTACTGTTCCCTTCCTCTGCCCATCCACACTGGTCTCCTTACCCCTCCCTAGACAAAGCACACTCTCAGCTTAAGCCTTTGCATTCACTTTTCCTTCTACCTAGAATGCTCATTCCCAGCAAACACCTTTAAGTCTCTTGTTCAGATGTTACCTTCTGAATGAAGCTTCCTCCACCTGCTTTCAACTGCAACTCTACCTCCTCCAGCATGCTTAGTCCCTCTTCCCCTGCTCTTTTTTCCTTAATGCTTATTATGTTCTAAATAATTCACTTATTTATTATGGTGATTGTCTACACCAGAAGGGAAGTTCCATGAGGACAGGGATCACTGGTTCACTGCTGTATCCTAAACAGTTCCAAAAAGGTCTGGCACACAGTAGGCACCCAATATGTAACTGCTGAATGCTTGCTGAATGCCAACCTCGCTGCCTACACCACAGCTCCTACGCCTAGAGATGAACATGTTGCCTGGGCGAAACAGGTGCAACAGGCCCACATGGACCCTCAACCACTCATGCCAATCACCACCACAGGCTTCCCCAGAAACACTGGTTCTGGGGCATCTGCTCTGCCTTGCCCCTTCTTCTGAGGCCTTAAATATGCTCATTCCTTGGAGTTCCTTTTCCAGAGATACATCTGCTTTCCTGGTTCCAGCTTCACCCTTCCAAGATGCCCAAGCTGCTCCATCTTCAATCTGGGGTCCCTGCTGAGCCCTGGGCCCAACTACTCCAACCCTGACCTCCTGGTATCCTCCTCACTGGGGACCCAGAGAGGGCCAGTCAGATCACTGCAAATCTCCTTACTAAGATATCACCCCAGGGGCCGCGCGCGGTGGCTCATGCCTATAATCATAGCACTTTGCGAGGCCAAAGCAGGTGGATCAGTTGAGATCAGGAGTTCGAGACCAGCCTGGCCAACAAGGTGAAACCTCATTTCTACCAAAAATATAAAAAATTAGCCAGGTGTGGTGGTGCACACCTGTAATCCCAGCTACTCGTGAGGCTGAGGCAGGAGAATCGCTTGAAGGAGGTGGAGGTTGCAGTGAGCCAAGATTGTGCCACTGTACTCCAGCCTGAGGGACAGAGTGAGACTCCATCTCAAAAAAATAATAATAATTAAAAAAATAAGATATCACACCAGGGGAGTTCCTCTTCAGTGTTGCCCCAAGGAAGTTCCTCTTCCTGACTTCTTGAATTCCACCTGTGGGACTAAGGATGTCCCTGTCACATAGATAGGAAACCTGCCAGTCATTTATGACTTCTCACTCTCCTTCCCTGGGCAGCGCCGTTAGCCACCAGGTCCCACGTGAGTAATGTCTTTATCCCCTATTGAACCCTAACTCCTCATCTTGACTCCCAGAAAACATGTGTCCCAGCTGGGCATGGTGGCTCACGCCTGTAATTCAGCACTTTGGGAGGCCGAGGCAGGAGGGTCACCTGAGGTCAGGAGTTCGAAACCAGCCTGGCCAACATGGTGAAGCCCAGTCTCTACTAAAACTACAAAAATTAGCTGGGCATGGGGGTGTCCGCCTGTAATCCCAGCTATTCAGGAGGCTGAGGCAAAAAAAGAAAAGAAAACATGTGTCCCACAGCCAAGACTAGGTCTTGTCTGGGGTCACAGTAACTTCCTATTGAATGGAAGAAAATAAAGCAGGGTGTTATAACCGGACTGAGCATCAGGAGACCTGGCTTCCTGACCTTGAGCAAGTTCTTTCTCTCTCTGAGCTCAGTTTCCCCATTTGGAAAAGTCATCCAATTGGACTCCATGATCTCTGCAGGCCCTTCCTTCATACACCTGTCATCTAATACTTCATGAAACATTTGCTGAAATGTCCTCATTTCTGAGAAAAAAAACCCACCTGGGTTTTTCTCATTCTTGTGTTGACGGAGTTATAGTTCTCATCAGCTTCCTCCTTCTGGGGCTCTATGGCTGTGGGAAGACACAGGGGTATTGGGGGTACTTGTCTCCATAGGATTTTTAGGGAAATATAATTTATCATAAAATGACTAAGGCTGAGCCTCTAAGAGGAGAAAGTAAGTTTATTTTTCTTTGCATTACATCACTGAGTTCCCATAGGTATGCAGAGGCCACCTAACAAAACTCCATCTCCCTGCCCAAAGAATGCCCAGTGGGCAGCGATAACTGTGTAAGTAAATGGTTTCATTGTAAATAAAAGAACCTGAGAGGCGGACTTGTGCTGTGGAGAGTACAATGGCCTGGAGGCCAGGAGACAGATGCTAGACCCAGGCCTGCTGTGTGACCTGGATATATCACTGGCTTCTCTGGGCCACACACTCCCCAGATATACCAACAACAGGGCAGGATCAGAGGGAAGGATCTGTCTGAGGTCCCAGGAGCTCACCCTTCAGCTGCAGGCGGATCTCCCTCCCCAGCTGTTTGATCTCATCGCGCAGGTTCTGCAGCTCCTGCTTCATGCCTGAATAAGAGAAGGCCAAGACTCCCAAACAGCAGCCCCCACCTCAACAAACCACTCTGGCCACCACCTGCGTGGAACTACAACCCCCACAATCCCTGGGGCGGAGCATGCGCCCTGCAGCCGGGGTTTCACTCACTCTCCTCGGGAAGGGGCGTGGCCAGGATGGTGACCTGCTGTTTCTCCAACTCCTGGACTTTATTCCCCAGTTTGACAATAGTCTGCCGAATTGTCCGGACCTGGGGAGGGTGACCGAGAGGGCTGAAAGAGATATGGGGTACTCCAGACCACGCTACTCCTCGGGTCCTCCTACACCCTCGCGAATCCAGGCGGAGACCCCAGCCCCTTACCTTGTGGAAGAACTCCTCGTCCGGGCTCCCCAGCCGTGCCGTGCCCGGGTGCACCACCAGCGCGACCCGCTCCTTGTCCTCTTCGTCCGAGCTGTCATCCCCCTGCCAGGCCCGGAGTCATTGGCACCACCGTTTCGCTGCGGCTCTTACCCCGCAGGACCCACAGGCTTCCGGGACTTTCCTTCCTGGCCATCAGCCACCCCTCCCTATCCCGAAGACCAGAAGTCCTGCGTTCCAGTTCGTCCGCCCGTCCCCATCCCCGCTGCCCTGGCGTCTCACCTGTCTCAGCTCGTGGGTCCTGTCCCGCATGGCGGCCTGAGCTCTCCCTCCCCGGCGCCAGAGCCGGGAGGCCCTCAAATTTGGAATTCCCGTACCCCGCTCACACTCTGACACTCCCCTCCCTCCCCCTGCGGACCCCAACACCCCCACGAGCCGCCAGAGGCTCCGTCCCTTGCACCGCCCACAGTCAATGGGAAGGCGCCGACCCCGGGGACCCCCCAAGGTTCCACAGGTTGGAATTCCCTTTTCTTCCCCGCTCCAGCTCCCGCAGCCTCAGCCCCGCCCCTCCGTGATAAATTCGGGGCATGCGCACATGGTCGCGTCTCTTCCTTGCCCGAGGCTGGGAAGGTGGAGTCGGAAGTTGTTGCGCCCCGAGCGGAAGCGGAGATGCCTGGACGCGAGAACTTGCTACCGTCACCGGAACCGTTGCATCTTCCAACGGAAATCTGGTTGCCAAAAGGGGTAGGAATACGTCATTTGTACGTAATCCGAGACACCCGCATCTCACATCACCCCATGGTGCCCCCACCGCGTCACGTGACCAGCCCGGTCCCAAACTCGTGGACCGCAGAATGTGACCCTGTGACTGTCACGTGTCCCGGCTCTGTCACCGCCGTCTCTGGGACGCCGTTCTCATCACGACGTCCCCGGCACCCCAACGACCGAGCGACGCCCACACGGCCCCCGCGAGGTGGGGAGGGGCGCGCCGACCACCCCCAGAGGCCTTTCGAGGCAGTGGGTGGTAGGACCCTTGCTGACCTCGCCTTTATTGCTTTCGGGTCCAGGGCGTGGGCGGACTGACGACTTAGCATTTGGGGCTGTCAGCATCATGGGACCTTGAAAATCGGGAAATAATAGGATCCGAGTCGTCAGCGTCAGAAAATTGCAGGGTTGTGTGGGCAGGGAATCTGGGGGTGGGAAGTGACCTCAGCCAAGGCAGAAATCTCTTCTTCCGCATCCTTCTGGCGCAGCCTCTGACAGGTGGGCGGCCAGCCGGCGCCCTCCTTGAACACTGCAGCCCGGCTGCACTCACCACCTTGTGAGCCGTCAGACCATGTCAGGGCAGCTCAGGCTAAGAAAAGTGTTTGTATTGATCACGCTGCCTCCCTGCCACTCACACCCCCCAGCCCCTGCCTTGCATCTGAGGCCAGGTAATGACTTTGTTCTTAACTGAATCTGGGGAGTTCCTAGCCCAGTACCAAGAACATTACGGGCCCTCTATAAATACTTGTGGACAGAATTTCAGGCTTTCATGTATCTGAGGATAAAGCCCCTGGTTCCTTGGTCTTCTTTAGGCTTCAGGCTTTCTGACTGTGACACTTCTCTAATCCTGGCTATCTAGATATTCACTCATTTTTTATTTTTAAAAATTTTTACGAGATGCGGTCTCACTATGTTGTCCAAGCTGGTCTCTAACTCCTGGGCTTAAGCAATCCTTCTGCCTCAGCTTCCCAAAGTGCTGGGATTACAGGCATGCACCACCATGCACAGCAACATTCAGTCATTTAATGGATATTTTTTGGGCACATAGTATGGGCCAAACACTGTTCTAGGGCTGGAGATACATCAAGGACTAATAGACAAAAATTCCTGCACTCGTGGAACTTATATTCTCTAGAAGGAGTCCCCAAGGTCACTCAGCAAGTCTCAGCATAGCCGGGAATGAATAACAGGTCTCCTGGACCCCAGGGCTCTGTCCAGGAAGCTTCTGTGAAGGTACAAGCAAGGAAAGGAATGGACCCTTTCTGCTATGCCCTGGTCAGGAAACCTAGATTCCTGGGACTGAGTTGCTATGGACTTCTGGAAATCGCTTCCTGTCTCTAAGTGTGGATCTCCCTCTGCACAGTGGGTAACTGTAGGGGGATGGGGAGATCATCTTTATGGGTATCGGCTGCTCTAAACTTCAGTGATGATGAGGTTGGAAACTGTCAAGTGCTGTGTGATTCTATGTGAGGAGTTTTGGCTCTTCTCCTCTTCCTGTTAAAACCCAGCTCAGGCAGGGTGTGGTGGCTCATGCCTGTAATCCCAGCACTTTGGGAGGCTGAGGCAGGCAGATCACCTGAGGCCAGGAGTTGGAGACCAGCCTGGCCAACATGGCGAAACCCTGTCTCTACAAACATACAAAAATTAGCCAGGCATGATGGCAGGTGCCTGTAATCCCAGCTACTTGGGAGGCTGAGACAGGAGGATTGCTTGAACATGGGAGGTGGAGGTTACAGTGAGCTGAGATCACGCCATTGCACTCCAGCCTAGGTGACAGAGTAAGACTCTGTCTCAAAAACAAAACAAAACAAAAAAAAAAAACCCAGCTAGTAGGAGAGTGGTGCCCTGATGAACCCACAGAGGGAATGCAGGGTTTTTCCGGAGGCCAAGCCCTGCCCAGTGGTGTCCCCTGGAGATGATAAGGAAAGATTCTCTGCTCCTGGGTCTTTCATGTCAGCCTCTGCCTCTTCAGTCACTGCTGCTTGCCTCCTGCATCTTTTGTCCCCTGCCACCCGACCCCCTTCCCCCTCCTACTCTGTGTCTCTGAGTGGCACACGGTGGAAGGGCTCTTGGACCCCTGACTCATAGTCCTGCATGGGATCTTAAATAATGCATTACTTCTCTCTGGGACTCAATTTCCCCATTTGGCGGCTTGGTCCTATAATTTCTGCCTTGCCTAAGGTAGGACTTGAACACTATCAAGTGAGGTTAGGAAGGATGTGGAAGGGGCTGGAAAACTGTTGAGGGTACCCTCCCCTCTGGGCTTTTTTTTTTTTTTTTTTTTCTTCTCTTTGAGGTCAGGTCTGGTTCTGTCATCCAGGCTGGAGTGCAGTGGTGTGCTCTCAGGTTCAGTCAATCCTCCTGCCTCAGCCTCCCAAGTAGCTGGTACTAAGGCACGCACCACCATGCCTGGCTAATTTTTGTATATTTTTTGGTAGAGACTGGGTTTCGCCATGTTGCCCAGGCTGTTCTCAAACCCCTGGGCTCAAGTGATCCACCCACCTTGGCCTCCCAAAGTGCTGGGATTACAGGTGTGAGCCACTGTGCCCAGCCTCTCTGAGCTTTTAATACTGTGGGTTCCAGCGTCTTCTGGGCCCCCTGGTCCCATCTTCCTCTTTGTTTCTCAGCGTCTTGATGGCATGCCATCTTGGTCCACTAAACTTCTCAGGATTATAATATTATTTCACTTGTGGTCTCTGGGTGAGATCGCAGGGCTTTGGAATGGTGACTTAAGGTCACAGGAAGCTGGACTCCAAGCCTTGTGGTGGAATATGGAGAGGAAAGAGGCCATTTAGAGAGATTGGCGCTGGGGGTGGAGCTCTCCAGAGCTGAGCCCTTTGTTCCTCTCAGGCCCTCTGAGCAGCCTTGACGGGGATATTAACTATATTAGGCTAGGTGCAGTGGCTCATGCCTGTGATCCCAGCACTTTAGGAGGCCAAGGGTGTATCACTTGAAGCCAGGAGTTCGAGAGCAGCCTGGGCAACATAGCGTCTGTCTCTACAAAAAAAATCTTAATTACCCAGGTGTGCTGGCGCTCTCCTGTAGTCCCAGCTACTCAGGAGGCTGAGGCAGGAGGATCACTTGAGTCCCTGAGGTCAAGGGTACAGTCAGCAGTGATCTTGCCACTGCACTCCAGCCCGGGTGACAGAGTGAGATCCTGTATAAAAAAAAAAAAAAAAAAAAGTAGGGTGGGTGCAGTGGTTCACGCCTGTAATCCTAGCACTTTGGGAGGCTGAGGCAGGAGAATCCTTTGAGCCCAGGACTTGAGACCAGCCTGGGCAACATGCCAAGACCTTATCTCTGTTTTTGTTGTTGTTGTTTGTTTGTTTGTTTGTTTTGAGACGTAGTCTCGCTCTGTCTCCCAGACTGGAGTGCAGTGGCACGATCTCAGCTCACTGCAGCATCCGCCTCCTGAGTTCAAACAATTCTGCCTCAGCCTCCCAAGTAGCTGAGATTACAGGTGCACACCACCGCGCCCAGCTCATTTTTGTATTTTTAGCAGAGATGGGGTTTCACCATATTGGCCAGGCTGGTCTCGAACTCCTGACCTCGTGATCCTCCCGCCTCGTGATCTGCCTGCCTCGGCCTCCCGAAGTGCTGGGGTTACAGGCATGAGCCACTGTGCCCAGCCTAAGACCTCATCTCTAATTAGATTTTTAAAAAATAATTAAAAATAAATAAATAGAAGTAAAAATAAAGTTTAAAAAAGTGTATTGGGTCTTGGGTGTGTGGGTGGTGGGCGTGTATATTCGCTCCAGACTGTGCAGCTGTTGGGGGGTGGGGTGTGTTTCTTAACTTCTACACTATGATCCAAGGAAAATACCAGCTGGGGTGGCTTCCCGTGTTCCACCCACCCTTGGGGGCTTGCTGTCACCTATTGCTTTGGACTGTCTTGGGGGAGGAGTGGGTGGACTGCCGGCCCCACTAAGCCTTCTCCCGCCCCTGTCACAGGTCCTCTCCCACACCTGCTAGGTTGGAGCCAACTACTGGAGAGGTTGTTGATCCTGTCTTGCTCTACCCAGTCCTGAGGCTTGGCAATTTGTCTTGTCCCCTCTACCTGTGGGTCCAGACCTATCCACATGGGAGCCAGATGACCTGGGTTGGAATCCCAGCCCATTCACCCACTGTAATAACTCTAGGAGGCAAGTTATATAACCTTTCTATACCTCAGTTCTCATTTTTTTTTGTTTTTGTTTTTGTTTTTGTTTTTTTGGTTGTTGTTGTTTTTTGAGACAGAGTCTCTCCAGGTCACCAGGCTAGAATGCAGTGGTGTGATTTTGGCTCACCGCAGCCTCCACATCCTGGGTTCAGGTGATTCTCCTGCCTCAGCTTCCCGAGTAGCTGGGATTACAGGTGCCCACCACCAAGCCGGCTAATTTTATATTTTTAGTAGAAATGGGGCTTCTCCATGTTGGTCAGGCTGGTCTCAAACTCCCGACCTCAGGTGATCCACCCGCCTTGGCCTCCCAGAATGCTGGGATTATAGGCATGAGCCACCGTTCCCGGCCCTCACCAAGGCTGGCAGATCACCTGAAGTCCGGGGTTCGAGACCAGCCTGACCAACATGGAGAAACCCCGTCTCTCCTAAAAATACAAAATTAGCCGGGCGTGGTGGCACATGCCTGTAATCCCAGCTACTTGAGAGGCTGAGTCAGGAGAATCGCCTGAACCTGGGAGGCGGAAGTTGCAGTGAGCCAAGACTGCGCCATTGTACGCTGGGGGCAACAAGAGCGAAACTCCATCTCAAAAAAAAGAAACAGAAAAATCCAAATAATAATAGCACCATATTCATAGGACTGCTGTAAAGATGAAGTGATATTTGTAAAGCAAACAGAACAGCACCTGGTGTGGAATGTCAGTATGTCAGTGCTTCCTGCTGTTGTATGACGGCGATGATTGTTACTCTGAATCTTTTAGCAGCTCTAATGTCTCTGCTAGAGGGTCCATGTTGCTGCCTATCTGGGGACTTCCTTCTGCTCTCCGTCTTCTGGGTCCCACTGTGCACCAGGGCCAGGGCTATCAGCCTTGCCAGCTCACACCCATCTCTTGTGTCTCCACTTGGAGCTGACATACCATATATTTTGCTAATTTATTTACATATTGAGCTAGGCATGGTGGCTCATGCCTGTAATCTCAGCACTTTGGGAGGCTGAGGCAGGAGGATTGCTTGAGCTCAGGAGTTTGAGACTAGTCTGGACGACATAGTGAGACCCCATCTCTACAAAATAAAAAATAAGGCCGGGTGCGGTGGCTCACACCTGTAATCCCAGCACTTTGGGAGGCTGAGGTGGGTGGATCACCTGAGGTCAGGAGTTTGAGACCAGCCTGGCCAACATGGAGAAACGCTGTCTCTACTAAAAATACAAAAATTAGCCGGGTGTGGTGGTGCATGCCTGTAATCCCAGCTACTGGGGAGGCTGAGGCAAGAGAATCACTTCAACCTGGAAGGCAGAGGTTGCAATGAGCCAAGATCACGCCACTGCACTCCAGCCTGGGAGACAGAGTGAGACTCTGTCTCAAAAAATAAATAAATAAATAATTTAAATAAATAAAATATTAGCTGGGTATGGTGGCACGCACCTGTAGTCCCAGCTACTTGGGAAGCTGGGACAGAAGGATTGCTTGAGGCCAGTAGTTAAAGGCTGCAGTGAGCTATGATTGTGCCAGTGCACTCCATCCTGGGTGACAGAGTAGGGCCCTGTCTCAGAAAAAATTTTTTTAATAAAAAATAAAGGCCAGGCATGGTGGCTTACTTCTGTAATCCAAGCATTTTGGGAGGCTGAGGCGGGCAGATCACCTGACATCAGGAGTTCGAGACCAACCTGGCCAACATGGTGAAACCCCGTCTATGCTAAATATAAAAATAGGCCGGGCACGGTGGCTCACACCTGTAATCCCAGCACTTTGGGAGGCCGAGGCGGGTGGATCACGAGGTCAGGAGATCGAGACCATCCTGGCTAACACGGTGAAACCCCGTCTCTACTAAAAATACAAAAACATTAGCTGGGCGTGGTGGCGGGTGTCTGTAGTCTCAGCTGCTCAGGAGGCTGAGGCAGGAGAATGGTGTGAACCTGGGAGGTGGAGCTTGCAGTGAGCCGAGATCACGCCACTGCACTCCAGCCTGGGCGACTGTGCAAGACTCTGTCTCAAAAAAAAAAAAAAAAAAAAAAAAAAAAAAAATTGGCCGGGCGTGGTGGCTCACACCTATAATTTTAGCACTTTGGGAGGCCAAGGCGAGTGGATTGCCTGAGCTCAGGAGTTTGAGACCAGCCTGGGCAATACAGTGCAACCCCGTCTCTACTAAAATATAAAAAATTAGCCAGATGTGGTGGTGTGCACCTGTAATCCCAGCTACTCTGGAGTCTGAGGCAGGCGAATCACTTGAACCCAGGAGGTGGAGGTTGCAGTGAGCCGAGATCGTGCCATTGCTCTCCTGCCTGGGCAACAGAACCGAGACTCCATCTCAAAAAAAAAAAAAATTTTACGTATTGTCTGTTATCACTGCTCCCCCGTCAACTAGAATGTAAGCTCCACAGGACAAGGGTTTTCGCCTGCCTTACCCCCAGTTGTGCCCCCAGCACCTACAACAGTGCCTGGTACACAGTAGCCACTTGACAAATACTCACAAATGAATGAAATTATTTCTTATTCAATATTTATAAAGCACTTTATGTGCCAGACACTAACATAAGCACTTTATTAACTCATTTAATCTCATAACAGTTTTATGAGGGAGGTACTATTACTGTTCTCATTTTATAAAGGAAGGAGTGGAGGCACAGAGAAATTGAGGAACTTGCCTGAGGTTACACAGCCAGTAAAGGATACAGCCGGAATTTTAACCCAGATGCTGGAGCTCCACAGTTTGTATTTTTTCGTTGTTATTGATGTTGAGACAGGGTCTTGCTTTGTCACCCAGCCTGGAGTTCAGTGGTGCGATCATGCCTCACTGAAGACTTGAATTCGTGGGCTCAAGGGATCCTCTCACCTCGGCTTACTGAGAGTAACTGGGACCGTAGACGAGTGCCACTATGTCTGGCTAATTATTTTATTTTATTTTTTTGTACAAATGGGGTCTCATTATGTTGTCCAGGCTGGTTTCAAACTCCTGGTCTCAAGCAGTCCTCCCACCTGGGCTTCCCAAAGTGCTGGGATTACAGGCGTGAGCCACCGCTCCCGGCCCATACTGTTTGTACTCCTAACCACTGCACTGTGATCCCAGGGAAATACCAGTTCGGGTGGCCGTGTTCCACCTACCCTTGGGGACTTGCTGCCACCTATTGATATCCTGCTTTGGACTGTCTGGGGGAGGAGGGGCAGATGACTTATACCCACTGAGCCTCCCCCGGCCCCCGTCTCAGGTCTCTGCCACACCGCTGGGTTAGGGCTGATTGCCAGCGAGGTTATTGTTCCTCCCCTTCTCCCTGTGAGCTGTGTCCCAAGCAGCCAAAGATATCCACACAGGACTCAAGTAAGGGCTGCAGTTAACCCTACAGACATCTCTGAGGCTATTTCTGTGCCAAGCCCTAAGGGCCATGGAGACGATACACCCCCATAGCTCTCTCCCCATGGGCATGTTTTGGGCTTAAACTTGACCACTCCCTAGAGTTTCATCTGAGACCCTCTCTTCCTCAAACTATTTACATACTCTTGTGGCTTTGAATAACCGTATGCTGGCCTGCAAGTCCCTATCTCCAGCCCCAAATTTCTCCTAACTCCAGACCCTTGAATCCACTTGCCTCCTGGAGGTCCCACAGACATTTTAAGCTGAAAGTGTCCCAAACAGGAAGCATTGCCTCCCACTGAGAACCTCCTGAGCCAGCCACTCTTCCTCCTGTTTCCCATCCACGTGGATGACACTGTCATAATTTTACAATTGGGTCACTCATGTCATAATTTTGGCCCTGAACTTTATTCCTTTTTTTTTTCTTTGAGACAGAGTTTTGCTGTTGTTGCCCAGGCTGGAGTGCAGTGGCTCGATCTCGGCTCACTGCAGCCTCCACCTCCCGGGTTCAAGCAATTCTCCTGCCTCAGCCTCCCGAGTAGCTGGGATTACAGGCATGCGCCACCACACCTGGCTAATTTTGTATTTTTTAGTAGAGACGGGGTTTCTCCATGTTGGTCAGGCTGGTCTCGAACTCCCTACCTCAGGTGATCTGCCCACCTTGGCCTCCCACACTGCTGGGATTACAGGCATGAGCCACCGCACCCGGCCCTATTCCTTTTTGTTGTTGTTGTTGTTGTTGAGATGGAGTTTCACTCTTGTTGCCCAGGCTGGAGTGCAATGGTGCAATCTTGCCTCACTGCAACTTCTGCCTTCCAGGTTCAAGAAATTCTCCTGCCTCAGCCTCCCGAGTAGCTGGGAACACAGGCACAGGCACACCCCACCACTCCTGGCTAATTTTTGTATTTTTAATAGAGACAGTGTTCCACTACGTTGCCAAGGCTGGTCTCAAACTCCTGGCCTCAGATGATCTGCCCACCTTGGCCTCCCAAAGTGCTGGAATTACAGGCATCAGCCACCGCACCCGGCCTGCCCTGAACTTTATTGTAAAGGTGATGGATCATACAATTTGTTTGGATAAACTATATTAAAATGGTAGAAGAGGCTGGGCACGGCGGCTTATGCCTGTAATCCCAACACTTTGGGAGGCCGAGGTGGGTGGATCATTTGAGGTCAGAAGTTCGAGACCGGCTTGGCCAACATAGTGAAACCCCGCCTCTACTAAAAGGAGTAGTACTCCTCTACTAAGTGGAGTGCACTGACACAAAAATTAGCCGGGCATGGTGGCACACCCCTGTAGTCCCAGCTACTCAGGAGACTGACGCAGGAGAATCGCTTGAACCCAGGAGATGGAGGTTGCAGTGAGCCAAGATTGCACCACTGTACCCCAGCCTAGGTGACAGAGCGAGACTCTGTCTCAAAAAAAAAAAAAAAAAAAAAAATTAAATAAAATGCTAGAAGAAAATATGGTCAAAATCTTTTATAACTTCTGGAGTGAGGAAGGCCCTTCCAACTCCAACTCAGAATACAGAAACTGTAAAAGAAGAGATTAATACCTTTGTCTACATACAACAATTCTGCATGGCAAAAAACATCATAAGTAAAATCAAAAGACAACTGTTGGGGCGCAGTGGCTCATGCATGTAGTCCCAGCACTTTGAGAGGTCGAGGTGGGAAGATCACTTGAGGCCAGGAGTTGGAGACCAGCCTGAGCAACATGTTGAAACTCCATCTGTACTAAAAATACAAAAACTAGCTGGGTGTGGTAGTGAACACCTGTAACCCCAGCTACTCGGGATGCTGAGGCACAAGAATCGCTTGAACTGGGGAGGCAGAGGCTGTAGGGAGCTGAGATCATGCCACTGCACTCCAGCCTGGGCAACAGAGCAAGACCCCCTGTCTCAGGAAAAAAAAAAAAACTGGGAAAAATATTTGCAGCTATTATTGCATACAACGGTCTAATCTCCCTACTGTTTAAAGAGCTCTCATATATTGATAAGAAAGACCGGTAGTTCAACAAAAAATGGGCAAAGAACATGACAGTTCACAAAAACAATAAGGCCTTAGACACATATACAGATGTAAGTTTGGCAAAACACTCTTTTGGCAAGATTGTGGGGAGATGGGTCCTTTCACCCATTGTTGGTGGGAATGGAAAATGATACAAGCCAGAAAATGTTTATCAAAATTACAAATGTATTTACATTTTGTTTTATTGTTGTTGTTTTGAGCAGGGTCTCTTTAACACAGGCGGGAGTACAGTGGTACAATCGCAGCTCACTGCAACCTTGATCTCCTGGGCTTAGGTGATCCTCTTGCCTCAACCTCCTAAGTAGCTGGGACCACAAGCACACACCACCACACCCAGCTAATTTTAAAAGTTATTTGTAGAGACAGGGTCTCGCTATGTTGTCCAGGCTGGTCTCAAACTCAAGCAATCCCCTTGCCTCAGCCTCCTAAAGTGCTGGGATGACAGGCATGGGCCACTTCACCCAGCTGCATTTATACTTTGTTTTTTGTTTTTTTTTTTTTTGGAAACAGAATTTCACTCTTGTTGCCCAGGGTGGAGTGCAATGGTGCAGTCTCAGCTCACCGCAACCTCTGCCTCCCGGGGTCAAGTGATTCTCCTGCCTCAGCTTCCTGAGTAGCTGGGATTACAGCCATGAGCCACCACGCCTGGCTAATTTTGGATTTTTAGTAGAGACGGGGTTTCTCCATGTTGGTCAGGCTGGCCTTGAACTCTTTACCTCAGGTGATCTGCCCGCCTCGACCTCCCAAAGTGCGGGATTACAGGCATGAGCCACCGCGCCCAGCAAGCATTTACACTTTGAACCAGTCATCTTACTTCTGAAAATCTATCTGAAAGAGATTTCTGTTTTATCAGTTAGCTACTCTTGGGTAAAAAACCACTCCCAAACCTTGAGTTTTCTTACCGAGATAAACAACAATGTATTGTTTCTCCAGATTCTGAGAGGAGCTGGGTGGCTTGTATTATATAAGTGACTGCAGTCAGCTGGCACCGCGGCTGGGGCTGGATGGCCCAAGATGGACTCACTCACCTGTTGTCTGCTATCCTAGCTCTGATGACTAGGTTGGCAGGAACAGTTGAGCCACTCCCAGCATGTTACATTTCATCCTGGGTTTCTTCTTAGCGTAATGGCCTTAGACTTCCAGGAAAGTGAAAGTGGAAACAGTAACAAAATCTTGAGGCCTTGCTCAGAATTTGCACATGACTTCTACCACATTCTGTTAGCCAAAGCAAGTCTCAAGTCCACACCAACTTCAAAGGTTGGGGAAATAGAATTTTAATTCAACACGTCTGCGCATGTATGAAATGACCCATCCAATGTAATTCACCCAGTATTTGCAATAATCATAACTTGTCCATCAGCAGGTACAGAGCTGTCAAAAAGAATTAGAAACTTCATTTTGCATAGATATGAAATATTTGTTCATTGAATATCAAAGTGTAGAATAAGTGTATCATGCTTACTGTTATGTAAGAAAAAAATTGTGTGTGTGTGTTTGTGTGTGTGCTTGTATCTATGTCAGAGGCATTTGAACCAGAGCAACTCCATCTTGAATAGGAACTGGGTAAAATGAGGCTGAGACCTACTGGGCTGCATCCCAGACAGTTAAGGTGTTCTAAGTCACAGGATAAGATAGGTGATCAGCACAAGATATAGGTCATAAAGACCTTGTTGATAAAGCAGTTTGCAGTAAAGAAGCCAGCTAAAACCCACCAAAACTGAGATGGCAATGAGAGTGACCTCTGGGCGTCCTCACTGCAGCACTCCCACCAAGGTCATGACAGTTTACAAATGCCATGGCAATGTCAGGAAGTTACCCTATATGGTCTAAAAAGAGGAGGCATGAATAATCCACCCCTTGTTTAGCATATAATCAAAAAATAACCAGCCCAGCACAGTGGCTCGTGCCTGTAATCCCAGCACTTTGGTAGGCCGAGGCGGGCAGATCACCTGAGGTCAGGAGTTCGAGACCAGCCTGGCCAATGGTGAAACCCCGTCTCTACGAAAAATACAAAAATTAGCTGGGCATGGTGGCAGGCGCCTGTAATCCCAGCTACTTGGGAGGCTGAGGCAGGAGAATCGCTTGAACCCGGGAGGCAGAGGTTGCAGTGAGCCGAGATTGTGCCACTGCACTCCAGCCTGGGCGACAAGAGTGAAACTCCGTCTCAAAAAATAAAAAAAATAATAATAATAACCATAAAAATGGGCAACCAGCAGCCCTTGGGGCTACTCTGTCTATGGAGTAGCCATTCTTTAATCCTTTACTTTTCTAATAAACTTGCTTTCACTTTACTCTATCAACTCACCCTGAATTCTTTCTTGAGGAAGGTCCAAGAACCCCCTCTTGAGGTCTGGATCCAGACCCCTTTCTGGTAACATCTGCATAAAGAAATTCTGGAAGGTTTATAAGAAACTAATAAAAGTGGTTCCGTAGGTGTGGTTCATGGGAACAAAGTGGCTAGTAGAGCTGTTAGAGTAAGAATTTCACTGAACCCTTTTGGTAATATTTAGATTTTTGTACTATGTGAAAGTACTACCTATTTGAAAAAATATATTAAATAAATAATGGTAAAGAAAGAATGTTGGTCGGGCGTGGAGGCTCATGCCTGTAATTCCAGCACTTTGGGAGGCCGAGGTGGGCAGATCACAAGGTCAGGAGTTCGAGACCAGCCTAACCAACATAGGGAAACCCCATCTCTACTAAAAAAATGGAAAAATTAGCTGGGCGTGTGGCGGGCGCTTGTAATCCCAGCTACTCAGGAGGCTGAGGCAGGAGAATTGCTTGAAGCCAGGAGGCAGAGGTTGTGGTGAGCTGAGATCACACCACTGCACTCCAGCCTGGGCAACAGAGCGAGACTCCTTCTCCAAAAAAAAAAAAAGAAAGAAAAGAAAAGAAAAAAGAAAGAATGTTAAAAGGTAATATATCAAAGAATGGTACCTTTGAGTAATTTTAAACCAATTTTAACTATGTCTTAGTTAGTTTGGGCTGCTTTAACAAAATACCATAGATGGGGTGGCTTAACCAACTGACATTTATTTCTCACAGTTCCAAAGGCTGGAAAGTCCAAGATTCTGCGAGCAGATTCTGTTCACAGTGAGGGCTCACTTCCTAGTTTGCAGACAGCCACCTTCTTGTATTATTACATGGCAGAGAGAGAGAAAGCTCTGGTGTCTGGTGTCTCTTCCTTTTTTTTTTTTTTTTGAGATGGGGGTCTCAAAAAAAGCCCAGGCTGGAGTGCAATGGCACAATCTCGGCTCACTGCAACCTCCGGGGTTCAAGCAATCCTCCCACCTCAGCCTCCTAAGTAGCTGGTACTACAGGTGCATGCACCATGCCCAGCTAGTTTTCTTGTATTTTTGGTAGAGAAGGGTTTTGCCATGTTGCCCAGCCTGTTCTTGAACTTCTGAGCTCAAGTGATCCACCCGCCTTGGCCTCCCAAATTCCTGTGATTACAGGCATGAGCCACCATGCCTGGCCTTCTTCCTTTTTAAATAATGGCACGAGTCCCATCATCCTCATGATCCTCCACCCTTGGGATCTCATCTAAACCTAGTTACCTTTCAAAGGCCTCACCTCCTACTCCCATCACATTGGAGATTAGAGATTCAGCATATGAGGCTGGGCACAGTGGCTCATGCCTGTAATTCCAGCACTTTGGAAGGCTGAGGCGGGTGGATCACTTGAGGTCAGGAGTTCAAGACCAGCCTGGCCAACGTGATGAAACCCCATCTCTACTAAAAATACACAAAAAAATTAGCTGGGTATGGTAGTGTGTGCCTGCAATCCCAGCCACTTGAGAAGCACTCAGGTGATCTGCCCGCCTCGGCCTCCCAAAGTGCTGGGATTATAGGTGTGAGCCACCGCACCTGGCCCCCATTTGACTAATCTCTGCCTCCCCGTGCCACCTGGCACAGGACCTATTACACCTGTTGTGCTCAGGAACAAAAGAATGAATACCCATTTGACCTATCCATCCATTAACCAGTAAATCTTTATTCAGGCCCCACTCTTTGTACCAGGACGATGCTCTGATGCTACATAGAGACACAGTGGTGAGCAAAGCAAGTGTTCATCTGGGCAGGGTGCAGTGGCTCACATCTGTAATTCTAGTGCCTTGGGAGGCCAAGGCGGGAGAATTGCTTGAGGCCAGGAGTTTGAGACCAGCTTGGGCAGCATAATGTCTCTACAAAAAATTTTAAAATTACTCGGCATGGTGGCATGTTCCTGTAGTCTCAGCTACTCAGGGGGCTGAGGTGGGAGGATCACTTGAGCCCGCGAGCGCAAGGCTGCAGAGCAGAGAGTCCTGATTGTGCCACTGAACTCCAGCCTGGGCGACAAAGTGAGATCCTGTTTCAAAAAAGGACTTCTCTAAAGTCTTTCAATAAAATTTAATTCTTTTCTCTCATAAAGGACATTAACATATGTTTTAAAGATTTATTCTTAAACGCTATAGTTTTTTGTTTTGTTTTGTTTTGTTTTGAGATGGGGTCTTGCTCTATCGCCCAGGCTGGACGGCAGTGTCATGATCTCGGCTCACTGCAACCTCCGACTCCTGGGTTCAAACAATTCTCCTGCTTCAGCCTCCCGAGTAGCTGGGACTACAGGCATGTGCCACCACACCCAGGTCATTTTTTATATTTTTAGTAGAGATGGAGTTTCACTGTGTTAGCCAGGATGGTCTCGATCTCCTGACCTGGTGATCCGCCCGCCTTGGCCTCCCAAAGTCCTGGGATTATAGGTGTGAGCCACCGTGCCCAGCGATTTTTTTTTAACTAATTAAATTTTTTCCTTAGAGACAGGGTCTTGCTATGTTCCCCAGGCTTGTCTTGAAATTCTGGCCTCAAGTGATCCTCCTAACTCAGCCTCCCAAAGTTCTGGGATTACAGGTGTGAGCCACTGCACCCTGCCAGGTACTATAGATTTCTATAAATGGCATTTTTACATTTCCTAGTAGTTTGCTGGTAAGATTTATAAAGGCAATGTATTTCAAGATCTTTCACTTTTTTTTTTTGAGATGGAGTCTCGCTTGTTGCCCAGGCTGGAGTGCAGTGGCATAATCTCAGCTCACTGCAACCTCTGCCTCCGGGTTCAAGTGATTCTCCTGCCTCGGCCTCCTGAGTAGCTAAGATTACAGGTTCGCACCATCATGCCTGGCTAATTTTTGTATTTTTAGTAGAGACGGGATTACACCATGCTGAACAGGTTGGTCTCGAACTCCTGACCATGTGATCTGCCCACCTCGGCCTCCCAAAGTGCTGGGATTACAGGCATGAGCCACCACGCCCAGCCAAGATCTTTCTCTTATTCCATCAAACTTACTCCACATACAGTAACAGCAAGAGACCCAGGAGTGATCTAGGACCCTCCTCCCTCCTTCATCACCTGTTCCAATCTGCAATCGTGTCTGACAAATTTCCCCCCATGACACACCTGTGTAATGGATGTTCCATCCCCACCTTTAGGCCTCGGTGCAGGCCTCATTATTTTTGGCCTGGGTGATTCCTAACTGATCTCCCCATCAACCTTCACAGAGCCAGAGCTACTGCCAACTTGACTGCACCTTGGTGGAAATTAGTTAAAGGCATTCTTTCCTCATGACACTGTACCTCCACCTGTCAGATAATTGTTATAATAAATATTCAAATACATGATGTCTGGGATGTGAGCAGTGCTTCTGGGGCGTACTGCTTCACGTAGTGCACTCTGGCACAGCCATCTGTGGTGGTCCCGCACACGGCCACCAGCAGGATCTTTGCAAAATGAAAGTTTGATCATGGTATTCTGTTAGGGGTTCAATGTTTGTGCTCCACCCCAGCTGCATTCATATTTTTGTGTGTGTGTTTTCTTGAGATAGAGTCTTGCTCTGTCACCCAGGCTGGAGTGCAGTGATGTGATCTTGGCTCACTGCAATCTCCGCCTCCCGGGCTCAAGTGATCCTCCCACCTCAGCCTCCCGGAGTTCGAGATCAGCCTGGCCAACATGGTAAAACCCTGTTTCTACTAAAAATACAAAAATTGGCTGAGCGCGGTGGCTTACACCTGTAATCCCAACAATTTGGGAGGCTGAGGCGAGCAGATCACCTGAGGTCGGGAGTTGGAGACCAGCCTGACCAACACAGAGAAACCCCGTCTCTACTAAAAATACAAAATTAGCCGGGTGTGGTGGCACATGCCTATAATCCCAACTACTCGGGAGGCTGAGGCAGGAGAATTGCTTGAACCCGGGAGGCGGAGGTTGCAGTGAACCGAGATCGCGCCACTGCACTCCAGCCTGGGCAACAAGAGCGAAACTCCATCTCAAAAAATAAAATAAAATAAAATAAATAATAAAAATTAGCCAGGCATGGTGGTGCATGCCTGTAATACCAGCTACTCAGGAGGCTGAGGCAGGAGAATCACTTGAACCTGGGAACCAGAGGTTGCAGTCAGCCAAGATCACGCCACTGCACTCCAGCCTGGGTGACAGAGCCAGACTCCATCTCAAAAAAAAAAAAGAAAAAAAAATTAGCACTTTGGGAGGCCGAGGCGGGTGGATCACGAGGTCAGGAGCTCGAGACCACGGTGAAACCCCGTCTCTACTAAAAATACAAAAAAAATTAGCCGGGCGCGGTGACGGGCGCCTGTAGTCCCAGCTACTCAGGAGGCTGAGGCAGGAGAATGGCGTGAACCCGGGAGGCGGAGCTTGCAGTGAGCCAAGATCGCGCCACTGCACTCCAGCCTGGGCGACAGAGCAAGACTCCGTCTCAAAAAAAAAAAAAAAAAAAATTAGCCAGGCATGGTGGCGCATGCCTGTAATAATCCCAGCTATTGGGGAGGCTGAGGCAAGAGAATCGCTTGAACCCAGGAGGCGGAGATTGCAGTGAGCCGAGATTGCGACATTGCACTCCAGCCTGGGCAACAGGAGCGAAACTCTGTCTCAAAAAATAAAATAAAATAAAATAAAATAAATAAAATAAGATAAAATAAATAATAAAAATTAGCCAGGCATGGTGGTGCGTTCCTGTAATCCCAGCTACTCAGGAGGCTGAGGCAGGAGAATCGCTTGAACCTGGGAGGCAGAGGTTGCAGTCAGCCAAGATCGTGCCACTGCACTCCAGCCTGGGCGACAGAGCCAGACTCCATCTCAAAAAAAAGAAAAAAAAAATTAGCCAGGCGTGGTGGTGCGTGCCTGTAATCCCAGCTACTGGGGAGGCTGAGGCAAGAGAATCACTTGAACCCAGGAGGTGGAGTTGCAGTGAACCAAGATGGCGCCACTGCACTCCAGCCTGGGTGATGGAGTGAGACGCTGTCTTGAAAAAAAAAAAAATAGGCTTTTGAGACAGAAACTACCACCCCATCTTGAAAATCAGTTATTCTTTTTTGCTTTTATTTTTCCCCTCCTTTCCTTTTATGCTGGGTTTTTAATAATGGTTAACTAGTGCTTGGCATAAAGAACTCCAGGAAGTGGCCTTGAAAAACTAAGCAGGGAATCAAGGTTGCAGCATGTCCAGCCCTGGGAAGAATGCTGAGTGCCTCCTGTATTCCTGTTGCACCCGAACCAGTGCCAGCCAGACCACCAGATGGCCCACTGCTCAAGACTGTCAATGAGACCAGACACACTGACCCACCTCGAGTCAACCTGTGCATAGCTTCCATATATCCCCTCTCATAACCACCCCCTCTCATAACCAACCCCCACCGGCTGGGCGCGGTGGTTCATGCCTGTAATCCAGCACTTTGAGAGGCCGAAGTGGGGGGCTGCTGGTTGTAGGGGCATCACTTGAGCTCAGGAGTTTCAGGCCAGCCTAGGGAACATAGCAAGACCCCATCTCTACAAAAAAAATCAAAAAGTGAGCCAGGTTGGTGGCACGTGCCTGTAGTTCCAGCTATTTCAGAGGCTGACATGGGAGGATCGCTTGAGCCTGGGAGATCAAGGCTGCAGTGAACTATAACTGTGCCACTGTACTCCAGCCTGGATAACAGAGTGAGAGCTTGTCTCAAAAAAACCCAGCCAGCCTGAAAATTTTGAGATGAGACTTTCAGACATTAGTCTGCCATCTCCTCGGTTTGCTGGCTCTCCGAATAAACCTGCTTTCCTCCTACCAACTCTTTTTTTTTTTTTTTTTTTTGAGACAGAGTCTCATTCTGTCGCCCAGTCTGGAGTGCAGTGGCATGATCTCGGCTCACTGCAACCTCCACCTCCCGGATTCAAGCGATTCTCTTGCCTCAGCACCCCCGAGTAGCTGGAATTACAGACGTGAGCCACCATGCCCATCTAATTTTTGTATTTTTAGTAGAGACGGTTTCGCCATGTTGGCCAGGCTGGTCTTGAACTCCTGACCTCAGGTGATCCACCCATCCTGGCTTCCTAAAGTGCTGGGATTACAGGCATGAGCCACCGTGCTCAGCCCCCAACTCTCGTCTCGTGTTTAGCATTTGGGCAGTGAGCAGCTGAGCCTGGATTTGGCTATGCTTTCCCTCTAGCGTCAGGAGGGCCAAGAAAGACACCGTAGTTGAACTTTGATAGAAGAGCAGGAGGTGGGCTTGGGGATGTTAGAGGGAAGGGAGTTCCAGGGGACAAGAATGACACGAGGAAAGGCATGGAGATATAAAAATGCAGGGAATAACGGGATAGGAGTAGAAGGTGCGTGGGAATAGGTGGCATGCCCTAAAGTGGAAAGCCAGGTTAGGAAATTGGGGCTTTACCCCATAAGCAATGGGAAACCAGGGAAATTTTCTGATCAGGGGCTGGCCTGGTTATATCAATGCTTTAAAAATTTGGCCAGGCACAGTGGCTCACACCTGTAATCCCAGCACTTTTGGGAGGCCAAGGCAGGTGGATTGCTTGAGGTCAGGAGTTCAAGACCAGCGTGGGCAACATGGTGAAACCCTGTCTCTACAAAAAATACAAAAAAATTAGATGGGTGAGATGGCACATGCCTGTGGTCCCAGCTACTTGGGAGGCTGAAGTGGGAGGATCGCTTGAACCTGGGAGGTGGAGGTTGCAGTGAGTGGAGATTGTGCCACTGCACTCCAGCCTGGGTGACAGAGCAAGGCGCCATCTCAAAAAAAAAAAAAAAAAAAAAAGGGTGGGGGGCACTGGGTAGGAGACTGCATAGGAAGTTCCTTCATGATTCAGATGACTCACTTTGGGTAGCCCATAAGTGGTCATGAATGTAATGAGCTTGAAATCACTGATCAGTGAGAGGAATTGCCATATGTGTGTGCCTGTGTCCATCTTTAGAGCTGCAGACAGATTTGAGTGGTGCGCCATTCACTCATTCATTCCTATAACACATAATTACTGAGCGCCTACCATGTGCCAGGTGCCGTGGAGCCACTGGAGAACCAGCAGTGAACACACAACAGACAAAACTCCCTGCCTTCACAGTTTGCTTTGTTCTTTATGCCTGGGTAAAACGGGTGCAGGAATATGCCATTTATTCATTCTGATTTTTTTGTTTGTTTGTTTTTGAGACAGAGTCTTGCTCTGTCTCCCAGGCTGGAGTGCAGTGGCACGATCTTGGCTCACTCCAACCTCCGCCTCCCAGGTTCAACCATACTTGTTGCCTCAGCCCCCAGAGTAGCTGGGATTACAGGCACATGCTACCACACCTGGCTAATTTTTATATTTTTATTTTTTATTTTTATGTATTTATTTATGTATTTTTGAGATGGAGTTTCGCTCTTATTGCCCAGGCTGGAGTGTAATGGCATGATCTCGGCTTACTGCAACCTCCGCCTCCCAGGTTCAAGCAATTCTCCTGCCTCAGCCTCCCTAGTGCCTGGGATTACAGGCATGTGCCACTACGCCTGGCTAATTTCATATATTTAGTAGAGACAGGGTTTCTCCACGTTGGTCAGGCTGGTCTCGAACTCCCCACCTCAGGTGATCCACCTGCCTCAGCCTCCCAAAGTGCTAGGATTACAGGCATGAGCCACTGCGCCCGGCAGGTCACATTTGTTTTGGGGGCAATCACATTAAGGACTGGGGAGGAAGACATATGTAAAGGAAAGGGGCTTTGTTCAAGTGGGAAGACCAGAGAGAGAAGGCTGTGCTGACGGCCCAGGTGAAAGACAGTGAGGGCCTAGACTGACCTGAGGTGGTGGGGACAGGAGAGGGCCTAGAGACGGCTCTGGGTGTCACAGTTGAGAGAGGAGCTATAAGAGCATGCTTTTACAAGAATGGGTTGTGAGCCAGGTGCAGTGGTGTGCCCCTGTAGTCCCAGCCACTCAGGAGGATGAGGTAGGAAGACTGAGCCCAGGAGTTTGAGTCCAGGCTGGGCAACAGAGTAAGACCCCATCTCTTAAAAAAGAAGAAGAAGAAGAAGGAGAAGGAGAAGGAAAAAAGAAAGAAGAAAGAGAAGGAAGAAGAAGAAGAGGAAGAGGAAGAAGAGGAAGAGGAAGAAGAGGAAGAGGAAGAAGAGGAAGAGGAAGAAGAAGAAGAAAAGAAGAAGAAGAAGAAGAAGAAGAAGAAGAAGAAGAAAGAAGAGGAAGAGGAAGAGGAAGAGGAAGAGGAAGAAGAAGAAGAAGAAGAAGAAGAAGAAGAAGAAGAAGAAGAAGAAGAAGAAGAAGAAGAAAGAAGAAAAGAAGAATGGGCTTTGCAATCAAAAGATACAAACAAGGTCAGACACAGTGGCTTATGCCTATAATACCAGCACTTGGGAAGCCGAGGTGAGAGCCCAGGAGGCTAGGACCAATCTCGTCTCTGCAAAAAAAAGAAAAAAAGAAAGTTAAATTAGGGCCAGGCACAGTGGCTCACACCTGCAGTCCCAGCACTTTGGGAAGCCAAGGCGGGTGGATCATTTGAGGTCAGGAGTTCCAGACCAGCCTGGCCAACATGGCGAAACCCTGTCTCTACTAAAAATATAAAAATTAGCCAGGCATGGTGGCAGGCACCTGTAATCACAGCTACTTGGGAGGTTGAGGCAGGAGAATCACTTGAACCCAGGAGGCGGAGATTGCAGTGAGCCAAGATCGCGCCATTGCACTCCAGCCTGGGTGACAGAGCGAGACTCTCTCTCAAAAAAAGAAAGAAAGAAAGAAAGAAAATTAGCTGGACACAGTGGTGTACACCTGTAGTCCCAGCTACTCAGGAGGCTGAGATGGGAGGATTGCTTGAGCCCAGGAGGTCAAGGCTGCTGTGAGGTGTGATTGCACCACTGCACTCCAGCCTGGGGAACAGAGTGAGACCCTGTCTCTGGAAAAAAAAAAAAAAAAGCAAACAAGACCCCAGCCCTGCCCTTTATTAACCTTGTGAACTTGGATATGTTATGTGACCATGCAAAGCCTCAGTGTCCTTGTCTATACACTTGGGATCTTAGCAGTGGCTACTGTGAGGTTGGGAGGTTTCTGGGAGCTACCAGCATAGTGAATGCAACACGTTGGATGCCCAGAACGTGCTGGCATTATAATGGCGGGGAGGCAAGGACAGCTTTCTGTGCTTTGAGTGGCTGGGTGGATGGAGATGACGCCATCTCTGAGGGAGAACACAGGAAGGAACACTTTGGGGACAGCCACCTCCTTGAGGTCCCCACGTCAGCGCTAGCCATGCCCACTGTAGTCATGGATCTACTCATGGCTCTGGTGGCATCTTCAATCTCTGTCTTCTTGGTGCCCAGCTCAGAGCTTAGGCATATAGTAGGGGCTGTCTTACAGGGGGAGGATCTGGCTCGCAGGTACAGATGTGGGCACTGCAGACACGGAGGTGCAGAAAGATGCAGGTAAAGAAGGAAGAGAATGCCAGGCATGGTGGCCCAGGCCTGTAATCTCAGCACTTTGGGAGGCTGAGGCAGGAGGATCGCTTGACCCTAGGAGTTCAAAACCAGCCTGGACAACATAGTGAGACCCTGTCTCTACAAAAAATAAAATTAGCCAGGTGTGGTGGCGCGTGCCTGTAGTCCCAGCTACTCAGGAGGCTGAGGTGGGAGGATCACTTGAGCCTGGGACGTTGAGGCTGCAGTGAGCCGAGATTGCACCACTGTACTCTAGCCTGGGCAACAGAATGAGACCCTAACTCAAAAAAAAAAAAAAAGAGAGAATGGACGGAGCCCAGGGAACCCTGAGGTTGAAGGGCTGTGGGAAAAAAGGTAAGGACCTGGAAAGAGGCTGGGAGACAACACTCACAGATCAGGTTGGGGGGTAGGTGGGCGGAGCACCACAGACAGGAGGGTTTCAGGAAGAGGGGCTCATCAGGGTCACATGCTGCTGAGAGGTCAGGGATGGTAAGGCCCGACTGGCGGTGTGGGATGAGGGTTTATCAGACACAGATTTGGCACCAAGGAGGTCACTGGGTACCTGGCAAGAGAATGCCGGGTGCGGTGGCCCAGGCATGGAATCCCAGCACTTTGGGAGGCTGAGGCAGGAGGATCGATTGAGAGTCAAGACCTGTCCCATTGGGGACCGGCGCCCCATTGCAGGGGGTGGGAGGAGCTGGTGTGGTGTAAGGATGGGGAGAGGAGAGGTGGGCATCAGAACAGGAGGTCACTCAGACCCTCAGGGGCACCTGATTTCCCCTCCCACTAAGGACAAATTTCATGTTCAACAGTCAGAGCCATCTGCAGATGGGCCAAGAGGTCCTGGGAGGTAGTGAGCACCCTGTCCCTGGAGGCAGACAAGCAGAGCTCCGAGACCCACCGCGGCGGGAGAGGCCCAGGCTGTGCAACACAAGCCCCGTGTCCTTCTCAGCAAGCACCTGGCTGGTTCCCTGCATCGTAAAAACCACACAGAGGGTCGGTCTTTCTATTTATAGTGTCCAAAGAGCCTCCTGCAAGAACACACATGGGCTCGCACCCAGAGGTGGTCGGCGCGCAGCCTCACGCAGACACCAGACACAAAACACAGCCGCGATCTGTGTCTCCTGGAAAGGGATCCACATCCTGGCTCCCAGGTTATTCCCTGAATTCATTCCGTCACCCCCTCTTTCCGCCGGGCCACCCCACCCCCCGGGCCACCCTAGCATCTCCGCTTGGCTCTCCGCATCTCTCCCTGCTCCTCGGGCTCTGCCCACCCCCACCCGCCTCCAGGCCTCTCCCGCCCCCTCCTCGGGTGTCCCCCAAGCCCGTGACTACAACCCCCAGGCGCCCCCGGCCCGGGTGCTGCGCATGCCCCCTGCTCCTTGCGCGCTCCCGCTCCCCCCGCCCTCGCTTCCTCCTCACCTCCCTCCGCCCCCCTCCCCCGCGCTCGGCTCCCGCATCCCTCCATCCTACCCTGTGCCGCAGCCGCATCGCCACCGCAGCCCGGCAGAGCCGAGCCCGGCCCAGGCCCCTGCCCCTGCCCGGCCCTCGGCCAGTCGCCCCCGGCCCCGCCCCCGCCCGCAGGCCCCCCGCAGCGGCCGCGGCGCCCCCCGGCGCCCCCAGACCCCGGCCTCCGGCACAGAGGCGGGAGACCCGGAGCAGCAGCAGAGGCAGGAGGACTAGGAGGAGGAGGAGGAGCCGTCGCAGGATGAAGGATCGGACTCAAGAGCTGCGGAGTGTGAGCTTGGGGGTGGGGAGAATGGGGGGGCGGGACCCCAATATTGGGGGAGCGCGTGGGGATGGAGTGGGGGAGGTGCTGGGACGTGGGGGCGAAGGATGAGATCGGAGGTTGGTAGCCGGAGCACCCCAGTATCTTCAGGCGCCTGATGTCTCTCCAGTGAACCTGCATTTTGGGGACAGTGCCTGGAAGGGGTTGGAGGCCATGAAGACACAAGGGGGCAGGAGAGGTCTCAGGGGCCTCGAACACCCCGCATTCCCAGGAGGGCCCCGGGGTCTGGTCTGGGGATGGGAGAGAGTGGATATCAGGAGAAACCGGAGGAGACTGTCATCCCCTGGGCAGGTTTGCCAAAGAGAAGCATGGGGGCGGTGACTGGGCCAGGCTGAGAGTCTAGCAGGACCCAGATTCAGGGGATGCTACGGGGAAGGACACAGGTTGGGACTGAGATGCCAGCACCTGGCAGTGAATGAAGTGTGTGTGTGTGTGCACACGCGTGTGTCACTCCCTATAGGGAGGGGGCATCTCTCCGAGACAGGGAGGGAAGAGGTGGCCTCCGGAGAGAGCCAGAGGGCCAGGGCCTGAGACAGGGTGACCCAGAGGTGGGAGATGGGGATGCAGAGGAGAGGGCCATGGAACACGGGCCGTGCTCTGCTTGGGGGAACTGGGGCACCCCGGGCAGTCAAGGGCTGATGCAGGCCCCAGGTCTGCAGGCCTGAAGAGGCCCGGCTCCAAGAGTCTGGCCAGGCAGTCCCTGGTTTTGGGGGGACAGGGGAAGGACTGCAGTGGAGGCTGCTACCTGGAGGAACTGGGGAGTGGGGTTCGATGAGAATGGTTTCAGGGGCAGGGAGGACGCTGGGGTATTTGGAGAAATGACCTGGGGCCCGAGGAGGCAGCACTGACAGTCCGCACTGTGCTGGGCTGGTGGTGTTATGTTAATAAGGGTACCGGCCCCGGCTGAGCTGCCCAATGCACTGAGCCTTTACAGGGAACTGGTGGGTTGTTACCCCAGGGGTTATTACCCCACTTGACAGATGAGGAAACTGAGATTCAGGCGTGGGAAGGGACTTGTCCAAGGTCACCAAGCAAGTGGGTGGGGGGCAGACTGCAATCTGGGTTTCCTGTCTGCTAGGTTGACACAGGTCTCTGCTTTTCTGGCCTTTGAAACAGAAGTTTCAGCACTGGGGGTGAAGAGCTGTCCCCTGGATTTGGGGGTGGGGACCCAGGTTACAGACAGACGAGAAGAAGGTGTTTGGAGGCAAGTGACCGCTGTCTCTGGGGACAGACAGGTTGCCAAATGGGAAGCAAGGAGGAGCTGGTGGCTGAGGGAGGGAATTTTAAAGGTTTCTTTATTACATTTTTACTGAATATACACTCAGGCATGAGGAAAGTGACAGTAATAATAAACATTGTTTGAAGTGTTTTATGCATATTCACTCATTTTGATCCTCACAGCAATCCTATGAGACTGGTTATCTCATTTCATAGATATATAAATATCTTTTTAGATATATAGATATATGTTATCTCATTTTATAGATAAGGACACTAAGCTCAGAGAGGTTAAGTAATTAGACCAAAGTCACACAGCTGGTAAAGGCAGGATTCAAACCCAGGCAGGCCGGCTTCAGCATCGGTGCTGTCAATTCCCCTCCTCAGTTTGCAGAGCAGGCTTTCATCCGTGATGTCATTAGAGCCCCACTGACCTCCTGGCAAGTGGACGGGGAGGCTCTTTCATTTTAGAGTTGGGGAAACTGAGGCCCAGAGTGGTTGAATAACTTTCCAAAGGTCACACAGCTAGCAGGTGAGGGATCCGGACTTGAACCCAGTTCCCCTGCTACCAGGACTATTCCATGACTCCAAAACCCAGGGAAATGGAAGTGGGTTGGGATCAGGTGGTGTGGAATTGGGGTACAATTCGAGAAAGAGGGAGGGAAAAGGCTAAGCGGGGTAAGGGGGAGGCAGGGGAGGGGGAGGCCTCATGAATGAGTCAGGGGCCCCTGCTCAGAGGTAAGGAATCCTGTTGGCTGTGGCTGCCGGAGGTGGTGTGGAAGGGTGAAGGGGCTGAGTGGATGTGGTGGCTTTGGTATTAGTCACAGCTCAGGGAAACTGGAGATTCAAGAGGGGGCGGGCGGGGTGGGAAAAGCTGACAGATTCAGGTAGCGTAAGGGTCTCCCTGCTACAGTTGAAAGCAAGGAGCCTGGGATGCAGGAGACACCTGGCAG